>NC_000008.11:28041920-28344951 GCF_000001405.40 Homo sapiens
TATCATTTTGAATTGTAGCTCCCATAATTCCACGTGTTGTGGGGGGGACCTGGTGGGAGATAATTGAATCATGGGATTGGCTTTCCCCATACTGTTCTCATGGTAGTGAATGAGTCTCATGAGATCTGATGGTTTTATAAGGAGAAACCTTATAAAACCTTATAAAACATGCCACCATGTAAGACATGCCTTTTGCCCACAATGATTGTGAGGCCTCCCCAGGCACATGGAACTGTGAGTCCATTAAACCTCATTTTCTCTATAAATTACCCAGTCTCGGGTATGTCTTTATCAGCAGCATGAAAATGGACTAATACAGTTCCAGACTGGGAACTCATAGTGTTGTTCCCCACATGGGAACCTTGGTGGGCCCCACAGTGCCTGCAGCAGTCAGAGCCACACTCCCCAGCTTGGCCTTTAAGGCACCTCATAGCCAGAACTCACTCCACCTCTCTAGCACCACCATCTCTGTTTGCCTGACACATCCTGCCAAGTAGCTACCCCTGGACTTGCTGCTATTCCCCAAACATGCTGTCAATCTTGTGCCCTCTGGGCCTTGCTGATTTCATCTTTGTTACTTCGGAGACAAAGCTCAAAGGTCCTTCCCATGAGGCACCTTCCCTGAGTCCCCAGGTAGAGGTGGGGCTCTCTGTCCTGTGCTCCCACTGCACTTCCCACAGTCCTGCACCACAGCACGTCTCCTGCCTCCTGCCGTATGACATCTCTCTCGTTCCCTGTGTCTTCTTCCCTGGATAGGAACTTGCCAAAGGAGCAGGCTCTTAGTCATGCTCTTTTATTCCAGGGCACAGCACAGAGAGCAAAACCCATAGACATTTGTGGATTGAACGAGTGGCCCAGAGAAACTGCGAGATAATTTGGGCTTTTAAATTCTATTTCAAATAGACAGAAATAGCTCTCGAATCGATGTGTGACCTGATACAGGTGATTTAACTTCTCTGATTCTCAACGGTATCATCTTTAAGTGAATTGGGTTGAATGATCTTGAAAACAACCTCACACTCTAAAATGCTGTGAATCTTGGAGTAAATACGTTTTAGAGTTTATGGAGACTGTTTAGCATTCGGTGCACCCCGGGAATTTCCCTCATTTTCACCATTAAGAATTCTACAAAGCATTTTTCCCAGGACATCCTTTAGATTCTTTTGAATTTGTGGTGTCACCAGTGATGAAAATGAAAGAAGAAAGAAGTCATGGAAAGAAAAGCTATGGGCATGATTCTCACAATGCCTCACTCTCGATAAATCCTTGTTGGATAAACAAAAGAATGATAAGAAAGGGAAGAGCGGAGAATAAAAGAACAATAAGAAACAAAGAAGCTGGCACTTAGTATGAATAAACGCAGACTTCATTTGACATTGAGATGTGGTCCTCAACTTCCTATGGATTCTTAAAAATAATGATTGCTCATTTAAAATCACTACTCAAACTCCAAATTTTTGGTTTCAGTGATCATCTTTGAAAAAAAATCAATCACACACATATTTAGATTTGATTTTTCAGAATTCAAAGGAACTGACAAATTCTTGCCTTCCAACTTTCTATCAAAGAGCTAAGAGTAAGACCAATACCTAAGGCCAAGGAATTTTGAGCAAAGTTGCCAGCAACTCCCTAACATAGCTATTGCAGAATTGCCAGTCAGCCCCCTTCTCCTCTATGTTTTCCACTGCTTGGAGTCTGGCTGCAAGGGTGAATCTGAGCCCCTCTGAGCTCTGCACTTCCATATTAGCAAAGAAAACACGTGGGGTGGGCACTTCTGGCCTTGATGGCAAAATGCCTTGTCCTAATGTTTGTAAAATACACCAACCTCACACAGCCCACATCGGATTCATTTTCCATCAGCACTTCCAAAAGCAATCTTGTGCTGGGCAAAGAGACAAATTTCACCCTGAAGAACTGTTTTGGGAAATTGGAAGGTCAAACCCTTCCCCAACGATTTCAGCGGACAAAGTCAAATAAGAAAATCTCAGATTCCAAGAGTTTTGTTTTGTTTTTGTCTTGTACAACTAGACCAAAACAAGTCATAAGAAATAGATTTAAAAAAGATTGAATTTTGCTCTATATGCCCCTTTTATGCAGAAGAAAGACCCCACACCACTAAAGACTTTTTACAAGCATTTATACACAACCAAAGGCTCCAGGTGGCACTGCTTACTCCCACATGGAAGTCAGGTCTCGAGTGTCTGCCTCCCCTTGCCACCCCACAGGGTCATCATTGGCCCACCTTCCCCATCGTGAGGACCAGCTCCTCGACCACTCACAAAGCCCTATTCATGTACTTCCTCTACCCCTTCCCTGTTCCGGCATAACAAGAAGACAAACATCTTGACTGTGCACATCTGACGGGTGAAGGCAAGTGTGCAAATAAGTGAAAACCAACCAAATGAGGACAAGCAGAGGCTGTTTATTCACAGCTCACTACAGCAACAGAGTCAGCCACCATCATTTGAGTTCAGCAGAGACTCAAAAGCAGGCAGGGGAGTGGAAAAGCTTCATGGTGGACAAAAGGAAAGGCTTCGGGGTGCCCTGATTGGAGGCTGTTGGCCTGGGGACACTAAAGACGGGCTAGCTAAAAGCAGAGCAGCCAATGTGGTTGGTTAGGCATAGACATTTGGTTTTCCCGGTTGGTAGTAAGTTGGAAGCAGGAACAGAGATTAGGGAAGTTATTCATCAAGTCCCGGCCATCTGGTGCTGATTGTTACAGAGTTATTCTTTAGCCTCCTGGGTTGTTATTAGAGATAGCAGTTTGACTTCCTGAAGTCTGACTTACAGACAGAAGGCTTCCTGGGCTGTTTATTGTAGATAAGAGGTTGGTTTCTGGGCAGGTGGCTGCAGGTTGTGGTCAGAGATCTATTTTTACACACGGTCCAGCAATTGTCTTTGCATATTCTATCTCTCATAAGGAGACAACACAGCTGGTGACTGACGACAGTAAGAGGTTTTTCTCCAAAACCCCCCAAGTCTCTAATCTAGCAGCTTATCCCTCTTATTTTAGGGTTAAAAAGAAACCATCCATGAAAGAGATAAATATGTCAATTACTATGAGAAAAGTAATTTTAACTACTTTTTCAGAAGGCCTGCATTCTTGCCAGTGAAGATAACTATTGAAACTCTACTGAAATTCCCTCCAAGCTTCCATCCTCTCACATTATTTTCCTGTGCTCTTCTGAGCTTGAGATTCTGACAGCACCAGAGACAGATGAAATATTTTTGGACTGTATACATAAACACGCCTCTCCAGGGTAACCAAGAAGTGTCTATATTCCACTAGAAGCAAGCCAAATCACGCCTGCCATCGCTTAAACACATTCCACCTTGTTCGAGTCTCAGGAGAGTTGGAAAATAGCTACTATTTTGACATTTTTCTCTCAGCCCATCTGTCCCAGGTAAAATATTACTCCTTTCTCTTTTACCCAAATGTTATGATTTTAACCCTCTAATTATCTTTTTGTCCTTTTAGACTCACTGAACTTCATATCTTCCTTTAATATGAAAAGAAAAAATATCATAAGTTAATTTTCTAACTTGGTAAAAGGAAATGTCCTGCCCAGGAAGGGGGAGAATATGAAAACCCAGTGTCTTCCATACCGGCAGGTTTTGCGTGGAGTTGAAACTATCTGTGAGGAGCAACAGGCCAAAGGCTTCAGTCACATACTTGGTCACTGTCCTCTTCTTCTTGTCCAAGAGGCTCTTCCTGATGTATTCTCTTAACTTAGGGATTTCTGGAATTCACAGGCAGCACAAATAATTGTTAAAGGCCAGAAGTTTGTGGTCAATAGAATTCATAAAAGTTGAAAGACCAAGGTGGCGATATGAATGAAGTAGAGTTGAGATCCCAAGTGGGCTGGATGCCTACAGAACCAACCTTTCTGAAAAGCACTTTTCCCATGTCTAGGATCAATGACAGTGATGAATGGTAGATCAGCAATACTGCATATTCATTTTATTTAGCCGTATTAAAAAAACTACATGGAAAAGTACAGGCTAGTTGAAAACATGGGCTCTTTCCTTTGAACAGCTATCACCTGCAGAGGTAAACCAAAGTGCTCGGAATTCTAGAGTCCCAGCCCTTCAGTCCCCCTAGACTTTTCTACCTATATCAACTAACCCTTAACACCAGAATAGCCCATGCTTGCTGTAGAAAGGAACAAGAACCTCTGACATGCAGGATTCTAGATGTGACAGGATTCCTGTCACATCCTAACCCATTGTCTGTCAGAAGATAATAGATGCCACTCTACCCTTTTCCCCATTATTCCCATATGTGTCAATTTCTCTATATTATTCCTTCCATATACCATGCTAATTTTGTCTTTTATACCCTTAATCAAGCAGTTCCCCCATCTCTGGGAACATTTCACACCTTCTGCTCCTTAACCTCCATTCACATACCTACACGTCTAGTCAAATGCATGCACGTTGCAAGCCATATCAAGTTCAGATGAGAATGCAGTCCTGACCCTGCCTGCCCACCCACTTTCCACTGAGTATCTAGCGCACGCAGAGCTCTAGGTTCCCCGGGCTTCTATTGCACTCATGGTCAGCAACAACTAAACCTTATTTTTACTTCAGTTTTTGCATTTGGGTTAGTATTAGCTCCTCATCCAGATTTCAAGTTCTGTGAAGAAAGAGCCATGCCTTATGCTTTCACTGCCTCACAGACAAAATATACAATAGTCACTCAGGAAACAATTCTAATGCCTGAAGCTGGGTGGGAGGGGACTAAGGAAATGATAACCCAATTTTTTTTTTTTTTTTTGAGACGAAGTTCCACTGTTGTCACCCAGACTGGAGTTCAATGGTGCGATCTCGGCTCACTGCAACCTCCACCTCCCAGATTCAAGCAATTCTCCTGCCTTAGCCTCCCGAGTAGCTGGCACCACCACGTCCGGCTAATTTTTGTATTTTTTAGTAGAAATGGGGTTTCACCATATTGGTCAGGTTGGTCTTGAACTCCTGACCTTAGGGGATCAACCCACCTCGACCTCCCAAAGTGCTGGGATTACAGGCATGAACCAACATGCCTGGCTTTTTTTGTTGTTGTGTTTTGAGACAGAGTTTCACTCTTGTTGTCCAGGCTGTAGTGCAATGGCGCAATCTTGGCTCACTGCAACCTCTGCCTCCCGGGTTCAAGCAATTCTCCTGCCTCAGCCTCCCAAGTAGCTGAGATTATAGGCATGCACCACCACGCCTGGCAAATTTTGTATTTTTAGTAGAGATGGGGTTTCACCATGTTTGTCAGGCTGTTCTCATACTCCTGACCTCAGGTGATCTACCCACTTTGGCCTCCCAAAGTGCTGGAATTACAGGTGTGAGCCACTGCGCCCAGCAACCCAATTATTTGACCTTTACCAACCCATGGTAAGATTTGGAGGCAAGAGGAACTGTGGTCTCTGGCACCACAACAATGCAGAGAGGAAAATATCCTTATTTGCAATTGGTATTGAAACCATGGCAAGCTGGAAAAAAATTGTTTGTGTGGCACAAAAAGTTCTAGAGCAGGAAATTCGAAGTGCCAAGCTTGATCTTGAGAATTTTAGTGATGGAGATTTAAAAAACATAAATTACCCGTTTCCTCCTCGGTGAGGAGAGCCTGCTGCCAGTACTCCTGGGCGCTGACTGTATACACCAGATCTGAGGCTTCCAGAACCTTGAAGTCAGCTGGCAGTTTTCTCTGAAGTGAGAGAGTCACACAGAAAACAGAATAACTCAAACCATAGCAAAGGCAATCATGCACAGGACCCACAAGAGCCTTCAGCCAATTTCAGCTCACTCATTTTCAGTTCTCCATGACCCTCTCTGGGAACAGACAATGTTCTCAATGTCTGGTGTTGCCATCTGTCCACTCCTAACAAGGTCAGAAGTTATGAGGAAACTGCTGCATAGAAACTATTCTCTTGGGAGTTAATATCAATTCTAGAAGAAAATGTGTAGAGAAAATAATTCAAAGTTGTATTTAAATGTTCAGAGGGGGAATAATACCAGGATCCTTTCTCAAAAAAGAAACACATGTCTGGAATAGGCAGTGATGTGCTGCAGCCAGCTCGTACCAGCTCCTGAAAGCCAACAGCACACATCACTTTCCTACTCTGCATTCAGTGACGTCACACTGGTAGCTTGAAATTGACAATGTTGGGACTGTTTCAGTCCTGAATCTCAAACTGATAACCCAAATCCATAACCACATTGTGATCCCTAATCTTCAACCAAATAATTCCAGCTGACATGTGACCACAGCTTATCAATACTAAGAGGCACATCATTTCCCTGTTTAAGATTTCTGAAATTGAGATGCATCTTGCAACTGCTATAGACCAGGTGACAATCACAAGGTGGTTGTCACTGCCTGCGTGTTATGGGCTGAAATGTATCCCCCTCCAAAATTCAAATGTTGAGGTCCCAATCCCCACTAACTCCTATTTACACCACAGGAATTGGCAAATGGTACACATCAGCCTTTTGGGTTTTTTGTTTGTTTGTTTGTTTTGGGGGATTTTTTTGTTTTTAAACAAAGAGCTAGTTGTTAAACATTTACAAGCGCAACGCAACACAAACCTGGCTAAGGTCCTAGAAAAGTGACAGTTTCTTAAGTAGTTAGTGAGTAATCATACACATTTTAATGCAGACTAATGTTGAAACATTAGTCTGGGTGCGGTGGTTCACACCTGTAATCCTAGCACTTTGGGAGGCCAAGGCAGGCGGATCACAAGGTCAGGAGTTCGAGACCAGCCTGGCCAATATGGTGAAACCCCATCTCTACTAAAAAATACAAAAATTAGCCAGGCATGGTGGTGCGCACTTGTAGTCGCAGCTACTCGGGAGGCTGAGACAAGAGAATTGTTTGAACCCGGGAGGTAGAGGTTGCAATGAGCCAAGATCATGCCACTGCACTCCAGCCTGGGTGACAGAGAGATTCCATCTCAAAAAAAAAAAAAAAAAAAAGTCAAGCAATTAAGAATTATTTGAGGGAGTCTTTTTTTGTGCTTAGAAAAACAGTGTCGTGGAGAAGTCATACTAGAATCATATAGAAATAGCATTACATATTCTTTCATTCTTCTTACTTAAAAAAAAAGAGAAAAACATTCACCTATAGAATGTGCATGTGCGTGTGTGGGTATTTGAGGGAGGTAGAAAGCAGTGAAGAGTTGTCAATCTCTTTCTGATGCAAAGATATAAAGAGCTGAGTGAGTAGACGCCTTGCAGTCCACTGGGACTGGTGAGAAGCCGTGTCCCTGGCAAGCTATAAGCACGTGTAGTTAAGGCTGGAATACGGATATCTGTGCAGACTGCCAGAAGCCCACCCCCACCAACCCCCTTATAGAGTGAGCTGAAGTTGCAAAAAGAATCTATCTGCTGAGATTTTGCTTTGATTGAGTTTTCACTCTAGGAAAAAGTTTAGGGAAAGCTGAAACTATTTTCTACTGGGAGATGAAATTAATGTAGAATTAAGTTTAAGTAGAGTTTTAAAACAGTTCCAAGAAAGGCATGTGCTTAGCTGTGTCCAGATGTTTGCATTATTTAAAATCTGGACCTAAATCTTGTATAACTTTTCTAAAAATTACTGAAGATTAGTTAACATTTATGCTTTTTATTGTAGTAAAAAGAAATGTTTTTATAGTGTCAGTGAAGTGACTCTAGTATAAAGGGTTCATATTATTGTAAAAGAGAAGTAGAAACAGCTACAGCTAGAGGTAGGATCCAAGATGTTAGTAGATATTCATTAAATTATGCAACAGAAACATTACACACTGTTCTAATTTAAACACATGGCTTGTCATAATAAAACGTAACACAATATATTAAAGTTTGTAAAAAGATGTTGTATGTGAGAGAGGAGAAAACGTGGAAGCTCAAACCAGAAGGGAGGCTAGGTGTGGTGGCTCACACCTGTAATCCCAGCACTTTGGGAAGCCGAGGCAGGTGGATTGCCTAAGCTCAGGAATTCAGGACCAGCCTAGCCAACATGGTGAAACCCCGTCTCTACTAAAAATACAAAAAATTAGTCGGGCATGGAGGCACACGCCTGTAGTCCCAACTACTCGGGAGGCTGAAGCAGGAGAATTCCTTGAGCCTGGGAAGCAGAGGCTGCAGTGAGCCATGATCACGCCATTGAACTCCAGCCAGGACAACAAAGGAAGACACTATCTTAAAAAAATTAAATAAAAGGCCGGGCACGGTGGCTCATGCCTGTAATCCCAGCACTTCGGGAGGCCGAGGCGGGCAAATCACCGGAGGTCTGGAGTTTGAGACCAGCCTGATCAACATGGAGAAACCCCGTCTCTACTAAAAATACAAAATTAGCCAGGCATGGTGGTGAGTGCCTGTAATCCCAGCTACTCGGGAGGCTGAGGCAGGAGAATCGCTTGAACCAGGGAGGCAGATATTGTGGTAAGCCAAGATCGTGCCATTACATTCCAGCCTGGGCAACAAGAACAAAACTCTGTTAAAAAAAAAGAAAAAAGGAAAGGAAAAGAAAGGAAAGGAAAGGAAAGGAAGAAAGAAAACAGAAGGGTTATTCAATGGAAGCAGAATCAGAAAGGATATAGTAAAGTTGGAGTTACACTGAAACCAGTAATATCAATCATGACCCAGCTGGGTGAGGTGGCTCATGCCTGTAATCCTAGTACTTTGGGAGGCTGAGACAGGTGGGTCACCTGAGGTCAGGAGTTCGAGACCAGCCTGGCCAATATGGTGAAACCCTGTCTTCACTAAAACTACAAAAATTAGCCAGTTGTGGTGGCGCATGCCTGTAATCCCAGCTACCTGGGAGACTGAGGCAGGAGAATCACTTGAACCCAGGAGGCAGAGGTTGCAGTGAGCCAACATTGTGCCACTGCATTCTAGCCTGGGCAACAGAGCCAGGCTCCGTCTCAAAAAAAAAAAAAAATCATGACCTGATTTTTAAAAATCTACCTGAAATCAGTGACATAAATCATGACTCATTTTTTAAATCCACCTTTTCTAGCTTTGTCATGAAAATTATGTTGCAGTGATGTCACTCTGCCACTGTCTTACTTGTATGAAATAATTTGATCTGAGCCCCTAGCACTCTTTTTTTGCTGTTGTTAGAGATGGGGGTCTTGCTATGTTGCCCTAGCTGGTCTTGAACTCCTGGCCTCATACGATCCTCCCACCTCGGCCTCCCAAAGTGCTGAGATTACAGGTGTGAGCCACTGCTCCTGGCCCAATTATTATTTTTAATGTTATTCTCGCTAAAAGAAACCCCAGATTCCTGGGGAGTAGTTGTTCCATATCTTGGGGCAGGGAAAAATAAAGTGAACCTGAATATCTTGTTGTAGCTAGACAGCAAGAATGTTTTTTAAATGCTAAAGGGAGTAATGCTAAAGGGAGTCAGCTTAAAGGGTTCCCACTGGCCAAAAAGTGACACATTGAGCATCAGAATGAACACAATAGTTCTGTGAAAAGCTATGAGCTCATTATGATCCTAAAACTGAGTAAATAAAATAAGGTATGTTAAAGTAAAGGCATTAACCACCTCAAACAATATATGCCTGAGACTGTCAAAATTCAGTCTGTAAATTCCACTTGGGCAAGTCCTAAAAGTTTACCTAACATATAAAAGAATATTAACAGTCTTAGTAGGGGCACAAAAATCCTGTCAGGTCAAATCAGGCAGTAAAACTTTGTGAATTAGGTTAAAATAAAAAGTCGTGTGACAGTTTATAGTAAAAACTGAGCCAAGGCGGCCAGGTGCATTGGCTCATGCCTGTAATCCCAGCACTTTGAGAGGCTGAGGGCAGATCACCTGAGGTCGGGAGTTTGAGACCAGCCTGACCAGCATGGAGAAACCCCGTCTCTACTAAAAGTACAAAATTAGCTGGGCCTGGTGGCCCATGCCTGTAATCCCAGCTACTTGGGAGGCTGAGGCAGGAGAATTGCTTGAACCCAGGAGGCGGAGGTTGCGGTGAGCCAAGATAGCGCCATTGCACTCCAGCCTGGGCAACAGGAGCGAAACAAAACAAAACAAAACAAAACAAAAACAAAAACAAACAAAAAAAACCAAACTGGGTCAAGGCAAAATTTAAGGGAAGGTCAAGTGAACCATAACATACCAGGTAGTAAGAAAAGATGTGGAGCTAGAAAGCCTCGTTACTATAGGATGGGGCCCAAATCAGGCATCTTGGAAGGATCTATGTGCCTGTGTCTCAGCCTTGAATCTCAAACTAGTAACTCAAATCCATAACTACATTGTGATCCCCAATCTTCAACCACTTAACTTCAGCTGATATGTGACTACAGCTTATCAATACTAAGAGGCACATTGTTTCCCCGTTTAATATTTTTGAAATTGAGGTGCATCTTGCAACTGCTGCAGGCCAGGTGGCAGTCACAAGGTGGTTGTCACTGCCTGTGTGTTATGGGCTGAAATGTATCCCCCTCCAAAATTCACATGTTGAGGTCCTAATCTCCACTACCTAAAAATGTGACCTTATATGGAAATTGGGTCATTGAGGATGAAATGTATTAAGATGAAGTCATAATGGAGTAGGGTGGGCCCCTAATCCAATGACTGGTGTCTTTAAAAAAAGGGGAAATTTGGATACAGAGACACACACATGAGGAGAATGGCATATGAAGACTGGAGTTGTGCTGCCACAAGCCAGGAATTACCAGAAGCAAGCAGACAGAACTGTACCAGATCCTTCCTGCAGTTTCAGAGGGAGCATGGCGCTGCTAATACCTTGATTTTGGACTTCCAGCCTCCAGAACTGGGAGATAATAATTTTCTGTCGTTCCAAGCTACCCAGCTGTGGTGCTTAGGAGGTTCATACACTGCACATGGGTGAACTTGGTCACAGCTGTTCACATTGCCCTTCCTTCTAATGAGTTGTGTGCATTACTTAACTGCCATTTAATATGTCTTTTAAAAGATTATGTTATGATTCAGCATTGAAAGGTCAGCATTTTCCAGGCCGTTACATCGAAAGGCCTGGAAATGGAAACGTGGGGCATATACTTGATGTTAGTGGAAGTATGGTTGGTGTAGACAGTAATTCCAGATTTTTTTGCAAAGCAACACCTAAGTGCTTCATGGGACCTAGGAAAGGGAGACATCCACATGTAGATGAAGGTGGGTTGTGTTTTGATACTGAGGTGTATGCAAAGTGACTGCCTATCCCACACCCAGCCAAAAAAAAAAGTGATGGAAACTCAAAGAATGCCTTATAAAGAACTTCTGTCTCATGTTTTCTGTGATTAAAACTAAATTTGCTCCAAGGCTAGGCATTGTGGCTCACACCTGTAATCCCAGTGCTTTGGGAGGCCCAAGCAGGAGAATTGCTTGAGCCCAGGAATTAGAGACCAGCCTGGGCAACATACCCTGTCTCTACAAAAAATTTAAAAATTAGCTGGATGTGGTGGTGCATACCGGTATACCGGTAGTCCTAGCTCCTTGGGAGGCTGGTGGTGGTCAGGGGGTGCGGAGTGCGGGCAGGAAGATAGCTTGAGCCCAGGAATTCAACGTTGCAGTGAGTTATCATTGTGCCACTACACTCCAGCCTGGCTAACAGAGTGAGACCCATCTGGGAAAAAAAAAAAGTTCCAAACAACGGCATGTAGTACAAGTAAAGGTTTCACAATAATTCAAACTGAAATAAAGTGGTTGGAGAATGAAGGCATCACCTTGCCATCAGAGGTGTGGGTTTTAGGCCTCAGAAGAACTTGCACCATAGCGGTGACAGCTATAGTCACCCTGCAAACTGATGTATTGCTGCCCAGGCCCTAACTCATACAAACCAATTCGGCATGTTTACTGGCATAGTTGTAAATTGTGTATTGAAGTATTCTACGTTTCCATTTCCAGGGATAATATGATCAGGCACTCATACAATGCATATTTATTTAATACCAACAAGAACAATTCAACAGACCAAGACCAGCTGTACTAAGTTTTGCCTCGTTAAAACTGGCATTCAAGAATTGCCTGATAGAATATTTTGGCTTAAGTATGAGGCCTAATGATATTGCGCTAGAAACAAAAGCTTTGAAATTTTCAATTCCACGTTGCACAACAGACATTTTCTGTATCAATATTATTGAAGGCAAAATACAGAAAGAAATTGAATATAGAGCTGGTCATCGGCCAAATGTTTTTACTATTGAATCCAATACCGAAGATTTTGTTTCAGCCAAACATATCATCTGTCACATGGTACTTACTCTGATATATCCCTTATGTTGTGTTGTTTATATTTTATCTTAAACTTGGTTTTAGTTTTATAGTTGTACAAGACTATTATAGGCCAGACGTGGTGGCTCACGTTGGTAATCCCAGCACTTTGGGAGGCCGAGGTGGGTAGATCACCAGAGGTCAGGAGTTCGAGACCAGCCTGGCTAACATGGTGAAACCTCATCTCCACTAAAAATACAAAAATTAGCTGGGCATAGTGGCAGGCACTTGTAATCCCAGCTACTTGGGAGGCTGAGGCAGGAAAATCGTTTGAACCCAGGGGTCAGAGGTTGCAGTGAGCCGAGATTGCACCACTGCACTCCAGCCTGGGCAACGGAGCGCAACTCTGTCTCAAAATAAAAAAGTTAAAAAAAAAGACTATAATAATAATAAGTTGTATGTTTGTACCTACTTTAGTGATAAAATAGTAAAAATAGGAGAACACTAAGTGCAGCTCAGGCCTTATCCCTGTCCACTCCCTCTCACACTCTCCCTCTGAGCCTTTCCAAGCTACTTGCCTGTCATTCGCCAAACACAGCAGCCTGTGTGAACGGTGTTCTTGCTTCTGCCTCAAAAGTGCCTTCTCGACTTTTTCACCTTACTAAAGACTACAGCTTCTTTAAAATTCTGCTCTGCAGAGCACTGTGGTGCTTGCCGAGCTGTAGTCCCAGCTACGTGGGAGGCTGAGGCAGGAGGATCACTTCAGCCCAAGAGTTTGAGACCAGCCTGGGCAACATAGTGGAAACCCCATCTTTAAAAATAATAATAATAAAATTGGCCAGGTGCAGTGGCTCATGCCTGTAATCCCAGCATTTTGGGAGGCCAAGGCAGGCAGATCACCTGAGGTCAGGAGTTCAAGACCAGCCTAGTCAACATGGTAAAACCCTGTCTCTACTAAAAATACAAAAATTAACCAGGCATGGTGACCAGCCTGGTCAACATGGTAAAACCCTCTCTCTACTAAAAATACAAAAATTAACCAGGCATGGTGGCATGCACCTGTAATCCCAGCTACTCAGGAGGCTGAGGCAGGATAATCACTTGAACCCAGGAGACGGAGGTTGCAGTGAGCCGAGTTTGTCCCACTGCACTCCAGCCTGGGTGACAAAGTGAGACTAAGTCTCAAAAAATAATAATAATAAAATAAAATTCTGCTCAGAGGCTGAGTTTTCCTTGAACACCTCCCCAGTCCCACCTCTCCTGCCACCAGTGTGACCTGGCATCTTTCCTCCGTGTCCCATAGCACTCAACAATTCCTCCACTGTATGGAGAGCCCAGACTCACCTGGGCCTACTCCTCTGTGGACCACATGCTCATTCGACCCTCTCAACAATCACGGGAGATAGATATCATTATCTCCCTGCTTTAAAGATGAGAAAATGGTGCCTCAGAGAGGTAACTGAAGCAGTAGGACTGAGTTAAATCCAAACTGTCTCCTATAGGTCAGTAATCCCAGCACTTTGGGAGGTCAAGGCAGGTGGATCACTTGAGCCCAGGAGTTTGAGAACAGTCTGGACAACATGGTGCAATCCCATCTCTACAAAAAATACAAAAATTAGCCAGACATGGCGGTGCATGCCTATAGTCCCAGCTACTTGAGAGGCTGAGGTGGGAGGATCTCTTGAGCCTGGGAGGCAGAGGTTGCAGTGAGTCAAGATCACACCGCTGCACTTCAGCCTGGCCAACAGAGTGAGACCCGCGTCTCAAAACAAAAGAAACTAACTGTCTATTCCAAAACTTTGGCCCTTGCAACTACACAATACCAGGCATACATTTGTCTCCCAAAATCTAGTTGCTGGGATACAGAAAAACACATAGAGAAACCTATTAACTCACCTTCAGTTTTTCCTTGAGAATTCTAGTCCTTTGTAGTTTTATCATTTCATTTCTTTCTAAAACAGCCTCTCGCTGACTCTGAATAGCTTGCTAGGTTGTGAAAGGAAATAGAAGCATGCAGAGAGTAGCGTTATCAACAGTGATGAGGTGGCAAGATGCACATTTTTTTGGCAGATTTTCATTTGGTCCAAACAGTCAAATATGCATGCACTGTATTAGAATTATACACAGTTGCCGGGCACGGTGGCTCATGCCTGTAATCCTAGCCCGTTGGGAGGCCAAGGTAGGCAGATCACAAGCTCAAGAGATCGAGACCATCCTGGCTAATCCAGTGAAACCCCATCTCTACTAAGAATACAAAAAATTAGCTAGGCGTGGCGGCACGTGCCTGTAGTCCCAGCTACTCGGGAGGCTGAGGCAGGAGAATTGCTTGAACACAGGAAGCAGAGCTTGCAGTGAGTCGAGATCGCGCCACTGCACTCCAGCCTGGGCGACAGAGTGAGACTGTATCTCAAAAAAAAAAAAAAAATACACAGTTGACCCTTGGACTACATGGGTTTGAACTGCGTAGGTCCACTTATACGTGGATTCTTTTTCAATAATTGAAAAAGATTTGAAGATTTGCAACAATCTGAAAAAACTCACAGACAAACCCTGTAGCCTAGAAGTATCAAAAAATTAACAAAAAGGTGTCATGAATACATAAAATAGATGTAGATCCCAGTTTATATTTGATAATGTACTACCACGAAATGCACACGATTCTATCATGAAAAGTTAAAATTTATCAAAACTTCTGTAAACATCTATAGACTACATGGCACCATTGGCAGTCAAGAGGAATGTAAACAAACATTAAGATGCAGTATTAAATCATAACTGCATAAAATTAACTGTAGTACATACTATACTACTGTAATAACTTCAGAGCCACCTCCTGTTGCTGGTGTGGTGAGCTCAAGTGTTGCAAATATCCACTTAAAGCGCCAAACACCATGTGATACTAATGATCTCCATGTGAACAACTGCTCCAGTAAATTGCGTATGGCAATAAAAAGTGAGCTCTTGCAGTTCTCATGTATTTTTCAGCCTGTTTAGAGCAATACCCTAAATCTTGAATAACACCATCGGACCCATGTGAAGTCCAGTGATCCTGGAGGGGCTCCCAAGTAGCAGAGAAAAGTCATGACATTACAAGAAAAAGTTGAATCGCTTCATATGTGCCGTAGATTGAGGTCTGCAGCTGCTGTTGCCTGTCATTTCAGATGTACGATTCATCTTGTAAACAGATGAAGTAAACTTATGCTATTGATAAATACGGTGCCGTATTGTAAATGTATTTTCTCTTCCTTATGATTTTCTTTCCTTTTTTTTTTTTTTTTTTGTTGTTGTTGTTTGAGATGGAGTCTCACTGTTGCTCAGGCTGGAGTGCAGTGGCGCGATCTCGGCTCAGTGCAACCTCCGCCTCCCAGGTTCAAGTGACTGTCCTGCTTCAGCCTACTGAGTAGCTGGGATTACAGGTCCATTCCACCAGGCCCAGCTAATTTTTGCGTTTTTAGTAGAAACGGGGTTTCACCATGTTGGTTGGGCTGGTCTTAACTCCTGACCTCGTGATCCGCCCACCTCAGCCTTCCAAAGTGCTGGGATTACAGGCATGAGTCACCAAGTCCTGCCATGATTTTCTTAATGACATTTTCTTTTCTCTAGCTTACTTATTTTAAGAATACAGAACATAATACATACACAAAATATGTATTAATCGACTGTTTATGCTATCGGTAAGACTGCCAATCAACAGTGGCTATTAGTAGTTAAGTTTTTGGGGAATCAAAAATTATGTGTGGATTTTCAATTGAGCAGGGAGTTGGCACACTAATCTCTACATTGTTCAAGAGCCAACTGTAATATCAGTCATAAAAAGTATTATTTAAAAAGAATTAGTTCAGGCCGGGCGCGGTGGCTCACGCCTGTAATCCCAGCACTTTGGGAGGCTGAAGCCGGTGGATCACCTGAGGTCAGGGGTTCAAAACCAGCCTGGCCAACGTGGTGAAACCCCATCTCTACTAAAAATACAAAAATTAGCCAGGCATGATGGTGGGTACCTGTAATCCCAGCTACTCTGGAGGCTGAATTAGGAGAATTGCTTGAACCTGGGAGGCAGAGGTTGCCGTGAGCCGAGATCGCGCCAATGCACTCCAGCCTGGGTGACAGAGCGAGACTCTGTCTCAAAAAAATAAAAAATAAATAGATAATAATTTAAAAATAAAAATAAAAAAAACTAGTTCATACTTACATTTCCTGCCTTTCTTTCCCTGAAATGAAATTAGAAAAATGTAACAATTACTTAATTTTTACTATGTGTCACTGCAGTCTTTCGACTTTCCCCAAAAGCAGCACACACTCCCTGTGTCTGTGCCTTTTCATAAGTTCTTTCTTTGACCCAATGCTCTCTCTTCTGACCCATCTCCAGCATCCACTTGAAAAAAGTGCCTTCATTTCTCAACGGCCAGCCAGCGTTTTGTCAGCTGTGAACATTTTCTGTGACCTCACTCCCTGTCCCAGTCAAAAATGCAGCCCTCTCACCCTGGGTTCCCATAGCACCTGGCTTGTCCCTTCATGTATAACTTTTAACCCTCTTTTAGATGGTGAGCTCAAAGACTGGGCAATGTGCCTCTGAATCCACAGCCCCTACCTATGTTCAATAAATGCTTATCATTAATAAATTAGATTTAATTATGTTAATTTTTTTTTTTTTTGAGACGGAGTCTCACTCTGTTGCCCAGGCTGGAGTGCAGTGGTACGATCTCAGCTCACTGCAACCTCCACATTCCAGGTCCAAGCGATTCCCCTGCCTCAGCCTCCTGAGTAGCTGGGACTACAGGTGTGCATCACCACGCCCGGCCAATTTATTTTGTATTTTTTAGTACAGATGGGTTTCACCATGTTGGCCAGGATGGTCTCAATCTCCTGACCTTGTGATCTGCCCGCCTCAGCCTCCCAAAGTGCTGGGATTACAGGTGTGAGCCACCACACTCAGCCTAATTGTGTTAATTTTAGTGTTGGCATTGGAAAGGGAGGGCTGGAGATATTCTCTGCTGGGGTGAGATGGGGAGAAATGCAGGAGGAAAAAAATGAAGCTGCAATTCCAACCCAGACCATGACAGCAAGGGAATTCCTGGAGACAGCAGTCAGACCTAAGCTTCAGTGGGTGTGGAGGAAATGGTGGAGGGGCTGTAAAGGAGCTCTTGTTGGAGGTGAGACGCATCCGTGACATCACATCCCGTGAGCACACACCCCATGGATCCAGGAAAGCCCAGTTTATACCCGCTGATCCCCTCTAAGGACTAATCATACCCCCTCTCACTCTCAAAATTGTCCCAATATAGAAGGTTAGTTATAGTCTTCCTAACTATAGGGACAACAGAGCTCTCCATAGAAATCAACATCTATTAAGCCCAAAAATGCATACCTTTCATTGTAATTTGTTATAATACAACTCTTAGAGAATGCATCTACCTTCTCCCGAAGTTCTAAAACTTTTGAGGACCTGTTCCAAGTGAGTTAAAAAGTTCAGGAGTCTCTGGCTGGGGATGCTGGGCTTGATACCTAGGTGATGGGTTGATCTGTGCATCTAACCACCATGGCACATGTTTACCTGTGTAACAAACCTGCACATCCTGCACATGTACCCTGGAACTTAAAATAAAAATAAAAATTTAATGATTTTTAAAAAGCTCAGGAGTACAAAAACCTGAAACATCAAAGCTGTACCCTGGGCTGGGTGCAGTGGCTCACACCTGTAATCCCAGCACTTTGGGAGGCCAAGGCGGGCAGATCACCTGAGGTCCGGAGTTCAAGACCACCCCGGCCAACATGGCGAAACCCCATCTCTACTAAAATACAAAAATTAGCTGGGTGGACCGGCCGGCGCCTGTAATCCCAGCCACTCGGGAGGCTGAGGCAGGAGAATTGCTTGAACCCAGGAGACGGAGGTTGCAGTGAGCTGAGATCGTGCCATTGCACTCCAGCCTGGGCGGCACAGCAAGACTCTGTGCCAAAAAAAAAAAAGCTGTACCCTACCAGATAGGATTATAGGCTGTACCCCCTAGTTATGGGGGCATCTACACTTTCTACATCTGTGGAGCAGGTGGGATCATCACATCACACAGTGCAGGAGGTACACCATCTGCATCTGGTACATGTGAGTGGCACCCCCAGAGCTGTGTAGGGGACACCAGCTTGGCACTAAGCAGCTACCCTGGAAGGTTCAGATTCCTAAGACAACCCAACCAAGGGTCCTGATGTCCCAGGAAGTCACCCAGCCTTTTCTTTCCTCCCCAACAATCACTTCCTGAAGCCCTCTAACCACGTTACAAAGTCAAGCTCCATGCTACTGTAGTCAGGACCCACAGAGGAAAGCCCCTGACTGGAGCCCACATCCTTGCAAGCCCAGCACAATACCTTAGGTATTCTGGCAAGTGGAGTTTGTCCATCTTGGTGACCACCAGGGCCACGTCCCTACAGAAGCCCCGCTGGCAGGCTTTGATGCTCTCATTCAGAAGGTCTTCGTGGGCTTGCCCCCCAGAAACTCGCTCTATGTCGCTGATCACCCAGATCACTGAGCACTTGTCAATGGTCTGCAAAACATGACCACGGCATGTGTCAGCACAGGAATGGAGTCACAGTTCCTGAGGACCGGTTCCCTAATGTATCCCTTAAGCCTCTCCCTCCAGTCCCACCCCTCACCGCTCCCCACCGCACTCTGTGCACTAGCTGGACTGAGCTATGAGTCATTTCTCATATGTGCCTTGTTCTGTTAATTCCCTGGCCACAGCCTCTGCCTAGCCCCCATTTGTTCCTCAAGACTGTGGAGGACCTCTCGGGCATTGGGCTGGCCTCTGCATCCTGTAACACCTGGACTTACCTCAAGCAGCGCCTCTGAGACACAGTGACTGCACCAGGTCTGCTCTCTGCCCCTTGATGGGAAGCGACTGTCTGCACCTTTCCTCTTGGGATCCACCTCACCTCAAGCCCAGTGCTTGGCACACAGGAGAGGCTTCACAGAAGTTTGTGGCATTAGAGATTGACAGAATTCCCTAAATCAGTCCTCCAGTCCCAGTCCCAGATCCATCACTGGCTTGCTTTATCTCAGTTGTCCCCTGGGGAAAATTCTTGTTTTTCCAGAACTAGGTTTGGTGGTGCACCTACCCTCAAGCTGTCACCTGACGGCAGCATTTTGATGTTTGACTGCCCCTGCACGTTTAGTTCAATGCCACCAGATGGCAGCATGGAGCCAGAAACCATATGACAAGTTGCAAAGGCCAATGAACATGAAACAACATAATGGCATGAATGTTGCTTTATTAAATATGCAACTTTCACATGACGATCATGTGTAGCCTTGTGACATTTCTCTAATTGTATTGTTACTCTTGTCTTACCTCCACATAAATGAAAATCTGGTTCAACTCAGGGATTGAGTTTATTTGTGGTTCCTCAGTGCTTTGCATACAAAGGGATGACAAGTTTGTGACTTGAAAATTAAATCATCATTTTGCTTTATACCAGTAGTTTTTAACTAGTAGAGGTTTTGTGCCCCAGAAAATATAAACAGTCTCCAATTTGTGATGATTCAGCTTACAATTTTTCTTTTCGACTTTACAATGGGTTTACTGAACAATTGGTAAGTCCAGTACAATCGGGGCTAATGATGGTTATGATTCCAGCTTACAGTGGGCTTATCAGGATGCAATTCTATGGTACATCAATGAGCATCTGTATTTGGCAAAAAATGTCTGGAGACATTTTTAATTGTGACAACCTTGGGGGGGTACTTGAAGGTAAAGGCCGAGGATGCAGCTAAACATTCTTCAATGCCCAGGACAGCCCAACCCCAGCTCCCATCCCACAAATAATTATCTGACAGCCCAAAATGTCAAGAGTTTGAGAAACCCTGATCCAGGGCAGTGGGTTTCAGCTTGCTTTTAGCATGGGAGGCTTTTTCAAATGAAATCTTAGTTAGAATTCCAACATATAAACTTGATTTTTAAAAAGCAGAACTGCTCTGGTTGAATTGGGAGTGCAGGACCCAGAACCACCATCGGCTCAATGCCCTCTACCCTCTGTCCAGGAACCTTTTGGCTCCATACATCACTGCTTAAAAAGCATCTGCTTCTCAAGTTAGAGAAACCCCTTGGATTATAGGGAAGTAATGAAGCCCAAGCGGTAAAGAGACTCAAGTAGGGCCACACGACGATGGATCCTGTCTCTCCTCTATAAGTGAATGGACTTTGATTTAGGCAAGAAAATAAAAACCATTACAGCCCTTCTGCTGCCCAAACTATAATCAACTTAGAAAAGCTTTGGGCTCTGGGCCAGATGTGGTGGCTCACGCCTGTAATCCCAACATTTTGGGAGGCTAAAGCAGGCAGATCACTTGAGCTCAGGAGTTCACCAGCCTGGGCAATATGGTAAAATCTCATCTCTACAAAAAAAAAAAAAAATTAGCCAAGTGTGGTTGTGTGCACCTGTAGCCCCAGCTACTCGGGAGGCTGGGACAGCAGGATTGCTCAAGCCCAGGAGGTCGAGGTTGCAGTCAGCCATGATTATGCCACTGTACTCCAGTCCAGGCAACAGAGCAAGATGCTGTAGCAAACAAAACAAAACAAAAGTAGAAGCAGCTTCCAGCTCTGTAGTGTCAACAGTGGGCAGAGAATGGTCCAGCCAGCGGAAGGCCATAAGGATGCCAGGCTGGGTGCTCCTTAAGGGCAGGGCCCCCGTCACCTTCATATTCCCCATGGTCCTGGTAAGCCACAGGTGCTTAGTGTTTACTAACATGAGAAAAGGACAGCAACCATAAAGGGTGCAGTGGTTAAATTTCAGACCGACCCCACACAAAGCTCCCACTGCCAGGGTTTGGTAAAGTTAGTGTCGCAGAAGATACAAAAAAGCATTTCGATAAAACCTGAACTGCCAGACTTAGGAGTAGATGAGGTGGCACCCCACCACCCCCAACCTGCATCTCCCCAGGCCCCCGCTATGAGAATGGGACTTAGAGGAGTTCAGAGACATGCCTCAAGTCACGTGACTTCTAAGTGGCAGATCAGATTCAGGGACATCTGAATTCATAACGGGTTTTAGGGAAGGCAAGACTGGCAGCCTGAGAGACATAGGGAGGGCAACTGTGTCGTTCTCCCTGCAGAGGGGGGTCTTGAGTAACTTCTTGTGAGAGGAGGTCAAGAAAACCCACAAGAATGCAGGGGAGCTGGGCCAGGCAGAGCACGGTGGGAACCATCCCTCGCTTCAGCCTGACCTCCTCAGAGCACATTTTCTGAGCCAGATCTGCCGTCTTTGATAAGCTGCCCAGTGTATCTGAACTGGCTGCAGCCGCGGCTCCATCCAGCGAGAGGCCCTGGCAGCCTTCCTGGGCTGTCGCTCTCTCGGCCGGGCCTGGAACTAGCCAAGATTCGCGATTTCCACCCCAGGATCCGAGGTCTTGCAGAAACTAAGGCTCACAAGGCCAGGCCTGAGCCACCGACCAAGGGGAAGGACACAGAGACTGCCTTCCTCCTGCAGGAGGTGGATAATATAGAGCGTGCCCTGGGGGAGGTGGGGTAGATAGAGCCCCAGCAGGGAAGTTAGGAAACCTGCTCTCCAAGGCTGTGTGGTCCTGGACAAGTGACTTTCCCTCTCTGAGCCTTCATGTCTTCATCTGTACAATCAGGGCAGAGGCTAGAGCTTGCTCTAGATTGTGACTGGAAGTCGTGGTTACCAAGCTCCCCTGGCACAATCATTCATCTAAACAAACCTGTGGAGTTTAAAGAACTGGATTCTTTGGCAGCTGCTGTGCTGCTCACAACTCACTGATGCTGGTCCCCCTCTCCCAGTCCCCTTCCAGCTCCTGGGCTCCTGTGTTCCTCCCACCCTGTGCTCCAGAGCGCCTCTGTTTACCGCGCCCTTTCTCAATCACATGCCCCAGTCCCTCTCTTCCTGCAAGTTTTCCCAGGAAGCCAAACTCTGGAGCAGTAGTACTAAAGACCCCAGAACTTTTCCAGGCATGTCTTCCATAGTCTCCCTCCTCCACGGACCCCATGCTCCTTCTCCCATTCACCCAGGAAGATTCACCCTGCCCCCACCACGCCAGCTTCCTCAGACCTCCAGCTCTATGCTGATGCTGCTTACAGCCAACACAGTTGCAGCCTCTTGGTTCTTGGTGACTGGCTGCAGCTTCTCTGCTTTGTCCCCAACACTTGGCCTCCCAGTTCCCTTCTGTCCTTGGTCACTCTGTTTCCTCTTAAGCCACTCTATTGCTGGTCTTTCTCATACATCACACACACTTGTCCCAGCTCCAATAGTCACATCCTGTGATTCCTCCCTCCCCACTTTCTCTGGCTACCCACACCCTGCCAGGGCCTTGAGACTTAGAACATAGAAATTAAAAGAATTTAATTCCAATGAACTCAAAATCCCTGAAGCTGAAACCAGAGCATTCTTTGTTGCTTGAGAAAGGGTAGAGGAGTTTAGGGAAGAGAGAACTAAACCTACGAAAGACAGTCACCTTTTTCCACATCTCGTCCCTCTTGCTGTTGAAGTCGCCTGTGCCTGGGATGTCCACCAGCACGACCCCTTCTGGGATCAGGTCGGATTTGGGAAGTGTCACTTCCACATGTTTGATCAAGGGCCAGATGCGCATCTCAGCGGCCTCTCCATCCCAATCTCTCCTCTGTGTGCGGATGTAGGGGTCCAGCTTGATGGACAGCTCTTCTGCCTGAAGAAGGAGGACAGAGTCACACACACCAGCCATGCACCCAGCTCTGTTCACCCCGGTTGGCTGTGATGCAGGTTCATGGTAAGTATGCTGAGTAAGGGTAAGAAGTGCGTCCAACAGGAGGCCTGCAATCAGGTCTGTAGGACCTAGAACCTGAGAGCCAGGAAGGACCCTGGAGAGGAGCAAGTTCAAGATCCTTACCTTACAGATGAAACAAAACCAATGTCAGCTAAAATGGGACTTTAGGGAAGTTATAGTATTGCTGAATAATAAGTTTATCTTCTAAACTGCATTCAGTTCTAAAATTAACATACTATGTAATTGATATTTTCATTACCAGAAAGCTAGCAATGACTATAGAAAATTAACAGTGATATGGTAACCATATTTTCCAAACTGAAAATTGATCTGAAATTGGATCTTTTTTTTTTTTTTTTTTTTTTTTTTGAGACAGAGTCTTGCTCTGTTGCCCAGACTGGAGTGCAGTGGTGCGATCTCGGCTCACTACAAGCTCCGCCTCCCGGGTTCACGCCATTCTCCTGCCTGACTCCCCAGGAGCTGGGACTACAGGCACCCGCAACCACGCCCGGCTAATTTTTGTTGTATTTTTAGTAGAGACAGGGTTTCACCATGTTAGCCAGGATGGGGTCGATCTCCTGACGTTGTGATCCGCCCTCCTCAGCCTCCCAAAGTGCTGGGATTACAGGCGTGAGCCACCGCGCCTGGCCGAAATTGGATCTTAAAAAGAGTTTTTAAAATTTATCTTCTGATTACAAAAAATACCTTGATATGTAGGCATTTCTAGAATATTTTAATGATGGTGGGTGAGAGAGGGAATAGTTCTTAGACCACGGTTCCTACTTAAACATGTCTCGGGACAATGACACATCCATGCCAGCAACTATGACAGTAAATCGCAACTGGGGTACTTCAGAGGACAGGGGATTTGGGATGTATGGTGGTCACTGTTAAATAAATTTCTATAAAATAGTCCTGAAAGAAAGATAAGAATGTCAGTTCTTAAGAGAGTTTAAATTAAATCGCTGGATTTGTTGCAATCTGGGGAAGGAGTAAGAGATTTCATCAATTTCAACCAAATGATAAACCACGACGGAGGAGATAATAAAAGCTCTTTAAGACATTGTAATTTTAAAATAGAGCAGATACCGTAAGAGAGAAGCCCAGGAAAAGGCAGGGGCTTGAAAAGCCCCTTCCTACAAGAGGGCTCAGCCCAATAAACTGGTTCCGGGCAAACATCGTTGTAGAAGGCCTTGATTCTAGGATCTCCAGTGGAAACCCTGAATTTGTAAGCCCACTCATCGAGATGGTAATTCTGTTCACCTTGTTTCCGTGCGTAAATTTATGACGCTGGGAAGGAGTATTTCTAAATATAGAGTTGGCAAAGACGTTGATACCCTTGTGTAAGTTGCGTGTATTCAGATAAAGCAACTAGTTTTGTAATCATTGTGTTTCTTAGACATGCTCAGTCTATGTTTTAGATATTAGAAGTGTAATCATTTTAATAGTAATATTCGTCTTAAAACTGTAAGAAATGGGCACTGTATTTGTTTGATTTTCCAGGTATGCAAGAGATAGTAACATGCTTTGAAAAGGTTTCATTCATTTGATTTTTAAGTGTGCCTAGTCAAGCATTTAAACATTTTAAGAGGCTCAAGTATATTGAACTTTAACTGTAATGCAAAAAGCCTAAGGAAATGTGATTAATTATGTAAGTATCATTAATATTTAAGGAAGATTTGCTTTGTTAATCAGGAGATCATTGAACATTTAACTTTAGGACATGTATAAAAATTGTACCCATTTTACCAATAATCACTAGATTTATAAATAGAATAGCAATATTTTAAAGGTGTATTTAAAGGTGAGAGATACAAGAAAAACTAGGTTTTTAAATGTATAGCTTTCCTAAATTGAATGTTGATTCCACAAATATTTTGTTTTAATTCAGAAATTGAATTTTAACTTAAAATAAACATTGTTTATAAAAGCAAGAATATCATTCTACTAGTTGCCTATCGAATGTCCATCCTGTCCCTCTTTTATGCCAGCAGAATCCTGATTTTCTGTCTGACTGGGGAGGCAGTGGAGTGAAACTGGTCTAAGCAAATCATGACAAGTCTGCTTTTCACTTTCTCTGGACTCCCTTTCAGCCAGGAAGGGCTGTGTGGCTCAGTTCTGAACTCTGAAATCTACACAGAAATTTGTCAGAGGTATTTCTGGGAAAGTTTTTACTTTCTGATGAAAGGGGAGATGTGGCTGATGCCAACCTTTTCTCCACTTCTTCCTTCCAGGAGGCTAGCATGAAGTCTAGCACTCCGGGAGCCATCTCATGACAATGGGGGCGACGGAAGGCAAAGGGAGCCAGAGATGCTGATGTTGGCATTGCTGATCCACTAAACCAACCCCACCCCTACTGCCCCCAAACCTCTTACATGAGAAAAGGAATAAATCCCTGTTTGTTTAAGCCACTATAAGTCTTCTTAAAAAATCTTTGGCAGCCCAAACTATCCCTAATTATTCTCAAGCAACTGTAAATAGTCTTTTTCTGGGCATAAGAGCTCCTCCATTCACATACCAAAAATTTCCATTTGATAGCCATAAATAATGAGGATAACTTGGGCTACGGATACTTCTAATTTGGGTAGCAACTTATTTCTTATTTCACACAAACACTGTACCACAAGCCCATCCCCTGAAACAGGTTCAACTGTTAGACTTGAGACCCAGGATGAAATCAAGGAAAAAACGAACTTGACGCTACCTCTTCCGCCTTGAGGGTGATGACTCTGGAGGTGGGGATCTTCCTTTTGGGCTTCGCCCTCAGTAACTCCTCATAGTTCTTACTCTCTGCCCCATTTCCATAAATCATTTGTAGCTTCCAGGTGGCTTCCTCCACTGCCTCATCCCTGTTCCACGCATCTGCCTCTTCTCTGCTCAGCTCCTCCGTCCTATGCAGGAGTTTGGTCAGGTTCTTCAGCTCCTCCCTCCACTCCTGCCAAGGCAGAGTAGGGCCAAGCCCCTCTTGACACAGACACAGAGAACACCGACAAACAGAGGGGCCCATTGCCCCCTGTGGAGGGCCAGGGGGCTGCATATTCAGAAAATCTAGGTCATCTATCTGGGGTCTCGAAGAGGGGAATGGCTTGCCCAAAGTCTCATAAAAATGCAAGGACCAGGCTAGACCCCCTCCCCAGCTCACTTGATGAACTTTCTCCTGGGATGGGCTCTTTTCATTCAACAAAGGCATGAGCTGTATTTGCAAGGAATATAATGTTATCTCTGAGAGACAGTGAGAAGGAAAGAAAGAAAAGGAAGAAAAAAAGGAAGAGAAGGAAGAAGGAAAGAAGGGAGAGAGGGAGGGAAGAGGAAGGAAGGAAGAAAGAAAGGAAGGAGGGAACGAAAAAGGAAGAAAGGAAGGAAAAAGGAAGGAAGGGAAGGAAGGAGGGAGGAAGGGAACACTTACCTGGTCAGACAGAAGGTGGATTTTGGCCTCATACTGCACACAGCAGCCAGAGCTCACTTGTACAATGCAGGAAGTACATATGCTTTCTCCAGACACTGGTAGAAACATTGCTTGCTGGATGATGGCATTGATCAGGGAGCTCTTCCCAGCCCCAGTGCTTCCAAATAATGCAATGTAGATTGGGTCCACTGTCGGCTTTTCAATCAAGGCAAGAAGCCTATTTCTGGATGAATTTTAAAATGCACATTGCCATGATCATCAAAGTTTAGAGTGAAGAGCATTGAAACAGAATGCAAAGGAACTGAATTCTAATCCCGGGCACGTCACTACAACCTGAGTCTCTGTTCTCTCCTCTGTCAAAGGAGAATATCAATCCCTGTTGACCACACAGAGTTGGCCTGGGGATCAAATGAGATTATGTAAAAATATTTGGTAATGATAATTCCACACAATCCCTGTAATGTCTATATAGATGTGAGGTGTCTTTATTTGTATTCACTGGAAATTGCATATTCTTTTTTTTGTTTGTTTATGTGTCTGAGACAGGATCTCACTTTGTCACCCAGGCTGGAGTGCAGTGGTGCAATTATGGCTCACTGCAGCCTTAACCTCCTAGGCTCAAGCGACTCCCTTGCCTCAGCCTCTGAAGTAGCTGGAACTACAGGCGTGCTCCATGACGCCTGGCTAATTTTTTTGTATTTTGTATAGAGACAGAGTTTTGCCATATTGCTCAGGCTGCTCTCAAGTGGTCCACCCGCCTCGGCCTCCCAAAGTGCTGAGATTATAGGTGTCAGCCACTACACCTGGACAGAAATTGTATATTCTTGATCCTAGAAATACAATGTATACAGACATGAAGTATTAATAGTGTTAGGAGCAACACAGAGTCTTACTGAGCAGGAGAAATTGTAGCCTCAGCACCACTCGAGTCCTTCAAGTCAGCAGAGGACAAATAATTGGGGACATGAGCTCAGAGTCACACAGCCTGGGGTGAATTCTGGACCCTCTCACTGACTACTGGTGTGAGTTTGTTCACATCTGGGCCTCTCTGAGCCTCAATTTCAGTAAAATGGAAGTGATCATAATAGCTCCTACTTTATAGGAGTGTTGGATGGGTTAAATGATATTTGACATATATAAAGCACTTAGCAGATTACCTAACAGTGACAGCTCAATGAATGGCAACTATCCCATAGCTACAGAAATTTGTGTCCCTCTTTTCTTAGTTTCTAATTAAATAGTCCCTTTCCTTGTTGGGGGAAAGCACCTATAATCGCCTAAGGAAAGACACTGACATAAAATTTCAGGGTTGCAGATTTCAGACTCACATGAGATACTTGACTCCATTAGGGATGCTGTCATCCAGGAAGACAGACTGAATAAGTTTCTGATAAGTGTTGCTCAAAACCCTTCTGGTCCGTGATTCCAATTTTTCATCTGGAATTAACAGAGAGATGTCACCTGCAGGTACCTGGCAGGGATAAAGTACTAGGTCTCCAAAGGAGGTGTCTGTTGAACATCGCAGAGAAGGGAAAAAAAAAATGAAATGAAAAGCCGATTAAACAAGATAGCAGGTTATCTCACACGAGGGATGGCGGCTCACTGGAGATAGCAATCATTGGTTCTGAAAATCTCCAAAGAGCCAGGCTGCTCTGAAACTCTGGTAACAGAAGTTATGGTATGCTTGGCCACGGGCTTCAGCCCCTTCTAGATTTTTCCCTCCTGTGGTCATAAAAAGAAAGAAAAAATGCAAGGACACCATGCTGACACCCACGGAAGCACCAACCTCATCATTTTCACAGGCTTTGTTCTAATCTGGAAGAAGTTATTTTGATAACAACCCTCCTGCCCACAGATGCCTGGAGACAAATTGCCTAACTGCATACCGCTACAGAGACTTTGAGCCCTCTCTTTCCAAAACAGGTTTATTTGATGTTTCATCCAGCTTCAGAATTTAACCTCCTCTTCCTTTGACCATTTTAACATACTTGGAACAGAACCGAACCATGTTAAAACAACAGTTCCAAGACACTCACATTCCTTAAGAGCACTCTGCTCCATGGAGGGAAATGCTCGGAACCGCTGGTCTCGATCTGATTTCCTTCTTTTTCTCGTTCGTTCTTTATATAAATCATCTTCAACTAGAGATAAACAGAGGATATATAAGATTATAGGTGTTGGGGTATGGTATTCTTGCCTCACCTCTATCAGCATAGAAACTCAAAGGGTCTAACAGACTGGCTGGGTGCAGTGGCTCATGTCTGTAATCTGAAGCATGAGGGATTACATGCCTGGGAGGCCAAGGTGGGAGGATTGCTTGAGGTCAGGAGTTCGAGACATGCCTGGGCAACACAGCAAGACCCTTGTCTCAAAAAAAAATTTTTTTTTTTGGTAGAGACAGGGGTCTTACTGTGTTGCCCAGCAGGCCAGAGTGCTGCGGCATGATCACGACTCACTGCAACCTCAACCTCCCAGGCTCATGTGATCCTCCCACCTCAGCCTCTAGAGTACCTGGGACTACAGGCACACACCATCACACCTGGCAAATTTTTGTAGAGACAGTGTTTCTGTATGTTGCCCAGGCTGGTCTCGAACTTACCAAAAATATATATATATATATTTTTTGATTAGCCAGGTGTGGTGGTGTGCACCTGTAGTCCTAGCTACTCAGGAGGCTGAAGTGGGAGGGTCACTTGAGCCCAGGAGTTGTAGGCTGCAGTGGGCTATGATTTTGCCACTGCACTCCAACCTGGGTCATACAAGACCCTGTCTCAAAAAATAAAAAAATAAAAAAATAGGAACTGCTTCCAGCTCTGTCTGCCCATAAACTCATTTGGGAAAAAACACTGTTGGATCATTCCAGTTTGGTTCCTACTTCTCAGAGTCACAAGACTGTCTGCATTTAGTTCCAAAATGTAGAGTTCAATCTATCTCCCCAGATAAATAGTTTCTATTTGCAACTCCTCAGAAGCCAAAGTGGCTGGACATTCTTCACCAAATGCCAAGTCTTAGGAAATCAACCAACTGTGTAGAGAAAAGCTGAAGACGGGGTTAAGTGTGCAGTGAGGAAAGGCCTCTGGGAGGTCTTTCCAGACTAGGAAAGAAAGCGACTAGAAGCAGAATGCAAAGGAAAACAGGGGCCAGGTGACCAGAAAAAATCACATCTTCTTGAGCCTCAATTTATTCATCTGGAAAATGAGAGAACTGACAAAAAAAATACACATGCATTACAAGAGTTTGGATGGATGCCCTTCAGAGATCCTTCAAAATTTGGGGAAATTTTTTCCCTTCTTCACTTGGAGACATCAGCAGTTGCTTCCTTGCATAATAAGCAAGAACAGAAATCACCTAGAAGCAGATCTTTGTAGCTCTGCGGAGATTCATTCACTTAAGCAGTTTCCCTTGGTTATGAAGTGAAGGGCTTGTTGGGCCCATCATCCTAAAGAAGGGGTATAACCAAAATGTTGTGTTTTAGATGGATTTTAGAAAACACCCCCTGGTCATGTTTACCTGGCTAGAAAGGGGCAAGAGGTGGATCTTTGGGGTGAAGGTTGTTGAAAATGGTTCTAACCCAGGGCTCCTGGGGCTGGCCTGCACCTTAGAAAATGGCCATGAGGTGAACCAAAAGAGTAGATCCCCAAGAATCACAGGGAGGCCATGAGGCTCCAAAACTGAGTGTGACATTCTGAGGTCATTCCCTGCAGAATCACAGAGAAGAAATGTCACGTGGCATCCAAGAACGGCAGCCCACACAGAAGGCCCAGTCTCTGCCTGAGGGCTCCAGACACAGATCTCCCAGACAATTCAGGCAGCCCTCCCTCTCTGTTCAACCTTGCATCTTCCAGTAGAAATGGAAGCCAACGCACACCCCGTAGAATATTCTAGTGCAAGCCATGCTATTTGCCAAGGCCTGAATCTCTGCCACCTCATGCTCCACGCTCAAGCCACAACTGAGAGTTGAGAGAGGTTATACTTCGACCCTTCCCTCTCAGACATTCTAACTGATGATTGAGCTCAAATTCAAGAATTCGCCCTGGCTCGGTTTGAGGACTGCCTTAGAACTAAATACCAAGTGGTTGCTGGCTTGGTGGCTGGAGCTGGAGAGGAAGAGGCAAAGAAAGAAGTCTGCTGGTCAGGCCCCTAGGCCAGCTACCGGCTGAAGAACACTTTAATCTGTGCTCGAAAAAGCATCTCAGAACTCCAGGATGTGTCCACAACCTGTCTGTGGAAAGAGTGGAAAGGGATGTAGACTTTGTAACTCAGGAACTCTTTTGGGTAAACAATGTTTGCCTAATCTCTTAGCCATGTGTATAAAACAAGGGCCAAGTCCACACATCCAGGGCCCTTATTTCAACATTGTAAGGACTGGCAACGAATCTGATAAGAGTTTGGAAGCTTATTTCTCAACTAAAGCAAATGCTAGGAAGTCCAATACAGCAGGGTTTAAAACTTTTTCTTCAATTTCTAAAATGCAAAACTATCTGGAAAGGAGAAAGTATTCCATCTTGGATTTATACCATACGAGGGTAGTATTTTTATATTAGATTGTAACCAAAATAAACTTGTCCGAATTTAGATCACAGATCTTATTATTCTTGTCCATCGCTCAAGCCCTTCCTTGCCCTTTCCAGCATTCTCCACCGAGAAACCAGCTGTTGGGGTGGATAGCGGCAGTCCAAAAAGCGTAGTATACTGCTGCTGTTCCTTCTTGCTGCCACAAGGTGTCAGTTTTGAAAACTGATCCCCCAACAGCCTGAGCTGAGATGCGGTTTCATTGTTGACTGTTGAAATTTTTTTTTTTTTTTTGAGACGAGGTCTCCACTCTCGCCCAGGCTGGAGTGCAATGGCTGGGTCACGGCTCACTGCAGCCTCAACCTCCGTGGCTCAAGCAATCCTCCGACCTCAGCTCCCAAGTAGCTGGAACTACAGGCACTCACCACCACGCCTGGCTAATTTTTTTTTCTTTTTTTTTTTTTTTCCAGTGATGAGGTCTTGCTGTGTTGCTTAGGCTGGTCTTGAACTCCTGGGCTCAAGAGATCCTCCTGCCTTGGCCTCCCAAAGTCCTGGGATTACAGACATGATTCAGACCATTGCCAGAAACTGCCAGAAATCTTCCAAGCAAAACGATCCCATTCCTCTAGGCTAAGCTCAACTGAGGTGACCCCAAAGTGGCAGCTCTTCCTATATGCCTGCTCAGGCTTGCTTCAGATGCTAGCATCACCCCCACTAACCCAGAAACACTGCTGCACTTTGCCCCTAAGGAAATCCATCCCCTCGGAGTGAGGAAACATTCCCTCTTCAGTTCTCAAAACACAAAGGATATGATACGCCACTGTTTTCTGCAACTGGGGGTTATATCCCTGTCATCGTCCTATAGGGAAGCCTCCCTTATTGGCTCCAGGGGCGCAATACCAGCCTTCTGAGGGAGGGAAGCCACCCGCACTGACTCCAATGTGAGTCACCCTTCCAGGAGCCGCTCCAAGGCACCTACATCTCTCCTTCTACGGAAAGCCGCCTAACGTCATTCCAGGGGTCTTGTAAGACAGGCTACCTGACTTGGACAGAGAGTCCAAGCTGACTTTCTGGAACATTATTATTATTGAGATGGAGTCTCACTCTGTCGCCCAGGCTGGAGAGCAGTGGCACAATCTTGGCTCACTGTGACCTCCGCCTCCTGGGTTCAAGTGATTCTCCTGCCTCAGCCTCCCAAGTATCTGGGACTACAGGCACACACCACCACACCCGGCTAATTTTTGTATTTTTAGTAGAGATGGGATTTCACCATGTTGGTCAGGCTGGTCACGAACTCCTGACGTCATGTGATCCACCCGCCTCAGCCTCCCAAATTGCTGGGATTACAGGTGTGAGCCACCATGCCCAGCCTGGAACTTTTTTTTTTTTTTTTAAGGAAAAAGCCGCACTTATTTAACTGCTGGCCAAACAGTTCACTTCATTATGAACAGGTTATTTCAGTTACTGTTGAAATATCTGATCTTCATTCACTATTTAAACTTGTCACGAGAAAGCACCTTCTGAATAAAGAGTAAGGAACAATGACAACAGTGAAATATAGTCCCAACCTATTTGCCTTTTATCCTATATCAGTAATCAGTTCCTATATCCTCCATCAGAAGATACTGCAAAGATGTTACCTGGATGCGGTTCCTGGCCAAAAACATCCTTCGTTTCTGCCATTCCTTGTTACGTGAACTCCTGCTCTTCTCAGTTCAGGAGAACCAGCCTGTGAAGACAAAGTACAAAGACAGGTGGGGCAGCGGAATTTGAAAATACAGAAAGCAAACCCTAAGGATGTGTCAGTCTGCTTGTGCGGTATTTCTGCCCATTCCAACGTATCTCTGAATCCCTCACAACACCTAGTACACTACTTGATGGAAATATAACAAAGATTAGTGTTTGAACACTGGTTTCCAATAATACTTAGGCCAGGCGCAGTGGCTCATGCCTGTAATCCCAGCTCTTTGGGAGGCCAAGGCGGGAGGATCACTTGAGGTCAGGAGTTCAAGACCAGCCTGACCAACATGGTGAAATGCCGTCTCTACCAAAAATACAAAAATTAGCCAGGCGTGGTGGTGGGTGCCCATAATCCCAGCTACTGGGGAGGCTGAGGCAGGAGAATCTCTTGAACCTGGGAGGCGGGGCTTGTAGTGAGCCGAGATGGAACCACTGCACTCCAGCCTGGATGACAAAGCGAGACTCTGTCTTGAGAAAAAAAAAGAGTCTAAACCAGTATTACCTGAGAGCTTTAGGGTAACTCACGCTGAAATGAGAATAAGCCTCTGGTGACCAGAGCTGTGAAGGTGAATTTATATAGCTTCGCTGCTTTGGGTGGCATCAGTGCTCCACTGGGGCAAGGCTTGAACCCTGAGCCAGTGCTATTTAGTTCCAGAAAGTCTCAGCAGGAATCTGGGAGGTGGAACATTAGATATTCCTAGAGTTCCCTGGAGTTGCTTTGGGGGGCTGCTGACTGGGGAAGGAGATGCAGTGACTTGGTTCCCTGGACCTTCCTCACCAAGCGCAACTTCCACCAGGAGGACACCCCTCCTGGGCTCTCCTTGCAGCTTGCAGCATGGAGCATCTGCAGGAGGGAGAGGAGAGGCACATCCAAAAGAAGAAGGGGCAGATCCAGTTGGTCTCCAGTCCACCAGCAGATAGGGCTTGGACATAGAGGGAGAACTGGACCCGTGGAGGCTCAGAACAGAGGGCACTGCCCAGACAGGGTAGAATCTGCTAGCCTGGAGCTGCTTCATCTCCACCCATAGAGAAGAATTTGAGGAACACGAGTGGGGAACACCCAAGGTGCTTACTTGCCGTTACCTGATGTTTCTGTTTGGATCACTCAGCCGTGTATTTCAAAAGCAGAGTCACCAGCCCTTCTGAAATATGCAAAATCACCTTTGATCTGTCCTACTAGACCCACAGGCTGTTATTTAGGGAAACTATGTCTCATTTACACATTAACCCCAAATTAAAATCACCATTCATCAGTTACTCTTAGTTTGGTTTGCAGATATTAACTGACTAAACGGCTTCTGTATTTGGTGGGTGTTGGGTGAATGGGGTGAGAACCCCTATTAAGTGCAAGATTCTGAGTCTTAGGTAGAGCTCTTTCCCTCTCCCTTCCTCCCCTCTGCAGCCCATTTTCAGATCATCCCACACTCCTTACAGTTCTCCAAAGCAGGGTATCCTATTGAACTGCTGAGCATTTTAGCACATGTGGGGTGCCCTTCCCTTCTTCTCGCAGGTGAATTCCTGCTCTTGCTTCAAAATCCTGTTCTAGTGTTTCCTCTGTGAAACGGTGTCTGATTCCCACTCATTCCCCCCGTGTGTCCCCGGCTCCATACACACCTGTGTTATAACACTGACTGTGCTGTGCTTACGTCTGTTCCTCCTGGTTGAACCACTCGAGGTCAGAGGACTGCATTTTTTTCAGTGGTGCATTTCTATCAAGAAGGGCAATGACTAACTAAACGTTAGCTGAATGAATGGATAACATAATGGATGGGAAGCTTTTGATGAGATTCCACACCAAAGGATGTTTAAAAGCTAAATTTGTTGTTTTGGTCTGGTGGTTTGTTTGCTTGTGACAGAGTCTTGCTCTGTTGCCCAGGCTGGAATGCAGCGGCACAATCTCAGTTTACTACAACCTCCACCTCCTGGGTTCAAGCGATTTTCCTGCCTCAGCCTCCAGAGTAGCTGGGATTACAGGCATTGCACCATCATGCCTGGCTAATTACAATTTTAGTAGAGATGGGGTTTCACCATGTTGGCCAGGCTGGTCTTGAACTCCTGGACTCAAGTGATCCACCCACTTCAGCCTCCCAAAGGGCTGGGGTTACAGGTGTGAGCCACCATGCCTGGCCCTGAATTCATTTTTGGTATGTTAGAGTCCTTGATTGAAGAGTAAAGCAAAGAGTAGAAATAAATAGTCAAGTATGCAAATGAAGCGGCACTCACAGTGAGGACTGCTCCACGGGGATGAGGAATATTTGATGTGAGGTAGGGAAGACACAGGTAAAGGCAGAAGATGGGGGCAGGGGCCTTCATGGTGGTCTTCAAATGCATTACCTTACAGCTGCAAATAAAAGAGACATCCTGCATATTTTCTAGGGTTCCCAGAGGGTAGAAATAGATCCACTAGGTGGCAGGTACAAGAAAGCATTTTGGTTTAACATTCTCAACTAATCAGAGTTGTCCAAAATGGAATGAGCTCCCTTAGGAAACCGTGAGTTTTCTGCCTCTAGAGGTGTCTGAACCTATATTGATATGACCACCTAATAACGACATTGAGATAGATAAATTTTAAGCCTTCTTCAAATCCCAAGATTCTATGTTCTTACTTGAAATTTTCACCAAGAAAGCTGGTAGTAGAAGTGCCCTATGAGGTCACCAAATTTCACAAGAGGCACAAGCAATTTCTGGTTTGGAATACTGAGTCAGAAATGCTGACACACATCAAAACCTAGGTGAGCTACAAGAAAAAAAAAGGTAGATGGGCTATAACATGAGTAAATATACCATAATGCATGTCAATAATTTTAGGCAGGGTGTGATGGCTCATATCTATAATCCCAGCACTTTGGGAGGCTGAGGAGGGAGGATTCATTGAGCCCTGGAGTTTGAGACCAGCCTGGGCAATCAAGTGAGACCTTGACACTACCAAAAAAAAAAAAAAAGAAAGAAAGTAGCCGGTTGTGGTGACACACACCTGTAGTACCCACTATTTGGGAGGCTAAGATGGGAGGATCCCTTGAACCCTGGAGTTCAAGGTTGCAGTGAGCTATGATTGCACCACTGCACTCCAGCCTGGGTGACAGCAAGACCCTGTCTCAAAGAAAAAAAAAAATTAGATACAGAACTAGGATTACCCCTAGGAAAAAGATCTGTTGTTTTCTGAAGAGAGCAGCTTAAGGAGTAACTCGTATGAAATGCTAGGCATCATATTATCACAGTGAGCACTGGAAGCAAAACAAAATGTATGATACAACCAGTGAACAAATCCATGGTCGACCTCCAGGACAGCTGGTGTGCTGGAATTCAAATTCTAGGAGGAAACAGTGGAGCCGGATAAAGTACAAAAGAACTGATAGACCAAGTTGATAAGAGTCGTGGTCATACAGACACTAAGATTAGGGACCTTCAATTGAGAGAGCTGTGGATTAAAGGGCACAAAATCAAAGGGCCTTGAGTTTAGAGCAGAAGCAGCTGTGGTCACTGAATTCTGGAATACGGGTAGTAGTTTTGGCTTCTTTCAGAATCACAAGAACTTTAGTTCATTTGACTTCATTTACTAAATCAACAGTACACAGTGTCCAGCAAGGGCCGTTAGCATGTAACTAGCTGGGGTTGGTTTGGGTTTAGCTGCATGCAATGAAGACAGAAAACCACACAACTTCCTCCGTAGCAGCATCTATGGTTTCTGTATACAAGTAATTTGTGAACTCTAACTGAAATTTGGAATCATTGGAAATTATGTGGTTTGGTTGTGGTGGATTGGGCTTCAAATTCCTTTGGCCAATGTTCAAAGACTGGCAGGAAGGGATCATTTGATGACCAAACAAAAACACTAGCAAATGGAAAGGGATCATTTGCAAAAAGGCTAAGAGGACAGAAGAAAATAAACACCAAGTACATAAAAAGGAAAAGCGATAAACAAATGGGGGTAGTTTGGTACAGACATTCAGTATATAGTCATTGGGTTGAACTAAATGATGAGGTGGGAAGAACATTAGGCTGGAAATCTGGTGTGGAAGCTTCCAGCTCCAGCTTTACCACCCATCAATAAAGCTGGAGGACTTAAGACAAGTCGTTTTATCACCCTGGCCTCAGGTTTCCCATGTGTAAGGCAAAGACTGAACTAGTCCTTAAAGTGTGAGTGTTCTCTGATTTAGATGGGTGCTAAAAAGACACAAATTCTCATTTTGAAAATGTCACCTGTCATTGAAACTGAGACCGTACCAATGATTAGGGCTTCCGTGTGGCCAAGAGCAGTACACCAAGAGCACTGTGATTTCAAGTGCATTGTATTAAGGAGAAAATGAGCTACAGGAGTATAGTCCTTCTTCAAATCATCCTGCAGTCTATTTCCCCCCAAAGGGAAGGAATGGTGGTGTTCATTGTGAAAATTTGGTTTCTGTGGAGAAGCAATTGATAACAGTCCAAATTTATTGCTCAGATAAGCAAGGTTCTGCCTGTGTGGTTTATTTTGCTTGTATTTCAGCTATGTGGTTAGCACTGAAGTTTTGCTTTTAGTGCTTATTTACATTCATGTGCACTGAACCTAAGAATAGCATCTTTTAAATAAGACTGTGCACATTCAGCTAGATATAGGAAGGCTGCACAGAACTGATTTCCTGATAAATAATTGTAACTTTTCACAGTTATTCTTGCTTCTCTCCCCCTCCTTTTCTTCTGTTTGTGTTTGCTTATTGTTTTTTTTCTTACAGGAAAATCACAGAGGCAACACAAACGCAGGTCATTCCTGTACTAGAACAGCTGCATATCATGGCATTGAATAAAGAATGCGGGCCGGGTGCGGTGGCTCTCGCCTGTAATCCCAGCACTTTGGGAGGCTGAAGCAGGTGGATCACAAGGTCAGGAGTTTGAGACCAGCCTGACCAGCATGGTGAAACCCCATCTCTACTAAAAATACAAAAATTAGCCCGGTGTGGTGGCACGCGCCTGTAATCCCAGCTACTCAGGAGGCTGATGCAGGAGAATTGCTTGAACCCAGGAAGTGGAGGTTGCAGTGAGCCGAGATCACGCCACTGCCAGCCTGGGCAACAAAGCGAGATTTCGTCTTAAAAAAAAGAATGCTAGGGCCCCTTCTTCTACAGATCCAGACCCTGAGGACCAGGAAGGGGAAGAAACTTGTCCAAGGTCACATAGTAAGATTATGGCAATGAGGGCTGAAACTCAGTTTTCCTGACTCCAAGTTCAATGTTCTTTTCATCACATTCAGCAGCCTCTAATAGGCACTATTTAAACAAGCCCCCTGGAGCTCAGGCATAGGGCAATGGAAGGAGTAGTGCCCGCAAAGGAGGGTTCCCTCAAATGCATGGCAAAGGCATTTCATGAGAAGGAAGGCTGTTGAGTGGGGAGAGAGAGTAGCAACTTGATAGAATTGTATGCAGGAACTGAAGCTGAAGCTACTGCCTGCAAACTGCTTTTTTGTTTTTGTTTTTGTTGTTCTTTGTTTTTTTGTTTGTTTGTTTGTTTGTTTTGAGATGGAGTTTTTGCTCTATCGCCCAGGCTGGAGTGCAGTGGCACATGATCTCAGCTCACTGCAACCTCCGCCTCCCAGGTTCAAGCGATTCTCCTGCCTCAGCCTCCCGAGTAGCTGGGATTACAGGCACCTGCCACCATGCCCGGCTAATTTTTGTATCTCTAGTAGAGACAAGGTTTCACTATGTTGGCCAGGCTGGTCTCGAACCCCTGACCTCAGGTGATCTGCCTACCTTGGCCTCCCAAAGTGCTGGGATTACAGGCATGAGCCACCATGCCCAACCTTACTGCCTGCAAACTTGAAGACACCCTCAGAAGTAAAACAAGCCAGAGAGAGAGAGAGAGACTATCAGAGGAATACATTTTCACTGCATTTTTTCTGTGTTCAATGCAAAATTCAATGTGTTTATTACAAATGACAAATGTCCTTTTCTTTTCCCCTAGTTATTCTCCTTAGGCAGAATCTCATTTCACCCTACCTTGCCTCGCATCATTAACCCTTGCCAACACTATTTACTTACTTAAATTTAAATGCTTAAATTAGCAAAGTTTCTCAAAGGGGCATTTTGGTCATTAACATTGGTTTACTCTCTACTTTTAATAAATATGGGAAGTACTTGGTACACAGCAAGCACTAAATAATTTGTTGAATGAATGATGATAGATATAATTTTTTGTATCTATATCTAGATAGATCTATCTAGATCTAGATATAGATATATATCTTAGATGGTAAGATCAAGAATAGCAGAAATTATATTTACTATTTTATTTATCCATCCATTCATTCAACAAATATTTGTGAGTGCCTATGATGCACCAGGCACTGTTCTAGATACTGGGGGTACAGCAGGAAACAATGTGGTCACAGTATCTGCAAACAAAGGGCTTCCATATTCCAGATGTGAATGGTGGAGCAAAAATTATTAGGGATTTGGAGTCAGAATGCCTGGATTTTTGCTCCTGCTCCCAATCTTCAATGCAACACAGAGCAAATCACCTGATCTCTCTGAGCCTCTATTTCTCCACATATAGGATAGAATTGGTTTTAAAAAAAATACCTGTATCAAGAATTCATTGGCCAGGCATGGTGGCTCATGCCTGTAATTCTAGCACCTTGGGAGGCCAAGGTGGGCCGATCACTTGAGGTCAGGAGTTCGAGACCAGCCTGGTCAACATGGTGAAACCCTGTCTCTACTAAAAATACAAAAATTACCTGGGCATGGTGCAGCATGCCTGTAATTCCAGCTGCTTGGGAGACTGAGGCAGGAGAGTCACTTGAAGCCAGGAAACAGAGGTTGCAGTGAGTTGAGATCGCACCACTGCACTCCAGCCTGGGCAACAGAGCGAGACTCCACGTCAAAAAAATAAAAAATAAAAAAGAGTTCGTTGTGAGAATTAAATGTGATAATGAATGCAAAATTGCTCTGCAGGCACTTATGCATCTGTACAAATGTTATTTTTTGAATATTTTATGAAGGTAGTTAAACTAGAAATCAGTACTAGTGTCATCCAGGCCACGTCTGTTAGTCTTTGGGGAACAGATGCCACCTTAGCTGAGATTCTGACTCCCGTTCTTGTCCCTATTGATCAAACACATTGAGGATGCTCTACCATCTTCCTTAAAGAATCTTCGATCAGCTGGGTGCAGTGGATCACACCTGTAATCCCAACATTTTGGGAGGCTGAGCCGGGCAGATCATGAGGTCAGGAGTTTGAGACCATCCTGGCTAACTCGGTGAAACTCTGTCTCTACTAAAAATACAAAAAATTAGCCAGCCGTTGTGGCACATGCCTGTAGTCCCAGCTACTCAGGAGGCTAAGGCAGAGGAATCGCTTGAACCCGGGAGGCGGAGGTTGCAGTGAGCTGAGATCATGCCACTGCACTCCAGCCTGGGCAACAGAGTGAGACTCCATCTCAAAAAAAAAAAAAACAATCTTTGGTCAAGTTTTTTCTTGCTCTCACAAGAAGGTGAGCTGAAGAATGAAAGAAGGAAGAGGAGGAGACTGTTAATGAAATGATAGAATGTTGATGAAATTTAGAATTTATTTCCTTTCTCTTTGAGTTTGGGTTTAGGTTTAAGTAACTTTGGTGTTGGCAACATTTCCTAACCACCTCGTTGGCCACTGCACTGCTCTTCCAAACTAGGGATGTCCCAAGGCAGCAATTTAAACACATTAGCTCAGAAGCAAAAGTGAAACAAGGGCCTCCAAATCTCTAAAGGAAAAGAGGTATGTTTTCAGCATTAACACATCGGCTAATGTGTTCAGAATTAGAAATGTGGCCACCAGAAGCAGTCGTAGTAGAAGGGAGGCTTTAGGATGACATGTTTTTCTCCATCTTTCTTCCCTAGGTAAAGAGGTAAGCAAAATAAGCAGATATTTTCATAACGTACTTTAGCAGATTCTAGCGAAACGAATTTGAATCTTCTCATATTGCTCTCCCAAGCTTGTTAAAGCTAATGAGGCATAAGATGACACTTCCCTCCTTATCAGGAATTCATACACCTGCCAGCAATTTCTGCAATAGCTGTTTTCTTTTGGGAGGAATGATTAATGACTTGCCTAAGATCACACTGTTCTGTAAAATTCAAACTAAAACCTGATTCTCCCCATTTCTAGCCCACTGGCCTTTTTACATAGCCTTAAAATTCACTTAAACAGCCTGAGCATGGTGGCTCATGCCTGTAATCCCAGCACTTTGGGAGGCTGAGAGGAGAGGGGATCCCTTGGGCCCAGGAGCTTGAGACCAGCCTTGGCAACAAAGTGAGACCCTCATCTCTACAATTTTTTTTTTAATTAGCTGGGCATGGCAGCATGTATCTGTAGTCCCAGTTATTCAGGAGGCTGAGGCAGGAGGATTACTTGAGCCCAGAAGGTGAAGATTACAGTGAGCCATGTTCATACCACTGCACTCCAGCCTGGGTAACAGACCGAAGCCTCAAAAACAAACAAACCAAACCCCCAAAATTCACTTAAGCAAACAGAAAAGTAAAATTCACTTTCCCTCAAGAAATAACTTGCTTTAAGAAAATCAAAGGAGAGAGAAGAGACAAATGTCCCATATACAGAAGAATTCCAAATAATTTACGTAGCTACTCCATCCTCAAGGAGGTAGAATAAAACTCCCTGCTCCTTAAGTGTGTGCTGTGCATAGCAGCTTCTTTCCAAAGAGAACACGGCGGAGATTGGAGCAGGGAAAGGATCACCTTATAGCAGAGAAACCAGACAAGCGCTGCCTCTACCAGGTGGTCAAGGTCAACACCAACAGTCCTAAATCATGTTGACAATATTATCCCTTGATATGATGTGATGAGAACAGCACTTTAACTCTGGGACTCCTTCCCCAAAACCCATAACTCCAGTCTAATAATGAGAAAAACATCAGACAAATGCCAATAGGAGAAGCCTACAAAATACCCAACCAGTACTCCTCAAAACTGCCATATTCATCAAAAACAAGGAAAGTCTGAGAAACAACGCTACAGCTAAGAGGAGCCTAAGGGAACATAACTAAATATAATGTGCTATCCTGATAGGATGCCACAGTAGAAAGCAGACGTTAGATAAAAACCAAGAATCTGAATCAAGCACAGACTTTAGTTTAAGAATAACGTATCAGTATCGGTTCATCAGTTGTAACAAATGTACCACACTAATACAAGATAATGGGGAAGTTGGGTGGGAATTACATGGGAATGCTCTAAACTATCTTCTCAATATTCCTGTAAACTCAAAACTGTTCTAAAAATTAAGGTCCATTTTTAAAAAATCAACCACAAGTTACAGTACAAATTACATAAAAGAAACAACTTACCAGATGTCACTGAACAGAAAAAAAAAAAAAAAGTTCTGGTTTGGTTACAGGAGTCCACAGAGGAGATGGTGGCAGCTTCTCCTTGGTTCAGGTATTTGGAACCAGCTGGGGTACGTAGCCCTTTGGGCCACAATCACAAAGCCACGTTTACACAGCAGAAGTGAAACCAACTTGCCATCAGGGAGCTATTTACCATGGTCTCCTCCCACAGATACTGATTTATTCTGTCTTCTTTCACTTAAATCTAAATTCACCAGGCACGGTGGCTCACTCCTGTAATCCCAGCACTTTGGGAGGCTGAGGCAGGCAGATCACTTGAGGTCAGGAGTACAACAGCAGCCTGGCCAACATGGTGAAACCTTGACTCTACTAAAAATACAAAAAAAAAAAAAAAATCAGCCAGGCGTGGTGGCAGAACCCTGTAGTCCCAGCTACTCAGGAGGCTGAAGCAAGAGAATCACTTGAGCCTGGGAGGTGGAGGTTGCAGTGAGCCAAGATCGCGCCACTGCACTCCAACCTGGATGATGGAGCAAGACTACATCTCGAAAAAAAAAAAAATCTAAATGGTACATGAAACGGGGATCTTGCACCCTTCTCTGCCATGTTCCTACAAGTAGACAGATGTCTTTTTTCCTTTCCAAGTGCATCACTGCATCCTTCCACAGCATCTTTTCTCTGAGGGTGAACAATATTCAGATGACTGGTTCACTGGAGCAGACAGGAAAAATGCCCCAGTTCCAAGACAGACAAAGCACTGGCTCCCCGACACCCAACTATAAGACATGACTGGGAGAGATGGAGGATATGAGATAATAAATATAAAGTTATTCTTGACCCAAAGTCTTAAAATTCACCAAAAATAACATTTGCCAAAAATAAAACAACATTGGATTGTTTGAGTGTAGAAATGAGTGATATACCGCTTTACACCTCTTTCTGGAACTTAAATTTTAAATCCGTATATTTTTATGTCTTTATTTAGTTAGAGACAAGGTCTTGCTCTGTCACCCAGCCTGGAGTGCAGTGGCGTGATCATAGCTCACAGCAGCCTCGACCTCCCAGGCTCAAGCCATCCTCCCACCTCAGCCTCCTGGGTAGCTGGGACCATGGTCATGCTCCATCACGCCCATCTAATTTTAAATTCATATTTTTAATAAACCCAGAAAACAAAAATTTGAAAGTGCTGTCCAGGAGAGAAGAAAATAAAACCCACTCCACTTTGCTGTGTCTGGCAACCCAAACCATCACATCACATACAGGGAAAAAGTTGTCCCTTGAACCCTCAGCTTCAGGGTGTGTGTTACCTTTTTTTTTTTTTTGTGAGACACAGTCTTGCTCTGTCACCCAGGCTAGAGTGCAGTGGCGCCGTCTCAGCTCACTGCAACCTCCGTCTTCCGGGTTCAAGAGATTTTCCTGCCTCAGCCTCCTGAGTAGCTGGGACTACAGGGGTGCGTCACCATGCCTGACTTTTTTTTTTTTTAATTTTAGTAGAGACAGGGTTTCACCATGTTTGCCAGGCTGGTCTCGAACTCCTGATCTCATATGATCCGCCCACCTTGGCCTCCCAAAGTGCTGGGATTACAGGTATGAGCTACTGTGCTGGGCCAAGGGTGTATGTTACCTTTAAAGGCCAACTCAGTCATTACCAAGACAACCCTCAGTACTCTAGGTATGTATTTAGTCTGAAGAGGGGATTCAGAAGGTAAAGAGGTCAGAACAGGGAAAGAATTGAAGATAAATGTTTAGACTGTGGTCTTAAAAACTGCTTTGAACTTTTGGCAAGATGACGTCCCTCCTCCATAAGAAAACCACAGAAACACCAGGCTAAAGTTCAGAACAAAGAAAGTCAGCACAAATGCCATCCTGGATGCTGAGTCTTATACTGATCTCTCTAGGCAAAATCACACCTTACGCTTACATTCATGTCACGTGTGCTCAGCTCTCCCTCTACTGGCTATTTCTTAGCTTCAACAGTTAACCACAAATGCTACTAAATTACTTAATTATTAAAATTAATTTTGAGCATTTTTAAAGCTTCCTGGGGCAAGGCCCAGTGGCTCACACCTGTGATCCCTGCATTTTGGGAGGCCGAGGTGGACAGATCACCTGAAGTCAGGAGCTTGAGACCAGCCTAGCCAACATGGTGAAACCCTGTCTCTACTAAAAATACAAAATCTAGCCGGTCATGGCAGTGTGTGCCTGTAGTCCCAGCTACTCAGGAGGCTGAGGCAGGAGAATTGCTTGAACATGGGAGGCAGAGGTTGCAGTGAGCCAAGATCAGGCCACTGCACTCCAGCCTGGGCGACAAAGGGAGACTCCATCTCAAAAAATAAAAAAATAAAGCTTCCTGAGTTCCTTTATTTGTTTGCTTGTTTTTGTTTGTTTGTTTTAGACAGGGTCTCACTCTGTCACCCAGGCTGAAGTGTAGTGGCGTTATCACGGCTCACTGCAACCTCAACCTCCTGGGCTCAAGTGATCCTCCCACCTCAGCCTCCCAAGCAGCTGGGACTACAGGCATGTGCCACCACACTTAGCTTAAAAAAACAAAAAACAAAAAAAGAAAAACAAAAACAAAACAAAACTTTAGTAGAGATGAGGTCTCCTTATGTTACCCAGGCTGAACTCAAACTCCTGAGCTCAAGCGATCCTCCCATCTTGGCCTCCCAAAGTGTTGGGATTACAGGTGTAAGCCACTGGGTCCAGCCTCTGGGGTTCTTTATGGTAGTCCTTGGCACCTGCTATTGGACGCCTGAATGCTAGGCCTGTTAGATGTTTCTCCATTCTCTCAGGCTGAATTTCCATTGAGCTCACTGAAAACACTGAAGCAATGAGACCGTCCACAGAGCCTCATCATCACCCCCAACCACCTATCCGGTGCTCTGCCCTCCAGCCTGTTGCTAGATGAACTATCCATGCACCCATTAAAGGCCAATCCCTTCTCTGTGCACCAGATTCCATCCCTCTCTCTAACTGAAGAACCATGTAGAGTACTTCCTCCTCTTCTCTAATTCACCAAACTTTCACTCTCCACTGGATTATTCCCATCTGTGAACAGATTTGATGTCATTCATTCCACCTTAACAAACACTCCCTGGACCTCCATTTCCCTGCCAGGTATTAGTATATTTCTCTGCACTTCTTTATGACAAAACTCCTAGGCTGGGCATGGTGTCAGCACTTTGGGAGGCTGAGGCAGGAGGATCACTTGAACCCAGGAGTTCAAGACCAGTCTGGGCAACATAAGGAAACCCCTGTTTCTACAAAAAATAAAAATAAAAATTAGCCAGGCATGGTGGTGCATGCCTATAGTCCCAGCTACTTGAGGGGCTGAGATGGAAGGATCACTTGAGCCTGGGAGGTCGAGGCTGCAGTGAGCTGTGATTGTACCACTGCACTCCAGCCTGGGTGACAGAGCAAGACCCTGTCTCCAAAAAAACAAACAAAACCCCACAACTCCTCAAAAGAGTTGTCTCTACTTACTGTCTCAAATTCCTTTCCTCTCAAGCTAATATAAACCTATTCCAGTCAAGCCTTCACCCTTCCCATCCCATTAAAGCTGTTCTTGTCAAAGTCCACAATGATCCTGGTCAATTTTCAACCTTTATCTTTCTTGAGCCATCAGGAGCATTTGACCTGGTTGATCATTCCCTCCTGTTTGACAAACCTCCTACACTTGGCTTTCAGATAACCACTCCCCTAGTTTTCATCCCATCTCCCTGGAAGTGCTCCTCAGTCTCCTTCACTGGTTATTCCCTCGCTTCTCAACCTGTTAATAATAAAATACCCCAAGGCTTCATCTTCGGTCTCTTTCCTTTCCACAGCCACCCTGTTTCGTAGCTTTCAATTTCGTTCACATACCGATGGCTCTCGACTGATATCCAGTGTCAACCTCTTTCGTGTCTTCCTGTTCACTAGTCATCCGAAAATACAAGTTCAAACCAATCCCCGCCAGTCCCTTGAAACACCTCTCCACCTAATTTTCTCCATTTCATCTAATGATAACTACATTTTTCCAGTCCCTTGGTCAAAAAGCTTTGGTGTCACATTTGATGTTGCTGTCTGCCTTTCATATTCCACATCTGATCTGTCAAAAAGTCTTGTTGAAATCTTCAAATTATATTCAGAATCTGAACACTTCTCACCACCTTCACTGCTGACTACCCCGATTTGAGTCTCAATAATCTCTGGCCTCATTCAGTGGTTCCTAAGTTTTGCTGCACGTTGGAATAACCCAGGATCTTTTAAACATGCTAATGCCTGACTCCCACCCCTTGATATTCTGATTTAATAGGTGTGGGATGTAATCTGGGCACTGGGAATTTTTCACTGCTCTCCAGGTGATTCCAATTGCAGCAAAGTTTGGGAATCATTGGCCTGGCTATGGTAACCGCCACCCACCTGATCTCCCCACTTCCACACCAACCCCCTCCCACAGTCTATTCTCAATGCAGCAAATAGACATGCTTTTAAATTACAGATCAGATCCATTCAATTCTCTGCTAAAAACACCAGTGGCTCCCCATCTCAATTAGGGTAAAAGCCAAAGGCTTTTCAATGGCCCACAAGGTGTTACATGAGCTGCACTGCCCCCTGTCCCATGCGCCACTCCTCTGACCTCTCTTTCACATTGCCTCACCCACTGCTCCCGTGATGTCAGCCTCCTCAGTCTCCTTGAACACCCCAGACATCCTCTCACCTAGGACTTTTTTTCTTTTTTGAGATGGAGTCTCGCTCTGTCACCAGGCTAGAGTGCAGTGGTGTGAGATCTAGGCTCACTGCAACTGCCACCTCCCAATTCTCCTGCCTCAGCCTCCCGCGTAGCTGGGAGTGCAGGCGCGTGCCACCATGCCCAGCTAATTTTTGTATTTTCAGTAGAGACAGGGTTTCACCATGTTGGCCAGGATGGTCTTGATCTCTTGACCTTGTGATCTGCCTGCCTCAGCCTCCCAAAGTGCTGGGATTACAGGCGTGAGCCACTGCGCCTGACCTTCACCTAGGACCTTTGCACTAACCATTATCTTAGCCAGAAATACTCTTTCCCACATATCTACACATCAAGTATTAGCTCAAATATCACATTGTCAATAAGGCCTACTGTAACCCCTATTTAAAATTATACCTTTAACCACCTATCTCCCTCCCCTCTCTGAGATAAAACAGGGAAGAGGTAGAGGATGGTGCCATTAGATAAGGAAGAGCAGATCTGGAGTAATAATAGAGTTCTGTTTGGGACATGTTAAGTTTGAGATGCCTATTAGACACCCAAATCTAACAAGATATCAAATAGGGGAAAAGTTGGGGTTGGACTGGAAACCTGGGAGCAAACACGTGGTGCTCTGGGGATCACCTTGGAGAGACAAGGCTGAGTGACCCCCATGGAACACTAGTATTCTGAGGTGAGGCAGAGACAGAGTTCACAAAAGAAAGAGAAGAGAAACCAAGAGAGTTGGAGGGCCCTGTCATAAAAGATGTTCATGGAAGAGTTGACAAAAAGAGTCAAACTCTGTAAAATACTTGAAGAGATTTATTCTGAGCCATGATTGACCAACTGAGGCAAGACAGGCAAGCTCCAAAATTGGGGCTTTGCCTGGGAGGGTTCTTGGCTTTGCCCAGGAAACAATTCAAGGGTGAGCTGATGGTGTTAAATAGCAACTTGCATTGAAGCAGCAGTGCACAGCTGCAGCAGAGGGACTGCTCCTTGCCGAGCAGGGCTACTCACAGGCAGTGCCCAGAAGAGCAGCTCAGAGGCAGTTCTGCAGTCATATTTATACCCACTTTTAACTGTATTCAAATTAAGGGGCAATTTACGCAGAAATGTCAAGAATGAGGATGGTAACTTCCAGGTCATCAGGTCATTGCCATGGAAAGGGGAGGGTAATGTTCAGGTGTTGCCACGGCAATAGTAAACTGACATGGCATACTGGTGGGCATCTTATGGAAAGTTGCTTCCACCCCTGCCCTGTTTCAGCTAGTCCTCAACTTGATCCAGTGTCCAAACTCTGCCTCCAGAACAGAGTCCCACTTCCTACCTCACATGGTCTGTGACAGAGCCCCAGGGGATCCTGAGAACATGTGTCCAAGGTGGTCAGGTTACAGCTTGATTTTATACATTTTAGGGAGTTATAAGACATTACTACATGTAAGATGTATATTGGTTTGGTCCAGCATGGAGGAAAAGTTAAATATTAAATCTGAATTCAATTGAACCTGGACACAAACAATAGTCACCAAGTCCTGGAACAAGTTTTGTGAGTCCCTTGAGGCTTTCATCCAGCGCTGTTTCAGAGAAATCTCTATTTCAATCTATTCCTATACATTAGTTATTGAAAAACAATAGACAATAGCAAAAACAAGTTGACCTTTTTGTGTTCCTTGAGCCTGGTTGTGAAGGGCCCTTGTGACTGGGCCTCATGCCAAACAACTTGTTACAAAAAGAGCTAGGGTCCCAGGCCCAGCCGAAGCTTCAGGAGACCTATCCTCATCTGTGCAAGGAGGAGTGGCCAACTCTGGAGCCCAGGCTGTTGCTTCCTGGTCTGGTGGTGAATCCTCCATAGTCTGGTGAGTGTAGTGCCCAACTCTGGAGCCCAGGATGTTGCTTCCCGGTCTGGTGGTGAATCCTCCATAGTCTGGTGAGTGTAGTGTCCAAGTCTGGAACCCAGGCTGTTGCTTCTTGGTCTTGTGATAAATCCTCCATAGTCTGATGGGTGGGTGTGTGTGTGTGTGTGTGTGTGTGTGTGTGTGTATACACATATACTTTCCCTTCTACCCTTCCCATTGCAATTTGCTTATTATATCTGCATTGCCATTTACATGGGATAAAGGTCGTTTACCCTTAAAGGTATTGTGTATGTGTCTTTTCTTCTCCCCTCACGCATATCCCACAGAGAACAACCAGAAAGGTGGGACAACTCAAAGCATTGATGTGGGGTCAGGGGGCAACACTTTCAGGTCACAGGCAGATTCAGTTTTCTCTGACTGGCAATTGGTTGAAAGAGTTATTATCTATAGACCTGAAATGAACAGAAAGGAATGTCTGGGTTAAGACACAGAGTTGTGGAGACTAAGGTTTTATCATGCAGAGGAAGCCTCCAGGTAGCAGGCTTCAGAGAGAATAGATTGTAAATGTTTCCTTTTTTTTTTTTTTTTTTTTGAGCCGGAGTCTCACTGTGTCGCCCAGGCTGGAGTGCAGTGGTGCAATCTCGGCTCACTGCAAGCTCTGCCTCCCGGGTTCACGCCATTCTCCTGCCTCAGCCTCCCAAGTAGCTGGGACTACAGGGGCCCACCACCACGCCCGGCTAATTTTTTGTATTTTTAGTGGAGACGGGGTTTCATCATGTTAGCCAGGATGGTCTTGATCTCCTGACCTTGTGATCCGCCCACCTCGGCCTCCCAAAGTGCTGGGATTACAGGCATGAGCCACCGCGCCCGGCCGTAAATGTTTCTTATCAGACTTTAAGAGTCGGTTCTGTGCTCTATCAGCCTTAAGGTCTCTGTGTTGATGTTAACACTGGTTAGCAGCTCCTGAATTCTAAAAAGGAGGAGGGAATAAGGAGGCATGTCCAACCCCACTTCCCATCATGGCCTGAGCTAGTTTTTCAGTTTAACTTTGGAATGCCCTGGGCTGAGAATTATTTTCGGTTTACAGAGGAGAACTTATGTTCATTGGTATAGGATGACAATGAGGTCAGACAAATACCACTGAACTTGGCAGGCTGGGAAGTTACAAAGCTTAGCAAGGCCAGTTTCAGTGTCATAGTGGGGTCAAAGCCTCGTTGTTGCCTCAATTCTAGTAGGGTACATATTCCTGTCTTTATTAATGGGAGAGGTTCTTAATCTCCAGCCCATGGACAAAGGAGATCATAGATGGGTTTCAGGAAAACATCCCAAGTCCTGCCTCCAAATTTTGCAAAATTTTGTGCCTGTGTATTTTTCTGGAGAACGTAAACCAAACAGTGTCTGAGACAGGTCTCAGTCTGGAGGTTTATTCTGCCAAGGTTGAGGACACACCCAGGAAAAAGAGACATAAGTTATCATGGAATCTGTGGCCTGTGGTTTTTCCAAAGAGGGTTTTGAGGACTTCAATATTTAAAGGGAAAGAGCAGACAGAAGGGGAAAGAGGAACAACTATGCATTCATTTCACACTCAGTAAATCTGCCTTTTACAGAAGACAAAGTAAACATAGAGGAAGGAGTCAAATATGCATTTTTCTTGGGGTGGACTGAAGGGTGATTTCTAGTCTTGTCCTTGTCCCCTACCTACTGTAAATTTGCATGGTCAGGGTGGAATTCAACAGAAGTGTTGTAAGGTAAAGACTCTGCCACTCACAAGGAATTTCCCTGTGAGCAACTCCTCTGGGAGGCCACCTAGGGAGATATGTGGGCTTCTGTCTTTGCAGCTGTTTAGGAACAGAAGGAAGGCAGTTTTTGCGTGACTCAGTTCACAAGCTTAACTTTTTGTTGTTGTTGTTGTTGTTGAGACAGGGTCTCGCTCTGTCGTCTAGGCTGGACAACAGAGAATGATCTCCACTCACTGCAACCTCCACTTCCGGGTTCAAGAGATTCTCCTGCCTTAGCCTCCCAAGTAGCTGGGATTACAGGCGTGCACCACCACGCCTGGCTAATTTTTGTATTTTTAGTAGAGACAGGGTTTCACCATGTTGACCAGGGTGGTCTTGAATGCCAGACCTCAGATGATCTGCTGGCCTTGGCCTCCTGAGATGGGCATAGTGCTAGTATTACATGTGTGAGCCACTGCGCCCGGCCCTAAGCTTAACTTTTTTCTTTGGCAGAGTTTAGGGTCCCGAGATGTTATTTTCCTTCCACAAGAGACATCCACAGCTTTCACGATGGTTACCGATCATATGTGCCATTCATCTAAGACCAAGGTGACCACCTGGTCCCAAAGCCTGCACCTCGGATTCTTACTCGATTCCCGCCTGGTCTCTTCCAGGCCCTCAGTTAGTTTCCACAACATGGGAGGGTTCCTCCTCCGTGGTCTCGCCCATTCGCGTTCCCACCCACCCTCCCCGGATGTGACGACCCTGGGCTCCCACTCCCCCCCATGAGAGACCATCCACTTCCACCCTTTCACTTAGGCTTCCTGGCGCAGCCTCTATCCAGGAACTCTGTCCCATAGCTGTACTGCCCAGGTCGAGCTTTCTAACCCCAAGATGCCACTCCGTTCAGACGTTCCCATCCTCCATCCCTGAGACCCGGGGCAGGATCGCAGCCTAGGGGCCTCACGGGCCGCCTGCTACCCTGTTAGTTGCAACACGGGGCGGGGCGTGGCTTTGTGCACGTCGGCTTCCGGGAAGAGCTTTACGATACATTGACCGACATTTTACGACAGGCGGGATTGTTTTGTGGCTGTCAGCTTTCCCCGTGGTCTGAGTTTGTGGCTGCATTTTTATCTCTGGTGGCTCTGCTACGGCGGCGCAGAAATGAGGCAGAAGCGGAAAGGTGCGAAAGGGGAAGGAGATGGGGGAAAGGGGTGGTCCGAAAGGGGCGAACGCCCAGGCAATCAAATGCTGAACCGAACTTTTACCGCGAGAATCCGCTACCCAGTCCAGTCGCCCCGCCACCTAGGGTCAGTGTGTCCATTCTGGTCCCCGAGCCTTCTCGTTTTTCCTGTTTTGCTTTTTGAAGCACCCTACCCTTCCTCTCTTCCTCTTTGGCAGTCACGTGGTGTCTTGTTTGAATGGCAGGGAAACCATTATTCCAATATATGCCCTCCGAGGAGTTAACGTCGATTTAACGGGTTGTAGGACTTTTCATTTGTTAAGATTTGTTTCACGACACATTTGACGTGTTAGAGAGTTTCTTTTAAAGCCTTATTTTAAGATATTAAAAAAACCTTAATTATCCTTGGATTCAGTGTAAGAGTTGTGCATGCAATTATTCCCATTTTTATTACATCATGAGTTAGCAATGAACAATTCCACCTTTGGTTTTTCAACAGGACGGATTCAAATTTGAAATATTCTCTCACAGGTTCTGTTCCTATTTCTGTATCTCACAGGTTCTGTTCCTATTTCATTTGACCAGCTGGTCTAATCATGGTAATTGTTGTCAGAATAATAGCTACCATTTATTGAGCTTGTATTTTGAAGTCGGTATCATTTCCATTTTACAGATGAAGAAGCTGAGATTCAAAGAGTTAAGTAACTTTCCCAGACCAAAATTATACTTAGATATGGAGCTGGCTGGTCAGGCTGTATCTGTGACCTCAAAAAACATAAAATGAAAAATAAATACATCGTTAATCCCTATGCTTCTTGACATTAACTGTTATTTTTCTTTCTTCCAAGCAACAATTCTAAGTGTCCAAGTTACCTTAGATTAAGTCTTGTCATATTTGCATGCCCTAAATTAATTTGTTATCTCACTCTAACTTGCTCCTTCTCAATCTACCAGGATTCTTTTAGTTTCTTCTGTCACCAAGTCATGTTGATTCTTACTTAGAAATTACTTCTTGATATAGTTTATTCCTCTTCATTCTGGCCGCCAACCTCCTAACCCACCTTCATCACTAACTAATATTTGAATGGTATTTCAGCTTTCATATACATTATTTATTTGAGTCTTAGAATGGTTTTGTGAAATTTGGATGTATTACCCCAATTTTACAGACAAGGAAATGGGCACTCAAAAGTTGTTGATCTTGGCCAGGCGCGGTGGCTCATGCCGGTAATCCCAGCACTTTGGGAGGCCAAGGCGGGTGGATCACTTGAGGTCAGGAATTGGAGACCAGCCTGACCAACGTGGTGAAACCCTGTCTCTACTAAAAACACAAAAATTAGCCGGGCGTGGTGGCAGGTGCCTGTAATCTAATCCCAGCTACTTGGGAGGCTGAGGCTGAGGCTGAGGCAGAGGCGGGAGAATCACTTGAACCTGGGAGGTGGAGGTTGCAGTGAGCCGAGATCGCACCACTGCACTCCAGCCTGGGTGACCGAGCAAGACTCTGTCTCAAAAAGAAAAAGAAAAAGAAAAAAAATTGTCGATCTTTTCCGTTACCACACAGCCAGTAGGCATTGGGACTGGATCCTGTCTTAGATTTTGTGGGTTTTTTAAAACAATGTTGCCTTTCAAGAGCCATTTGAGTAGTATCCATATTATATGTATTCTTTTTCACTTTCTGAATCATTCTTTGTACCGATAATATTCTTACCTTCCTTAAACGTTACTTTCAACTTTTTATTTCCAAAGTTGAGAATATGCAATTCTTCACTGTCTGTTGCATTCCATTTCAATGCCTTTGCCTAGTGGCCAGGGTCCCCTGTAATCTGTTCTTTATTACACCCTGTTAGAAAGCTGGATTTTAGTTAGGCTGTGCTGTTTCACACAAAGATAGGTAATTCCTATGCCTGACATTATTTCTTCTGGATTGCCTTCTGTTTTGCATGTCCAAATCTTGCCCTATCTTTAAAGATCCCTGTGCCATTTCCTTCATGAAGTCTTTTCCTACTCATTTACTCTTCCAGTTCTTGATACACTCAAGAGCTATACAAGTGGTTTCCAAATCTTATCTGTTCTTATCAGCCGATCCCCTTTTACCCTCCAAATAAATTCTTACACAGAACCTCAATATATAAACAGCTGAAAGCAGAGCTGCTGTGGTGGAAATAAAGAGACCTCCTCCTTTTTTTCCTCCATGCCTTATTTTCCTCTTCCCTTCTCCCTTCCTCTGCCATGACCACCACCAGTCCTACCTCTGTTGCATGGCCCCTGAGGCACCTTTGTAGAACTCTGGAAGTGCTGAGTTACATGGTTTGGAAAGCATTTAGCCTTTGAGTATAGATGGACTTTATTTCTCTCAAAAATTGTTGTGTATATGTTAGCCTTGCCTCATTAAATTAGATGCAGTGTGTTACAGTGAAAAAAGCATGGAAGTTGTGGTGAAAAGAGCTGGATTTGAGTCTTGGCTCTGCTGTTTACGATAGCTTGTTAACTTGCCTTAGCCTCATTTTTCACATCTATAAAATGGGATAACAGTACCTACCCTCCGTGTTACTGTAAGGGTTCAAATGAGATAAAGTAAATGTGTGGGCTCCATAATTGCCAGGGCCTTCCATCCACGCTTTCATTATGTTTTAGCTTTCTCTGCAGTGTGAGTCCTCAGCCCCCTGGGCCACGGACCAGTACCGGTTCATGGCCTGTTAGGAGCTGAGCCAGACAGAAGAAGGTGAGCAGCAGGCGAGCAAGTGAAGCTTCATCAGTATTTGCAGCCACTTCCCATCACTCATGTTACTGCCTAAGCTCTGCCTCCTGTCACATCAGCAGTGGCATTAGATTCTCAAAGGAGTCTGAACCCTGTTGTGAACCGTGCATGTGGTGGGTCTAGGTTGTGTGCTCCTTATGAGAATCTAATGCCTGATGATCTGTCACTGTCTCCCATCACCCCCAGATGGGAGTGTCTAGTTGCAGGAAAACAAGCTCAGGGTTCCCACTGATTCTATGGGAACAGAATTCGTTATGGTGAATTGTATAATTATTTCATTACATATAACAATGCAGTAATAAAAATAAAGTGCACAATAAATGTAATGCACTTGAATCATCCTAAAACCACCCTGCTCCCCTGGTCTGTGGAAAAATCATCTTCCATAAAACCAGTTCCTTTTATCAAAAAGGTTGGGAACCACTGCTCTACAGGTGAGAAGCTTGCTTGCTGACAGCTTCCAAGCTGATATCCCACAGCTTTTGTCCCTGGAAAAAGACTGGCATTTTTTACCTTGAAGAAAAGAGCTCAGATTGGCCTGGCTTAGAGATATGCCCATCCTTGAACCAATCCTTGAACTGTGCTTGAGTGGATGGCGTCATACAAGAACCTGTCAGCTTCTGCTGTTGCCTTTGGATGAGACCGAGAGCCCCAGTTGCCAGAAGTTCATGATGGTGGACAGACAATATTTTAGAAATGCATTAAGATTCTTAGGCAGATACCTGGGTTTGAGTTTCAACTTTACTCCTTGATAGCATCTTCATGTAACAGGCACATATTCTTGTTCTGTCTACCTCTGTTCTGAGAATTACCTGAATTCATGCATCTAAATGTTCTTTATGAACTCTAAAGTATTATGCACATATTAGTAATTACACCTCTGGAGATAAAGGGAAGAGAATTACTTTGGTCCTTTCCTGTGTGATTAAGTTCTTTCTCCTCACATTGTTTCTACTCCTGTATCCTTTCCTGTATTTATTTTTAATAATCTCATAGAGTATGTGCTTCTAAAGGGAGCTTTTCCCATATATATGTAAAGCCACGTTTGTTTTAAAGATACAAAAGATATGATCAAATTGTAAACAGTAGAGATTTAGCATCTTCTGAACTTGAGCTATTCATTTGGCATATTTGTATGGTTTCGGATGGAAAACTGCTACTAAATCAGATTTTAAAATCTTGATTGAATGATACGATTTTTGACATTGTTGAATATTAACTTTCCAGGAGATCTCAGCCCTGCTGAGCTGATGATGCTGACTATAGGAGATGTTATTAAACAACTGATTGAAGCCCACGAGCAGGGGAAAGACATCGATCTAAATAAGTAAGTGGATATAAAGAGAGAGCAAGCTTGTTCTTAGGTAGCAGATCTCTTTTATGAAATTATCTAGTACTACTTGTTTTCCAGCTCAAGTTTTATTTTAGTTGAGAATTTTAGCTTTCTGCCTTGCCTTGTCATTCATTTCTTTTTTTTTTTTTGCAAGTTCCGCCTCTGGGGTTAACGCCATTCTCCTGCCTCAGCCTCCTGAGTAGCTGGGACTACAGGCGCCCGCCACCACGCCTGGCTAATTTTTTGTATTTTTAGTAGAGACGGGGTTTCACCGTGTTAGCCAGGACGGTCTCGATCTCCTGACCTCGTGATCTGCCCACCTCGGCCTCCCAAAGTGCTGGGATTACAGGCGTGAGTCACCGCACCCGGCCGTCATTCATTTCTTGATGGCAAAATTGTCTCAGCTTAAGAATACTAATAGCTTCTAACATTTATTGGGCACTTACTGTATTCCAGACACTGTTGCTAATGCATTGTATGTATTAGCTCAGTTAATCCCCTCAAAATTCTGTGAGATAGGTACTGATACCAGCCACACTTGACAGGTGGGTAATCTGAGTCAGAGAGCAGTTAAATAATTTGTCCAGGGGTAAGTAACTAGTAATTGGCAGAGCTGGGATTTGGAATTAGGTCAGCCGTCTCCAGAGCCCATGTTCTTCTGTGCTGCATCGCTGCACATCCTACTTTCCTTCCCTACTGTCTCAGCTGAAGCAGCAGCTTTCTGTCAGGAAAACCCTCCCTTTGGGGCCCCTGATCTAATCCAACCCTCCCCTGCTGTAGAACCTCTTTGACACATTCATCCACTTCCTCTCCATAATCATTTTCAGCTTGGACTTTCCTACAGTCTCAAATAAGAGTTGTCTTTCATCTCTGCATCTATTTTTTTTTTCAAACTATAATATATATTCACTCTATGTAGATCTTCCCTAATGAAAGGGTTCTCTCCCCAACCCCAGGTCGTCTAATCATCACATACAGGAATGACCTTTTCTTAGACTCTCTTCTCTGATACTTGAGATGCTGCAATATTTTACCCCTTCCTTGAATCCTCATGCTTAGTAAATATTTGCTACAGGAATAAGTAAATATCCTCTTTTGACTATAAAGTTATTGTATTTTACTGATTTTTCTACCGTGTCTTTAGAAGTTTTTCTTTCTTTTTTTGTTGGTTATACCCCTGATTATACAAATCTTTAATTTCTAGTGAACATTTCTACATCTTATATATATTTGTTGTTCTCTTTAATTTAGCACATCTAAAGCTAAAGCTGCCATCGTCCTTAAAACTCGCCCCTCCTCAGATGTCACCAGCCTATTACTGGAAGGTCTCTCAGTCTGGCTTCAACCTGCTTTTCCAAGTTTTTAAACCTCTGTACCTTTACATTGAAAATCTTCTGCTTTCTGTCAAGTTGGTCTGCTTGTATTTCTTAAAATATATGCATTCCTGTTTTTGCATCTGCACATAAATCAGCCTGTCTGCCCTCCATGTCATCTTTGTGTCTTTAGTGACTGAGACCTACTCTTTCTTCTGTGCTCATTTCCATGAATATCTCCCCAGCACACATCAGATTCCTCCCTGAACTCTGGAAGCATTCATTGTTGGTATGTGTGTGTGTTTTATGACATATGTTTTAATCATTTATACATTAATTTTCTTGGTACGCCTGTCTGCAAACATGTAAACATAGAACATGAAAGGACTGTGCCTTGCACATTTGAACATAGCAGGTATTCAGGCAGCCTCTTGTACGTGTTAGGTCCTCAGTTAATATTTGTTGACAAATATGTGAGCACTTCACAGATATTTCTAGATGGATTAAAGTTAGAAGACAGGGTGACTGTTAAGAGTTTGGCTAGGAGGCACAAAGAAAAGCTGGTAAAAGTTTTTTTTAAACTTTCAAAAATATGTACTTTATTTCCTATTTGGTTCTGCATAGCCATCCTTGATTTTTTTTTTAATTGTTGTTGTTGTTTTGTCTAAGACAGTAGTTGTCAACCAGGGGTGATTTCCTCCTCAGGACATTTGGCAATGTCTAGGGACATTTTTGAGTGTTACAACAGGAAGACAAGAAGAAGGCTGGTAGTACATAGAGACCAAGGATGCTGCTAAACATCCCTCAATTCGCTGGCCACCTGCCACAGCAAAGAACTGTGTGGTCCCAAACATCAGTAGTGCTGAGGTTGAGAAAGGTGGAGTCAGAATAGTCCTTTGAAGCTGCAGCACTATTCTGAACTAGATCTATATTGTGTCATCGTCCAGGGACCCTTCTCCCTCCATAGTCCTCTGGTTTTCTTTCTGGTACTCAAGGGTGGGAAGTAGTCATTCACTCGTGAATTTTATTCTTCTATTTCCCTGATAGTCACAGATCTTAAAACTATCCTTGTCACGTGGTGAAGGGATTGGAGAGTGACAGTTGTTAATGATGTTGTTTATAGATCATCCTCTTGGTAGCTTGTCCTTAAATAACCGTAATCTTGATAATGTGAGATGCTTTACTTTCAGGGTGAAAACCAAGACAGCTGCCAAATATGGCCTTTCTGCCCAGCCCCGCCTGGTGGATATCATTGCTGCCGTCCCTCCTCAGTATCGCAAGGTCTTGATGCCCAAGTTAAAGGCGAAACCCATCAGAACTGCTAGTGGGGTGAGTGATTCGACTCATGAGGTATCGACACACTGGGTATCTGTTCTGGCAGAAGTCCCTGCTCCATGTGACGCCCGTGTAGTGAGGTAGAGGTTGGGGATTCTGAACTAATGAAGTCCCTGTATTAGGATATGTGCTGGAGTGGAGACCTGTGCTGAATGCAAGGAGAGCAGAGAGAGAAAAAAATATAATTGTGATTAAAGGAGTAGATGATGTTTTGACCTCTTTAAAAATATAGATTTAGGCTTGGTGACAATCATAACAGGATAAATGTTGGCCATCTTAAGCTGGTAGCTTTCAATATAATTGATGCTTATGAAAGGTACTTTTGAAAGGTAGTTAATGGTGCAAAGTAGTTCTGTATATGGTGATTATGAGCACTGTGGAAGTCCAGACAACAGCGATGTCCCTGCAGCAAAAGGGGCTGGGGAAGGCCCAGTAGAAAGCACACAGCTTGCTTGACCCATAAGCCAAGAAGAGCAGGCTCTAAGTGTCATGGGAGCAAGGACACAGGGGCTAAGGCACAGAGGTAGAAATGACAGGAAGGGCGTGGTGCACGCAGGAAATAGCGAGTACGCCAGACTGAAGGGTGTTAACAGTTCAGGAGAGTAGGACTGTGCGTTGAACAGGTAGTTTGGGATCAGCTTGTAAAAATCTTAAGTGTCTGGCAAAGCAGCTAGATAATAGGAAACAAAAGTTTTGAAAAAGGTAGTAATATGAACAAAGTAGATTTTCAGAAAATTAATTTGGATACAACATGCAGGGTAGTTTGGAGACAAAAAGACTAGCTTAGATGCTCTTGGTATGATGTCAGTATGCAGTGTTAAGGACTTGAGTTAGGATGGAGACTCTAGGATGAAAAAAGATGAGTGTGAGATACATGCACAGAAATTGATAGAATTAAGACCCTCCTACCATATGGTCCCCAGCACCAAATTCTGTTCCTAATGTGATCCCACAAGTTCATTCTGTTATTTGAATTGGGATATTATATTCCAGGCAGCTTGTGTTGACTTGGTGACCATATCTCCTGGATCACCTTACGTTTGTGGCTAATTAAACCCTAAAATTTTTACATACAATGTACCACCAAACCTCATATCCTCTTCTTTGTACTTAAGTGTTTTTGTTTTGTTTTGTTTGTTTGTATCTAGTGTAAAAAGCTTGTTAGCCAGGCACGGTGGCTCACGCCTGTAATCCCAGCACTTTGGGAGGCCGAGGTGGGCCGATCACAAGGTCAGGTCAAGACCATCCTGGCTAACACGACGAAAGCCCATCTCTACTAAAAATACAAAAAAAAAAAATTAGCCGGGCGTTGTGGCGGGGGCCTGTAGTCCCAGCTACTCCAGAGGCTGAGGCAGGAGAATGGTGTGAACCCGGGAGGTGGAGCTTGCAGTGAGCTGAGATCATGCCACTGCACTCCAGCCTGGGCGAAAAAGCGAGACTCCATCTCAAAACAAAAAACAAAAAAACTTGTTAAGAAAAACTAATAGTCCATGCCCCTCACCTCCCTTTTTCTACCCTAGGGCAACCATTTTTAACTCTTAGCCAATTTCTTTAGCATTAACTTCCATATCCATAAATAAAATAACATTCTTTACATAATAGATAAGTCTTGACTTTCTTTTTTTTTTTTTTTACCTGAGACAGTCTTGTTCTGTTGCCCAGGCAGGAGTACAGTGGTACGATCTTGGCTCACTGCAACTTCTGCCTCCCAGGTTCAAGCGATTCTTGTGCCTCAGCCTCCCAAGGAGCTGGGATTACAGGCATGTGCCACAATGCCCAGCTAATTTTTGTATTTTCAGTAGAGACAGGGTTTCACTATGTTGGCCAGGCTGGTCTCGAACTCTTGACCTGAGGTGATCTGCCCGCCTCAGCCTCCCAAAGTGCTGGGATTACAGACGTGAGCCACTGTGCCTGGCCGACTTTTTAGAGTTAAGCATTATGTGTGGGCTTGCCATTAAAGAAGACAGAAACTTAGCAACCTTTCAGCCTGACTGGCAAACCGAGGCTTCTGTGATACCACCCTCTCTGTTTCTTCCTCTGTCTCTGATCATTTCTGTCCTATCTTGGCTACCTTATTGTGCTTACCTCTAAAAGTTGATGTTTTCTGTTGTCCTGGGCTCATTGTGTTTGGTATTTTACATGCTTTCTTTGGTAACCTCATCCATTTGATGATTTTAGTATTGATGTATGCTGACTCCCAGCATGAACCATTCCCTGAGCTTCAGACTCCTGTCAGATTGTCAGTTAGGCATCTGTCCTTTGACTGCCTGAGAACCTCCTGAAGTATAGCATAACCAAAACTAATACCAGACTTGCTTATTCACCTTTCCTGTCCATGTTAGTTCATGGTACCACCGTGCACTCAGTTTCCAAAAAATGTGAAATGCATTTTCCGTTCCTACTGCCACTGGTAAGAATGCTTTGGCCTTTATTATTTCTTGTTTAGATTATTTCAGTCATTTCCTTACGCATCTATTTTGTCCTACCTACATGAAATGCATCTTTAACAGTGTCACAAGAGTGATCTATTGAAAGTATCAGAAACACACAGCTGGTGGCCATTCCCTATCTACTGCCATTCTCACCTCCATGCTTTTATTCTTGCTGTTTTTCTGATGGTGCTTTGTTTATTTTATACAGTAGTTTTAGGTTTATAGAGAAAAAAAATTTATACACTTCCTCTAGCACCTTCACCCCTACCCCAGTTTCCCTATTATTAATATCTTGCATTGTTTGGTACATTTGTTAGAATTGATGAACCAATATTGTTGCATTATTATTAACCAAAGCCTGTACATACATTAGAATACACTCTGTGTTCTACATTCTGTAGGTTTTGCCAATGCATAATGTCATGTATCCACTATTACTGTGTCATATGAAATAGTTTCACTACCCTAAAATCTCCTATTTGTGGCCGGGCGCAGTGGCTTATGCCTGTAATCCTAGCACTTTGGGAGGCTGAGGCAGGCAGATCAGCTGAAGCCAGGAGTTTGAGACCAGCCTGGCCAACATGGTGAAACCCTGTCTCTACTAAAAATACAAAAATTAGCCGGGCATGGTGGCGGGCGCCTGTAATCCCAGCTACTTGGGAGGCTGAGGCAGGAGAATAGTTTGAACCCAGGAGGCAGAGGTTGCGTTGAGCCGAGATAATGCCATTGCACTCCAGCCTGGGTGACAGAGCGAGATTCTGTCTCAAAAAAACAAACAAACAAACAAACAAACAAAAACAGCTCCTATTTGTCCCTTTCCCTCTGCATGTTCTAGACGTAACCTGACTTCCACTGATTGTTTTATTGTCTTTAATAAAGTTTGCTTTTTCCAGAGTGTCATGTACAGTAATTGGAATCATACAGCCTTTCCACTTAGCAATATGCATTGAAGTCTGCCATGTCTTTTTGTGACTTGGTAGCTCATTCTTTTTTTTTAATTACTGAATGATAATCCATTGTACGGATGTACCACTATTTGCTTATTCATTCACCTATTGAAGGACATCTTGGTTGCTTCCAATTTTTGGCAGTTTTAAACAAAGCTCTGTGAAGGTTATTGTGTCCACCTACATTTTCAGCTTACTTGAGTAACTGTCAACAAGTGCAACTGGTAGATCATATAGTAAGACTATGTTTCACTTTGTAAAAAACTGCAAACTCTTCCAGCATGGCTGCACCATTTTGCATTCCCACCAGCAGTGAGTGAGCACTCTGATGTTCCACATCCTTGCTAACACTTGGAGATGTCGGTGTTTTGGATTTTATTTAATTAATTTATTTATTTTAAGACAGGGTTTTGTCCTGTCACTGAGGCTAGAGTGTGGTGGCATGATCACAGCTCACTGCAGCAACCTCCCAGGTTCAAGCTATCCTCCCACCTCAGCCTCCCAAGTAACTGGGACAACAGGCATGCACCACCACACCAGCTAATTTTTGTGTTTTTTGTAGAGACAGGGTTTCACCATGTTACCTAGGATGGTCTTGAGCTCCTAGGCTCAAGGGATCCTCCCAGCTTGGTCTCCCAAAGTGCTGTGATTATAGGCGTGAGCTATGGTGCCCAGCCAGTGTTTTGGATTTTAGCCATTCTCATAGTTGAACAGTGGTATCTCCTTGTTGTTTAGTTTGTAATTCCCTAATGACATGATGTTGAGCATCTTTCCGTATACTTATTTGCCACTGTATATCTTCTTTATTGAGATATCTAGTCACATCTTTTGCCCTGTTCTTAATTGGGTGTTTTCTTACTAGGTTTTAAGAGTTCTTTGTATATCTTAGCTGGAAGTGGTTTATCAGGTACCAATTATGCAGATATTTTCTCCTAGTCTGTGGCTTGTCTTTTCATTGTCTTTCTCAGAGCACAACTTTTAAATATAGACAATTAGGTCCATAACCCATTCTGAGTTTGTATTTGAGTTCGTGTTTGTGTTCTTGAAACACCATGGTTGTTAACTTGGATACATTACTGTCATCTAAGCCTCAGACCTCACTTAAGTTTCACCAGCCGTTTCAATAACATCCCACAGAACCTAGTTCAGAATCACCTGTTGCATTTAATTGTCATATATCTTTAGTCTGGACATTTCCTTTGTCTTTTTTGGACTCCGTTATCTTAACGCTTTTGAAGATTTCTGGCAAGTTATTTTGTAGCACGTCCCTCAGTGTGGGTTCATCAGCTGTTTTCTCATCATGAGATTCAGGTTACGCGTCTTTGGCCCGTGCCTCATAGAAGCAGCACTACGTTCTTCTCGTCATCTCCCATCCAGTGGTGCGCAGGTTTGGTTTTCCTATCACTGATGTTCCTCATTTTGATCAAGGTGCTGTCCACCAGACTTACCCTCTGTCAAGTTATTTTTTTCCACTTTGTATTAAGAAGTGTTGTATGGAGAAATACTGAGAAACTAGGTGGATATCCTGTTTCTCATCACGTACCCAGTTCACTCCTTTATTTGTGTGAAGGAATTAATGGTTTCCTATTTGGTGGGTTATCATCTGTTACTATTTATTTTGATGCACAAATTATTGTGGACTTGACCAGTGGGAGCCTTTTCAAGCTGATTTCTATGTCTTTTTAAAATGTCCTCATCATTCTTTGAGCAGTTTCTAGCTTTCTAGCACAATAAAATGTTCCAGGCTTGGCCAGACATGGTGGCTCACGCCTGTAATCCCAGCACTTTGGAAGGACGAGGTGGGTGGATCACCTGAGGTCAGGAGTTTGAGATCAGCCTGGCCAACATGGCAAAACCCTGTCTCTACTAAAAAAAAAAAATACAAAAAATTAGCCAGGCATGGTGGCACATGCCTGTAATCCCAGCTACTTGGGAGGCTGAGGCAGGAGAATTGCTTGAACCCAGGAGGTGGAGGTTGCAGTGAGCCAAGATCACGCCATTGCACTCCAGCCTGGGCAACACAGTGAGACTCCGTCTCAAAAAGGAAAAAAAAGGAAAATGTTCCAGGCTTATCTTAGACTTTCTTTGCTCCAGCCCTGGAATCAGCCATTTCCCCAAGGAGCCCTGGTTTCTTTTAGTTGGAGAAGGATATTTAGATACTAAGACCTGGGTCCTAGGTGTGCTTACTGCTGTTAGGGTGTTGCTGCTGCCAGACTCTCTCAGTGGACCAAGCGAGGACATATATATGTATAGCTGCATACATAACATGCACACATACATGTAACACATTTCCATTTGTATTTATTTATCAGTCTACCATATGTTGAACACTCTGATTGGCCACAATACCTTTAATTCCACCCAGCCCACAGAGTTCATTCTGCTTCTCTCTCTTTCCATGTTTATAGCTACTTCTCTGATAGTAAGAAGCCTGGCTTGCTTTCACTTTTGTAAATGGCCAGATTTGACCAAGTGCCCTGGATGTAACCAATCTTGCGTCTCTGCCACTGCCTCCTGTCGTCACCTCACTGAGGCTCTGTCAGACCCCTCTGAGGTTATTTACACCCAGACCCTGAAACATGAAGCTGCTAGTTTAATAGTACCTGCTGCAAATATTGAGATCCAGTGTGTTCATGAGGCGTTTGAGTCACAAAGGTTAGGTTTATATATAATTTCATAGAATTGCTTAAAGAAATTTTTTTCTTACAGGCTGTTTACTAAGACAATCAGAGAGAGAAAGACTAAGAATCACTTTGGCTTTAACAGTTAATTTGTTATTTTGTACTTAATTTATTGTAAAATGGAATATAACTTCACATATATATTACATACGGACAATTTAAAGATGATTAATATTGAACAGAGATCACTCTTGTACCCATTGCCCAGCTTAAGAAATACAGCCTCGGCCGGGCGCGGTGGCTCACGCCTGTAATCCCAGCACTTTGGGAGGCCGAGGCGGGCGGATCACGAGGTCAGGAGATCGAGACCATCCCGGCTAAAACGGTGAAACCCCGTCTCTACTAAAAATACAAAAAATTAGCCGGGCGTAGTGGCGGGCGCCTGTAGTCCCAGCTACCTGGGAGGCTGAGGCAGGAGAATGGCGTGAACCCGGGAGGCGGAGCTTGCAGTGAGCCGAGATCCCGCCACTGCACTCCAGCCTGGGCGACAGAGCGAGACTCCGTCTCAAAAAAAAAAAAAAAAAAAAAAAAAAAAGAAATACAGCCTCGTCAATACCTTTGAAGCCCCTTTTTGCCACTCTCTGGTTGCATTCCTCTCCTTCCTTCCGAGGGATAAGCACTCTGTGGAGTTTTATATTAATTATCCTATAATAGCTTTTTTATTCATCTTTCTTTTATAGATTGCTGTCGTGGCTGTGATGTGCAAACCCCACAGATGTCCACACATCAGTTTTACAGGAAATATATGTGTGTAAGTATGGTGATTTTATTAAATTGTATGTATGTTTTAATTAAGCTAAATATGCCCCCTCTAGCCCTTAGTCAGTACATCCTGGTAATGTTTAAAACTTCAGCTTAATAGATTTATAGATTACTCCTTTCAAACAAGCAACCATTGGTAGATATTTTAGTGCTTTAAAATTGGAATATATAAGGCCGGGCAAAGTGGCTTACGCCTATAATCCCAGCATTTTGGGAGGCTGAGGCAGGTGGATCACCTGAGGTCAGGAGTTAAGACGAGCCTGGCCAGCACTGTGAGACTCCGTCTCTACTAAAAATACAAAAATTAGCCGAGCGTGGTGGCATGCGCTTCTAGTCCCAGCTACTTAGGAGGCTGAGGCAGGAGAATCGTTTAAACCTGGGAGGTGGAGGTTGCAGTGAGCCGAGATCACGCCACTGCACTCCAGCCTGGGCAACAGAGTGAGACTCCATATCAAAATAAATAAATAAAATTAGAACATATGAATATTTTAATTTATTGCAATATACAATTCTAAAAATGTAGGTTATGGAACTCACAACAGTAGACATTGGGATATGCAACTCAAAACAGCACATTCTGTTAAACTCATAAATGAAACATGGGAATATGAGCTGCCTAAATTCCACGTCAGAAATTTAAAATGAATTTGGATCAGAAACATATCAAAATAAAAAATTATCCTTATACGTAACCTTTAGATTTCTCAAACTCACCTATTTGAAAGAATTAGCGGAAGAGTTTGCATGATTCTGGGTAGGAAGATAAAAGGGGGGAAAGATTTTCTTGAGTGTGGTTCCCAAGAGAACACTGAGTATTGATTCAAACTTAGGAAAACTTCATTTCTGTTATTTGCCCCTAAAAGCTTAAACCTCTGAAATAAACACAACTGCAGTTATTTTGAAAATGGGTGTAATAATGTCCCTTTACATATTTATCTTATTTACTTCTTGGTAGAAAATACATTATTTACAGATACTGCAAAGGTAGATTCTTCTGTTAGGATTTGAAAAGGAAGCTCATTTGTTATCAGGATTCTTTGGAGATGGTAGATGCTTGGAACTAGCTGATTGAACTCAGTTTTGCATCTGACATTCTTGTTCTTTTGTTGTACTGGCAGATACTGCCCTGGTGGACCTGATTCTGATTTTGAGTATTCCACCCAGTCTTACACTGGCTATGAGGTACAGTAACTTTGAGGCTGTCCTGATGAAATGTTGCATCATGCTTTACCTGTAGTATGGTTTTACCAGTACTGGCTTTCTGACAATTTTTTGTTTTTGTTTTTGTTTTTTTCTGATTTTAAAAGCTGTTCATTCACCAAATATTTGCCAGTGTCTACTAGTGCCCTATATTATTCTAGCCACTAGAGAAATACTTACATAAGCATAAATAATACTTACTTCTTATCCCAAATGCTGTTCTAAGTGCTTTACAACTGTAAACCTTATTGCAGTGTTTTGAAGATAGACACTATCATGATCCCAGTTTGCCAATCAGGAAACTAGGGCATAGCAGGCTTAAACAGCTGGCCCAAAGACACACTATTAGTAAGTGACAACCAGGTTTCGAAGTCTGTGCTGCTTACCACTACATTGTACTGTCACTTTAGCAGTGGAAAATGGACAGGGTCCCATTGTCTTCTGGAATTTACATTTTTTTTTCTTTTTTTTTTTTTTTTTTGAGATGGAGTCTCACTCTGTTACCCAGGCTAGAGTGCAGTGGCACGATCTCCTTCACTGCAACCTCCACCTCCTGGGTTCAAGTGATTCTCCTGCCTCAGCCTCCCGAGTAGCTGGGACTACAGGCAAGCACCACCACGCCCAGCTAATTTTTGTATTTTTAGTAGAGACAAGGTTTCATCATGTTGGCCAGCCTGGTCTCGAACTGCTGACCTTAAGTGATCCGCCTGCCTTGGCTTCCCAAAATGTTGGGATTACAGGCGTTAGCCACTGTACCCAGCCTGGAATTTATATTTTAATAATGGAAGGTAGACAGTAAAGAAACAAGAAAAAGTATCAGGCACTCAAAAAATGCTAAGCAGAGATGTAAAATCAAGTAAGGTGATGGCAGCTGAGATGGTTTAGCTGTGGTCGTTAGGAAGGGATTCTGTGAAGTGAGATTGAAGTTGAGTCTGAATGACAAGAAGGACCTAGTCCTAAGAATATGTGAAAGGGGCATTCCTAGCAGAGAAGTCACTAGAATGAGGCCCAAGGAAGGAAAGACATGGGGGTGTTGTGCAGTGCAGGGGGTGAGGGAAGCATGAGGCTGGGAGTGCAAATGAGCTGGGGTTTGTAAGCAAAGGTAAGGAGTTTCCATTTTAGCGTAGGAGTCATGAGAAGCTATTAGGATTTAAGGCAGGGGAATGATACAATCCAATTTAGGTTTTTTGAAAGATCATTTTGATGGCCATGTAGAGAAAGGGTTAGAGTGGAGACCAGAAAGAAGGCAGAAGGCCAGTGAGGTGCTTTTGAAGGAGTCACCCTCCTCAGAACACCTCAGAAGCCAGGAAAGCTTGTGACTTTTTTCTCATATCTGTTTTCATTTTTTTTCTTGTTTTCTAGGGTTCAAATTTTTTAAAATACAAGAGGAATGATTTCGTGAAAAGGCTTCCTCTCATTCCTATCCCCTAGCCACTCTTTTTCACTCTTCCCCCTACCAGTTAGTGTTGTTTGTTATTTCCTCCCCATCCTTCAGGGATATTTTAGGGAACACAGCATACACAGGTTGCCTATCCCTTATGTGAAATGCCTGGGACCAGAAGTGTTTCGGATTTTGGATTTTTCTGGATTTTGGAATATTTGCATATACATAGTGAGAAATCTTGAGAGTGGAACCCGAATCTGAACATGAGATTCATTTTGGGTTTATGTACACCTGATACACCTAGGCTGAATTAATTTTATACAATATTTTTAATAATTTTGTGCGTGAAACAAAGTTTGTGTTAAGTACTATGTGTGGAATTTTCCAGTTATGGCATCATGTTGGCACTCAAAAAATTATGAGGTTTGGAGCATTTTTGATTTTTGGATTAGGGATGCTCAACCTGGACGTATTCTTTATTTGACTGATTCCATATAAGGTAGCATATCAGAGTCCTCTTTCACTTTGCCTTTTATTTTACAATATCTTAGTGAACATTTTATGTCAGTACATTGTTTCGTGGCTGTAGAGTATTCCACTGTATGGTGGTAGCCATTACAAACTGTGTGGTATTTTAGAAGCTTACTTAAAAGTTACTTTATTATATGATTCTGGTATATGTATGCACATCTATGTCTGTGAGCAGAACACTTTGGTGACCCTGGGATTCCAGAAGTGTTTATACAAAAGACAGATGTGATCCAAGGAGACACCCTGCTGTTGAGGTGTTTATGACAGCGTGAGTGGACACCTGCCAGATGCGATTCAGGACATTATTTTGAACCCTGACAAGACTGAGAAAAATTAATGCGGGTACAAGCCACGTTTTCAGTGTTCGGAACCATGGAGAGTTTTTTTTAAAATACAGTCCTTTTGAAACTACTTTTTAGTTTTAATTCAATGTGGGCATAACAATATTTTTCTCTTCTAGCCAACCTCCATGAGAGCTATCCGTGCCAGATATGACCCTTTCCTACAGACAAGACACCGAATAGAACAGGTACATTTTTAAAAAACATGTTTCTTAAAAATTAGGTGTTTATACTTAGTAAGAAGCCATTGTTGCTTGATTCAAATTGAACCTGAAATAAGAATGAAAAAGGTGTTTTTCCTCTTTGTAAGTTTTCAATATCCATTTGAGGGAGGGAGAATTTGCCATGCCTAGCAAGGTCAAAAACACTACTTTCTTTAAAGACTGTATTTATTGTTTAAGGGTTTTATATTCTCTAAGTTTTTTTGAATTTGTAGAAAGTCATTTGTAGTATGAAATTTGTGGAATAAAGATGTATGAAAGTTCTTAGACAATGGGTGGGTGTGTTGACTTTTAATTTCCAAAAGTCAGATTAAGAAGTATTTTGACTGGCCATGCGCAATGGCTCATGCCTGTAATCCCAACCCTTTGGAAGGCTGTGACAGCAGGTCACTTGAGCCTAAGAGTTCGAGACCAGCCTGGGCAACATAGCAAAACCCCATCTACAAAAAATACAAAAATTAGCATGGCATTGTGGTGTGCACCTGAAGTCTTAGCTACTTGGAAGGCTGAGGTGGAAGGATCCCTTGAGCCTGGAAGGTCAAGGCTGCAGTGAGCTGTGATCATACCACTGCACTTCAGCCTGGGTGACACAGCAAGAACCTGTCTCAAAAAGAAGTATTGTGACAGATTTGTTGGGTGGAAATAGGAAATTTCCTACAAAGGAGTACAAAGAACTAGTCGGGGTATGGCATTGTTCTCTATCATGGTCATGGTGGTGGTTACATAACTCTAAATATCTATCAGCTCTCATCCATTGTACACTTAAAGTTAGTGGATTTTATCGTATTTAAATTATACCTCAGTATGGTTGACTAAAAACAAGTACTATGTACATGACCTTGCAGTGTTCAAGAAATCTGAACATTAATACAGATTTCCTTTATTTACAAGTTTATTTTAAACTTGTCCAATTTAAAAAATGTAAAGCACTGTCCATAGTTGTAATAGTAATGTATAGTAGGCACATCCAAGTCTAAAGTAGATAATGGTACATAACCATAGTGGATAAGTTGTCTCTGGGTTTGTTTATTGGCTTATTGGTGAATACTGTTCAGTTTTAATATCCACTTTGCTGTCACCCAAGCGTATGAGGAACAGGATTGTCGGTGACAGGAGAGGACTCCATCTGGGGGAGCCCACATTTTTCCAAACAGTGGGTTCTAAACTGACCTTTGCTTCAATTTCTTTTTGGGCTATGATAGTTAATTTATTTAAAATGTAAAACTATTGAGCATGAAATGCTTATGTTTACCAAAAAAAGGAGCATAGTTTACAAGATTTAGAAATGAACATAGAGCAGTGATTCTTTTCTTAAATGCACTAGAATTACCTGAGTAACTTCTCCAAAACGTGTCACATCTTCACCTCGGGAGGTTCTGATTAAGTCTGCTTTAAGGTCCTAGCAAGATATTTTTAAAAACTACCAGGGTAATTTTGATGAGTATCTCTTGTAAAGAACCATAGATACAGAAATAGAGTATTCTTTTAGTGTTGATATATATGTACACACATGCATATATATAGTTTTTCTGTATACGTTTTTTGCCATTTTCAGAAATTAGTGTTAATTTCAATACCTATTTTTAAAAATTAGAATCTTGGCTTATTGTAGTCAACAAAATGAAAGATTTGTATCATTCTCTCCACTAGTAGAGGAGACCTAATTTTATTATTATTATTTTTTTTTTTTTAAACAGAGTGTCACTCTTGTTGCCCAGGCTGGAGTGCAGTGGCACAATCTTGGGTCACTGCAACCTCCGCCTCCTGGTTCAAGCGATTCTCTTGCCTCAGCCTCCAGAGTAGCTGGGATTACGGCATGTCTGGCTAATTTTTATATTTTTAGTAGAGACGGGGTTTCACCATGTTGGCCAGGCTGGTCTCGAACTCCTGACCTCAGGTGATCTGCCAGCCTGGTCCTCCTAAGTGCTGGGATTACAGGCATCAGCCACCGCACCTGGCCTGAATATTTCATTTTTAATCAGACTTTCACTTTTTTTTAGAAAGCAGACTTGAAGTGCCTCCTGTGCCTGGAATCATCCATCAATTTTAGACTGCTGTCTTGATTTTTCTTTCCAATCTATTCTTTTTTTCTTCCATTACATCAAATCCTTATTATGTTACATAATCATTCATGTATCATTGTTGACCATAAATGCCACCTTTTTGTCCTCTAGGCTTACCACCAAGTCTGACATAAAATACATGATCAATAAATACTTACTGTTTTGCAAATTGTATTATATTTGTCTTTACTGCTTTCTAGTTTATATTCTTCGTGTTTTTAAATTTCCGCTTTGTAGGTATTCAAGTCAAGCCTCTTATTTGTTATTTTATATTCTCATTCTCCCTCCTTATTTGAGTTGTACTCACTTTTTTCTTTCAGACTTGGGCCTATTTTTTATCCACAGAATTAGCTAAGTGTGTTTCATTACTTCTGATTTTTAAACTGTACTGATGAAAACACTGCAAAATAAGAGATTTGCAATGCCTTCTTAGAGTAGTTCCTTATGCTTATATCATTCTAATGCTGATGAATTTGTCTTTCAGTTAAAACAACTTGGTCATAGTGTGGATAAAGTGGAGTTTATTGTGATGGGTGGAACGTTTATGGCCCTTCCAGAAGAATACAGAGATTATTTTATTCGAAATTTACATGATGCCTTATCAGGACATACTTCCAACAATATTTACGAGGCAGTCAAGTAAGAAATTCTTATTTTATCATAGTCTCCAGAGTGGTTGTCAGTTTATGCTCCTAGCAGTAGTCTACGAGAATGCCTTCTGCCCTGCATCCACATTCTTACTTCTCATAATCTTTCTTGTTTCATGGGAAAGGATTATTTCAGTGAAAATAATGCTTTCGCTGAAATAATCTTTTCCAGTGAAAATAATCCTTTCACTGAAATAATCCTTTTAAAGAAAAAATGAATACAGTTTGTTGACATAGTAGTATTCTCAAATAGAGAGATTCGCCAAATATGGTCCATGAATGTCTTTTCAGCCCACCCAAGAAGGGGGCTGGGAGTATTTTAGCTGCTGTAAAATCAGCAAAACAAGGTACTGTTATTTAAAAACCTAATTTATAGTAAATATTTCATAATTATTAAATAGTAACTGTTTATGATTGGGATCTTAGTCTGTGTTGTGCTGCTGTAACAAAATATCTGAGACTAGGTAATTTATAATGCACAGAAATGTATTGGCTCACAGCTTTGGAGGTTGGGAAGTCCAATGTCAAGGTGCTGGCATCTGGCAAGAGCCTTCTTACTACGTCATCACACGGCAAAAGACAAGAGAAACAAAAAGCGGACCAATTCACCCTTTTATAATGGCATTAATCTTACCCACAAGGTCAGATCGCCTCTCAGAGGTCCCACCTGTTAATACTGTTACAATGACAATTTCAACATGAGTTTTAGAGGGGACAAACTCATGTCTGTCAAATCATGTGTTATTCAAACCACAAGTTAATTTAGTCATTTTGAATTCTAGTTGACAAAATTATGCATCATTTTGACACCTTGTTTTTAGCAAGAAGAATACTACAGGTTAGTATGTAGTTCAGTGATTTAAGAAGTGAAAGTCTTAAAATAGTTTTTGTTCTCAGGAGTTGCAGGAACACCTGGATAGTTACTATTTTCCTTATTTAACAAATCCTTCTTGAGGGCCCACTAGATACTATGTGCTGTTTTAGATACTGGAAAGTGGTGATATTTAGGCTGAGACCGGAAGTACAAGGAGGAGTTAGGCCAACAGCAAGAAAGATAAAATAAAGGCTCTGAAATGGGAAGCAGCCTGGGGTGTTCTAGGGACAGAGAGGAAGCCAGCATGGTTAGATCCTGTGTTAATCCATTTGTGTCCCTATAAAGGAACACCTAAGACTAGGTAAGTTATAAAGAAAAGAGGTTTAATTGGTTCCAGTTCTACAGGCTTCACATGAAGCATAGTGCTGGCATTTGCTTCTGGTGAGGCCTCAGGAAGCTTCCAATCATGGTGGAAGGTGAAGGGGAGCCAGTACATCACATGACGGGTGCAGGGAGGTGCCACACTCTTTTAAACAACAAATCTCACGTGAAACAACTGAGCGAGAACTCACTTATCACCAAGGAGATGGTGGTAAGCCATTTATTTATGAGGAATCCAGCCCCAGGACCCAAACACCTCCCACCAGGCCACACCTCCAATATTGGGGATCACATTTCAACATAAGATGTGGAGGGGACAAACACCCAAACCATGTCAGATCCCAGTGAACAAGAGAAAGAACGTCATGAGACGGGGTTGAAGTGTTAGGTAAGGGCCAAGATACATGCTTTTAAGGAGTTGAAATTTTATTTGAAATGCAGTAGGGAGCAGATGAAGGGGAAGTGGCAAGTTCTGGTTAACAGGTAGGGTCATTCCGGCTACTGTCTGGCTAATGGATTAGAGGAGTACCAGGGTGAAAGTGGGAAACCAGATAGGAGGCCATCTGATTACATCCATCCCTGCTCAGATGGGGGCGGCAGCAGTGGTGATGGAGAGGAGATTGAGATGGGGGTAAGAGAAAAGAAGGGATCAAGCCTGACACTAAGGTTTTGGCTGTCAGAAATGGTAGGAAGGTAGGGTAGGGCTGTATACTGAGGTGGGAAAGATAGCGGGAAGAGCAGAGAAAATCTCAGAGGGAGAAAATCAAGAGTTCTGTTTTGGATGTGTGAAGTCTGAAGAGCCTGTGATACATTCAAGTGGAGATGTCGGTGGGCTCTGAATGCAAGAGAAGTCTGAGCTGACGGTACGAAACTGGGGATTATCAGCTCATAGGTAACATTGACAACCATGTAAGTGGAGGAGACCACCTCATGGGAGAGTTGTGGATCTCCAAGGTATACTAAGTGAAAAGCAATTTTTAGAGCAATTCTTATAGTACGATCCCATTATTTGTGTGTTCATGCACATACACACACACATATCTGTATATAAATGCATAGAAAAGGTGGCAGAATAATGGTCATCATAGACCTTAGAGCTGAGGAGGAAAGGACATGGGAAATGGCAGCAAAGGAGGATATTTACATTTGCTCTGTATACAGTGGGCCAGGTGTTGTCATGGGTGTTTAATATTCACTTATTTAGTACTCATAGTTAGCCTTTGAGTTAAGTGTTCAGATTATCTCTGTTTTATGGGTGAGGAAGCTGAGGCACAGAGAGATAAGCAATTTGCCCAAAGTTGCAGAGGTGGTTGGTGGTAGAATGGGATATAAATCCCAGGTAGCTTTGCTTTCAGAGCCTAACTTTGCAAGCTGTGCTAGGTGTCAGAATGTGAGTGTGTCTGTATGTATGTGCACATGTGTGTGCACATCATCAGAGCTTGAAGATCTTGGAAGGAATATGGCCTGTTTTTCCTTGCCCTCCTTCCCTACCACCCTCAGGCTTTTCTCTGGCTTCTCTTTTATATGGGGTGAGGGTTTCATATAGCTAATTATAAGGTTGTTCAAATAGTGCCACCTCTTAAGATTTTTTGTGTAGGACAAAATTTTGGATAGACCTAAGAGTGGTTTTTATTACCCTGTAAGTAAAGCAGTTCTTGGCACATAGTAAGCACAAGTAAATGCGTGAATGAATTTTGAATGAACAGTTAGCTAATGACCTGGGTAGGGTTGCCTCTTGGAATTGGGGGCAGCCACATCTTTTTGTGCCCTCGCTACTCCCCCTACCCCCTTAACTTCCTTTGTTCTCCTTGGGTTTGTAAAAGTGAAAAGAAGAGAGGAGCTTTTTCATAAAATTTAATACCAAGGGTAGCTCAAAGAGCCCATCTGAAAGGTTTGGCAGCTGGGAGAGTTTGTGTGGACAGCAGCCCACTTCTGTTTGATTGACTCTAGGGAATGCAACAGGTGAATTCTGTGTCCGTGAATCTGGACCTGTAGCATTGTGATTTCTTCGTCTTACAGGGGCTTTAGTAATAGAGGAGATGGCGACTGCATTGTTACTGCTCGTTCAAAACTGATCAAGAGGCCGGGCGTAGTGGCTCACGCCTGTAATCCCAGCCCTTTGGGAGGCCAAGGCGGGCAGATAGCTTGAGGCCAGGAGTTTGAGACCAGCCTGACCAACATGGTGAAACTTCTTCTCTACTAAAAATGTAAAAATTAGCTGGGCATGGAGGCTGGTGCCTCTAGTCCCAGCTACTTGGGAGGCCGAGGCACAGAAACACTTGAACCCAGGAGGCAGAGGTTGCAGTGAGCCAAGATTGCACTACTGCACTCCAGCCTGGGCGACAGAGTGAGACTGTGTCTCAAAAAACAAACAACAACAAAAAAAACTGATCATTAATATGAGTCATACTTAGTAAATGCTGAAGTCTTCAAACTTTAGAGGAGTAATGATATCATCCAGCTAATTACTCTTAATAATACTGAAAAATCAAACTATACCTTAGATAAAATGTGATTGAGGAAAAACAACCTTTATTAGTTCAAAGCCAGGCGACGGGGATGGCAGCAGAAGGTTCTCTCAGAGGGTTGCTGACCACAGTTCATTCAGCTCTGAAAATTCCCTGGCAGGGACATCTATGAAGATAAGTTTTTCTCTGCAAGCTTATATACTTCTGTACTCATTTCTTGGACCTTAATATGTAAGGTCTTCTTATCTTGAAGACCTTACATATTAAGTGGAATTGAGCTGTAAATATCTTAGACTTGCCTCTCTCCCCCATAAAAATTTGCCACTAAGCTTTTCATCTCCTACAGTTTGGGTCCCCTGAGGTATATGAAGCAGGCCAACTAAGATCTGCATAGTGAACTTTTAGTATGTATCTAGTTTGACATTTTCATCAATTGAAAGTAAAAATTTTGTTTTATTCTTGGTGTAACATTTTATTTTTGCAGAAATGTTCTAGTGCTAATGGTGCTTGAATGTAAGTTTTCCATCATTGGGTTGAAAATAGGGTTGTCTAGTCCAGCGAGCTCAGTGCAGATCATGATGTGTTTGTAGAAAAAGCCCTGTGGAAGAGAAATCCTCTTTCAGTAATATTCTAGGCAGTGCCAGTGTTGTTTTGTTTCTGTTCTTGAATTTACCTCAAGAGGGCAACGAACACTTTATTTTCAGATAAAAATTTATATATGATTTGGGTCTTCATTGCAACACATCTCATGAATGCCTCTTGAGAAGTAATGAAAGTACAATCTGGGAGCCATAAAACCATCCATAAATTACACTGAATTCTGCCAACACACACTTTAAATGTTTTGCTCTTTTCTCTCAGTCTCTATATTTTTATGAGATCATCTGGAAAAAAAAAAGACCTGATTTGTGGCGTGTTGTTGCTTTGTTAAGGTAAAGTTTTACTACAAACCCCTCATAATAGAGTTTGTATTTGTTTTGAGGGAAACTTTGTATTTGAGGAAATAATAGTCTAGTTTGTGCTATAGAACTAGAGACAGAAAGTATTTTCAAGTGTTGGCATAATTGTGAAATAAAAAGCAGCCCAGAGAAGTTGTGGTTTTGACATAATGTGGCCCTCGGAAATGTTTGGATTTGACCTTGCCCTTCTCTCTCATCCTGCCCAGAGTCTATGAGTGAAAACTGGTTGGTTTGCACAGCGTAGCCCACTGCTCTTAGATGTAAGGTGATGAACTTCATGTTTATTTTACTTTTGTTTTTGCTTGCTGACTACATAGATGTAAACTGACTTTCATTAGCTTAGCAGGGTTTTTTAAAGATTAATTTTAAATTAGGTTAAAAATGATGTATTGTGACCTATGAGTCAGCAAGCAGCATTTAAGGTTAATAGTCTGTTCACGTTAGGGTCAAGTTTTACTGCTGTGTTGGCTCAGGTGTCCCTGCTATGTTTTCATATGTTGAACCTGATTAAAGTTTTGCTTCTTAAAAGAATAGGAGTTAAGGTAAAGAAAAGCCCCAGCAAGCAGAGCCTGGTTATTATTTATGGCAAGCTAGTAGCAAGCAGTGTGTTATATATATTCTCGTGGATGGATAAATTGGAAAGTTGAGTGAACAGAGAGTTCAAGGACAAAACAGGTATGGCTTTTGTGAAGGCTCATTAAATCAAGCAAAGTGCTAATCACTCAGTACTATCAGCTGGACTGAGATTCTTCAGTAGTCTCCAGAGAGCAACAATTACTGGTGACTGTCATCGTGTAACAATCAGGCTCTGGAGATGAAAAAGACCGGTAGTGGGATCTGAGTCACCCATTCACTAGAATGCAAATGTTGCCAAATAACTCCAACAACCTTTTAAAATAGTTTTATTCCTTTTTAATCAGCTTTGCCCAGAAGCAGTTTTACATTCAATCTTTAATGCTCCTTGGCTGTTTTCACAAGATGCAATTTAAAGGGTAGTTACCCATTAAAAAGTGAGTGAGTCATACTTTCTCCCTGTGGAATTTTAAATTCATTTCCCGTTCCTTCCTCTTCCCCCGCCCCGCCCCCCACGCCCCATTAATGACTTTAGATCCTCCAACTATGTTCTTACCTGTCTGAGAAAAGCTGAAGTGCTAGGTAATGCTAGGTACCAGGCCCAGAAGACAATTTCGTAGACTTGCACAGCTGCAACGGAAGCAAAAGGAACCTACAGAGACCTGAGAGTGAGTGACTGTGGCCCTGCTGCCCTGGGCGTCATTTCTGGCAGGCCTCAGGACCTTCTGCATTTCTGGGCTTTGACGCTGACACTGCTTATCTCTCACTTTTTCTATTGACCATTTTACTTTCTCTTTTGGTCACCCAGATTTCCATACATGGTGACCAGGATCCTTAACATTGGCCAGAGAACATAGGATACAATCTTAGTCACTTTAAGAGAGTTGATATGGTTTTTCTTTCAGCATTTTATTTGAAACAAAAATTAAACAGTTTTTAGTGAGCATCCACATACCCATCACCTAGATTCTACGATACTTGCTTTATCACATATCTGTCAGTTCCACTATCCATTCATCAGTGTCTCTCGCGTGTGCTTGCGCTGTCTTTTTTGATGAATTTCATAGTAAGTTGTATGCTTCAGTACACTTCTCCCGGGATACTTCATCATGCATATCACTGACTAGTGTTCACTGTCTGCAGTGTTTTTCTTTTGAAGTAAATTTACATACAGTACAAAACAACTTGTGGCGTTTTATATATATATATATATATATATATATATATATATATATATATATATATATATATATGAACACATATATTAAGTATACCATTTGATTATTTTTGACAAATGCATATACCTGTGCTACAAAGTCCTATTAAGATACAGAATGTCACCGTCATCCCAGAAAGTTCCCACATCCCACTTGCCAGTAAATCCTCCCCTGCGCCTCCCAGAGGCAGCCGTTCTTCTGATTTTTTTCCCCATCACAAATTAGTTTTGTCTCTTCTAGAACTTCATATAAATGGAACCATATAGCATACACTTGTAGGCCTCTCTCACTGAGCATAGTATTTTGAGATTTATCCATGTGTTGGGTGATTCATTAGTTGTTACCTATTTAGTGCTGAGTAGTATTCCATTGTATGCAGAGATCACAGTTTGTTTACCATCCTTCTATTGATAGACGCCTGAGCTGTTTTGTTTGTGGCCATTATGAATAAAACTTCAGCGTACGTTCTTGTGTAAGTCTTTTTGTGGCTATATGTATTTATTTCTCTTGGGGGAATAAATAGACATAGAATTGCTATGTAAGTTTAGTTTTACAAGAAACCGCCAGTCATTTTCCCAAAATGGCTCTACTATTTGTACTCCCACCAATAATGTATGAACATTTGGTTGTACCACATCTTCACCAACATATGGTGTAGTCACTCTTTTTAATTTTAGCCATTCTAGTGGGCGTATAATGGTATCTCGTGGTTTTAGTTTGCTTTTGCCTGATGACTAATGATGTTGAACACTTTTTTAGTATGTGCTTATGCTATTTGAGTATATTTCCTTTGTGAAGTATCTATTAAAATCTTTTGCCCATTTTTGATTAGGTGGTTGTATATCCTAGCTGCCAGTCCTTTGTCAGCTCTATATTTTGCAAACATGAAAACCCAGTCTGTAGTTTGGCTGTTTGTTATGTTAATGATATCGTTTAGCCAAAGTTTTTAATTTTGATAAAGTAGAATTTAGCAGTTGTTTTCTTTCATGGTTATTGCTTTTCTGTATTGTCTCTAATAAACCATTGCACGTTCCCAAGGCACAAAGATATTCTCCTGTGTTTTCTTCTAATTACAGGTTTGAGCTTTCACTTACAGGTTTATGTTCCATCTTGAATTAATTCTTATGTGTAATATGAGGTGGGGATCAAGGTTCCTTTTTCCCCATATAGACAGCTAGTTGCTTTAACATCACTTCTTTAAAGATTTTCCTTCCCTATTCGGATTATATCACACCTTTGTTAAAAATCGAAGGACTCAGTAAATGTGGGCTGGGCTCTTTTCTGTTTCATCGATCTGTTTTTCAATCCTTATGCCAGTGCTACACTGTTTTGATTACTGTGGCTTTTTAGTGTATCTTGAAGTCAAGTAATATGAGTCTTCTAACTTTGTAATTGTTTTTCAAAATTGCTTTAGAAATTCTAGGTCCTTTGCATTTCTATGTAAAATTTAGAATCAGCTGGCCAATGCTCTATTAAAAAGTATAATGGATTTAGAATTGTGTTAAAACTATAGAACAAATGGAAAGAATTGACAATTTATTGCTTCTTGCAATTCATGAACATAGTCTATCTCCTTGTATACTTAGGTTTTTAAATTCTCTTAGCAATCTTCATTGTTGAGATTGTATAAGCCTTTTGTAAACAAATTCTTTCAAAATATTTGTATGTGTTTTGGTGCTACAGTAAATGAAATGTAAATTTCATTTTTAAATTTTATTATTATTATTATTATTTTTTTTTTTTTGAATCGGAGTCTTGCTCTGTCGCCCAGGCTGGAATGCAGTGACGTGATCTCAGCTCACTGCAACCTGTACCTTCTGGGCTCAAGACATTCTCCTGCCTCAGCCTCCCGAGTAGCTGGGATTACAGGCATCCACCACCATGCCTGGCTAATTTTTGTATTTTTAGTAGAGATGGGGTTTCACCATGTTGGCCAGGCTGGTCTCAAACTCCCGGCCTCAGGTGATCCGCCCACTTCGGCCTCCCAAAGTGCTGGGATTACAGGTGTGAGCCACCACGCCCGGCCATAAATTTCATTTTTTCAAATTTTTGCTGCTAATATATATACATACGGTTGATTTTTATATATTAATGTTATGTCATAAGACCTTACTAAATTCACTACTTAATTCTAAAAGCTATTTTTGTAAATCCTTTAATATTTACTTCCTAAACAATCATGTCATCTGCAAGTACAGTGCATTTTACTTTTCCCTTTTGGATTTGTATGCTTTTCTTTCTCTTGCCTTACTGCACTGCCTAGGACCTTTTCTTACAGTGTTAAACAGAAGTGGTAAGAGTGGGCGTCTCTGTCTTGTTCCCAGTGATACAGGGAAAACATTTTTATTTCAGTATTAAGTCCAGTGTTGCCTGTGGGTTTTTTATAGTTACATGTATTAGATTGAATAAGTTTATTGAAAGGGTTTATCATTAACTCATTTGTCTGATGCTTTCTCTGCATCTATTTAAATGGTCATATGATTTTCCTCCTTTATTTGGTAATATGGATCATTTTGATTTTTTTTTAACATTAAACCTCACATGCCTAGGATAAACCCTATTATATCATCATCTTTACATATTGTTGGATTCAACTTGCTAATACTTTGTAGAGGATTTTTGTGTCTGTGTTCATACAGGGTGGTGGTCTGTAATTTTCTTTTTTATAATTTTGTTGTCAGGTATTCGTTGTTGGTATTAGTGTAACGCAGGCTTCACAAAACAAGTAAGGATGTGTTGTTCCCTCCCCTGTTTTCTGAAAGTGTTCATGTAACATGAATATGATTTCTTCCATAAACGTTTGCTAGAACTCACCAGTGAAACTATCTAGGGCTGGAATTTTCTTTATGGGAGGGTTTTAGATCATAATTCAGTTCATTTAATAGATATAGAGCTATTCATATTTTCTGTTTCATCTGTGTCCATTTTAAAAAGTTACGTTTTTCAAGGAATTTGTCTGTTTCATTCATTTTGTCAAACATTTTGGTATTATGTTGCCTTATTAGGCTTTTAACATCTGTGGAATCTTAGTGATCACCCCTGTTTCAACCCTGATACTCATCATCTGTGTTTTCTCTTTTTTTCTTGTTTACCCGAGTTAGGGGTTTATCAATTTTGTTGTTCTTTTCAAAGAAGTAGCTTTTGGTTTTATTTCCTCTACTCTGTAGACTTCTGCTTTTATTTTTATTCTACTTTCTTTCCGTTTAATTGCTCTTCTTTTTCTAGTGATTTAATAAGGTATAAAAGCTTGGCCAGGCGCAATGGCTCACGCCTGTAATCCCAGCACTTTGGGAGGTGAGGTGGGCGGATCACCTGAGGTCAGGAGTTCGAGACCAGCCTGGCCAACATGGCAAAACCCCGTCTCTACTAAAAATACAAAAGTTAGCCATGTGTGGTGGCACGCACCTGTAATCCCAGCTACTGGGGAAGCTGAGGCAGGAGAATCGCTTGAACCTGGGAGGCAGAGGTTGCAGTGAGCCAAGATCACGCCACTGCCCTCCAGGCTGGATAACAGAGTGAGACTCCTTCTCAAAAAAAGAGAAAAAAAGCTTGGCCATCATTTTAGACATTTTCCTCAAAGCACTGCTTTAGCTGAATCCCACACATTTTGATATGGTGTATTTTAATTATTATTCAATTCAAAATATTTTTTCATACCCTTTATATATATGTATTTGATCCATGGAATGTATAGGAATGGGGTGTTTAATTTCCAAATTTCCAGACAATGAGGTTTTTCTTGATATCTTATTAATTTCTAATTTATTTTCATTTTGGCCAGAGAACCTACTCTGTATAATTTTGGTGTTTTAAAATTTATTGAGACTTGTTTTGTGGCCCAGCATATGTGGTCTCTCTTGGTGAACATGCCATGTGTGTTTGTAAAGAATGTGTGTTCTCAGTTGCTGGGTGTCATGTTCTATAAATATCAGTTAAACCAAGATGGTTGGTAGTAGTGTTCAGGTAAATTTTGTTTTTTATTCTTTTGTAGTTCTATCAATTGCTAAGAGATTGAAATCTCCAAGTATGATTGAGGAACTCTGTACATCTCTCTTCATTTATATTGATTTTTACTGAATGTATTTTGTAAATCTGTTATTAGGTACATACACATCTATGATTGCTGTGTTTTCCTGATGTATGAGCTTTTCACCATTGTGAAATTACCTCTTTATCATCATGAGATGTCCTTCCGCATCCCTGGTCTTGCAGTTTACTTGGTGTTAATTTAGCCGTCATGTGCTTACTGTTTGCCCTGTGTATTATCCTTTTCCATACATTTGCTTTCCACCCATGTTTCTTTATCTTGAAAATGCATTTCTTTAGACAGAAGTCTACAGTAATTGGCTCTTTTTTTTTTTATCCATTTTGCTCGTGTGTGCCTTTTAATTGGAGTGTTTAGTCTGTTAACATTTGATGTAATTATTGATACATCAGTTTAAGCTGATGGTTTGATTTATATCTGCCAGTTTAATCATCTCCTCACTTTGGTTTTCAGTAGCCAAGAATAATAGTTGTAATGAATACTATTATGGTCTAATTCTTTATAATGTATTTTTTCTATATCCTTTAATAGGGAATATCTTCTTAAGAGAAAGGTAGAGGACTCCTTATATCTAGTACAATGCCTTAAGCATAGAATTCTGGTACTTAATAAATGCTAAGTGAATGCGGTGGAAAGAACTGTCCCTTAAGAATCAGGAGACATAGTCTCCAGACTTATTTATATTATTATTTTGCATTATTACCTGGTTTAATCCACTTATTTTGTGTGTGTGATTTAGTTTCCTCATCTATAAAAATGAGGAGGTTTAGGACTATATTATCTCTAAAATTATACCTTTCTGTCATCTATGATTTGAAGCTTTCTAATGAAGAGAATTTTTATCTAAAAGATATGTTCACAAGTTATTCTTCATTTAGCAACCACTTTCTGACAATCATTTTCTATAATGTTTTTATGTATATAACCCTTAAATTTCAATGTGGATATAATATTAAAAGAATGCAATATCTGTGATTCTTTTTTTCTTTTCTATTAATAATGTGTTGCTGCTGGTTCTTTAGCTACACGAGGGGACTACAAAATGATAGTTTTTGTCAGCCATGAAAAAAATCAAACCTCAAACAAAATGTTATAAGCTGTTTTTATATATCTTAAGCCCTGCCAGCTAATGTGATAGGGCACAAGGGTCTTTGATTAGTCTGTAAGCTGCAGTGCCACCAGGTTGGTTTTTCATAGGTAGTACTCATTTTTAAATCAAAATTCTGTCGTTACTTCATTTTGTGTTGGGCGTGGTTAATTTATAGAACCTCATGATATAACCACCAATATCGAGGAAGCAGACTTGACTACCATCTCAAAAAAAGATTGGGGGTAATAGTTATTTTTAAATCCTCAAGCACATCAAACATCCAACTCAGTTAAGTCTAGAGCATCACTAGCAGAGCATTGGGCAGAACTTCAAATTTTATTGAGGTATTTTCAAGATAGGGTAATAGTTAAGAAGAGGAATTTGTTCATGGTGCTGCTGCCAAGGAGTTACACCAATAACTCAAGGTGTTATCAACAATTCAAACAAATCTGGCTGTTCAAAGAAGTGAGTAAACTCCACTGACTTGTTTTGGGACCGTAGATGGAGAAGAGATTGTATGTTGTGACTAACGAAAATGAATATTTCATCTCTGTACCATTTTTTACTGTGCAATTTGGTTTGAACAGGTTGAGTATGAGGTTGCAGCATGTCCACACAGGGAATGTTCTGTAAGCCATTCAGCAACTTGAGCCTTGAGTTCTTGTGAGAGTTTAAGCAGGACTAGACTCAGGCACATCCAGTTGCAGTAAGGACAGAGGTTTTGAAAGAGGAGCTGCCACGAATTATTTGTAATGAGAGGTGCCCACCTCTTTGATACCACAGCTTCTTGGAGTGAAACAAAAGATAGTTTCCAGAAGATAATAAAGAGACTTTAAAATCAGTGTGCTATCTTCCTTCCATCAGTGTCCCCCTGGTTGGGCCCTTAGTGCAAGGAGACAGTAATAATAGATAGTGCTTCTGTCAAAAGGTCGCTTTCTTCTTTCCAGAAATAGAAACATGCTTCCCAAGAAATAATCTAAATCTATTTATATTTCTGCCACTTCTAGCTTTTTGTTCTGTAGTCATTTCTCTTTTTTTTTTTTTTTTTTTTTTTCTGTATGTCTTATCCCCCCAGCTAGATTGTTAAGCATGTCTGGGACAGGAACTATTATATTTTTACTTTCTGAAGAATACCTGGCCTACTGCTAGGCACCTTCTAAGGTTAACTTTTTGCAAGAGGAAAGATAAGCGGTAGATGTATCTGGAGGCTGCTGTTGGAGTGAAGAGAGACCTCCTATGTTCCCAGTTATGCCTAATTCATTTATTCCTTCTTCAAATTTGTAATTTTTTTTTAATCAACGGAGAATTTTTAGTGTTGAAGCCTTTTAGCCTCTAGACATGTTTGAGCCTGCTGGCTTTCAGGGGCTTCCTGTCCAGATGGAGAGACAGACATAACCACAAATAACAAGGCTGACTACTTGTAGTGTGGGCAGGGTGCTTGGGAATGGGAGCACTGAGATCTCACTGAGGGTGGAGGGGTTCTGGGAAGATGTCATTAGGGGAGAAATGTATTGGAGCTCTGTTTTGAAGGCTGGTAGCCTTTGGTTTTTGTTTGCTTTTAAATTCCTGGGTTATTGTCCCATTTCTCTTCACCCCTGCTCCACAATTTTTAAAAATTCTGTCAACGTAAGGTTTTGACTTAAGCTATGCTTCACAGAGAACATAGCATCTTTTATAGCTGGTGCCACTCCTATGGCATACAGAAAAGCGTAGGATTCAACATAACCCCACAGTGTTGAGCTGTACAGGCTTAAAATGAACCTGTAATACCACAAAAAGAGCAGTGGAATTGGAATCAGAGGATCCCTTTTGAGTCTTGGCCTTGTCTCTCGAGAAGTTGACAGAGTTGCTGCATGCCGAAGAACTTGTAGCCCCCAAAGAGGTATGGGAGTTGAACTAGGTACTGAAGGAGAGCCATGCTTTTGGATGGCTGTCTAAGTGGCACATACTGTTGGATAGCTACCTAAATGATACAGGGGGATCATATTAATACCAGGCCATAAAGTGTCAGCACAGATTGGTTGAAAGCCTGTATGCGCATATTTGCATATTAAAGAACAGTTATGTTGATATATTTACATCTCTGTTAAATGAAGAATCAGATTTGGTGAGATGTAGGATTAGATATAGTATCAAAAAATTTTCATGAGAATACAGTAAGCCTATGGGAAAAATTCATTGTTTTGTCATTCAAATTTGATACAAATTTCTGTTTAATTGCTTTTCAGATGCAAATACAATTCTGGAAAGAGGAAATATAGTGAAAGCCTTTTTATAAATATAAAATATTTTTTCAAAACTTGAGTTGTTTTTTTCTTCCACCATTTCTGTTGCTGCAAAAGGTAATGACATTTCCCGCCTGAGGAAAAACATTTTTGAAATGGAGTTAAATTATTATTTGAGAATAAGGTTTCCTTCTGTGGCCTGTACTATATTCTGATGACTTATAAAGAGACCTTGTGCAGCAGTGTCCTCTGTATGTCCTTGGTGGGGCCTTTGACACTCTGCAATAGGAAGACTAGCTAATAAATTTTCTCTTTCCTCTACACAAATTCCCATTTGTGCAATTGCCTCCCCTCTAGTTTTTCCCAGTGATGTAAGCTACTATTATGCCACCACGCTTGCTAACTTAATGGTATCACTTTTAAGAAATACTGCAGGTTTTTTAAAAATACCAGTTGGAATGCCTCATTCTAGGATATTCTCATTTACTTTTAAAAACGTCATTTAGAGCTTTTTGCTTTCTGGGGTTTTTTGGTACTTTTTTTTCAACCTTTGTATGGTGTGCTTTCTCCATAATATATGAATATTTATTTTTATTTGAAAAATGTTTTCCCTCAAACCCAATAATTGATGCTGGAGGAAGGTGTGTTACGTCTCTCCTGTGGCATCATGTACTGTTACTGCGTGCCTTAGTACCCACCTGTTTAAGAGGCACAGGACCTGATGATTCTATTGTTTCAGAGAAGCCAAATTAGTTTGGATCCTGTCTTAGGCAAGATTTGATAAGATCTGAGCCCTTTTTCTGTCTCATAGTTCATCTTTTAGTGACTTTGAACTAGTTGTTTACCTTTAGTCCTGTTGCCTGTGGTAATCCTACCTAAAACCTCGCGGAATACAGAAATAAACAATGCAAAAGAGTTCAAATGTCCAGAATGAAAGATTTGAGAATTTGTTCTCTAGATTGGTGATTCTTAGCTTTCTTAATTATTATTGGCAATAAATAAGTCCGTTTTTATTGACAATTAAGAGTGAAAGAGTGAACCTCATGGAATTAGTTACAAAAATTACAGAAATTTTATGATTTTTACTTTTCAGTAAAGAACAATGAACTTCTTCAGAAAGAAGGAAAATAAATGGGAAATTTTTTTTAAAGGCTTCTCTCATCCTCCCCCCAAAATTGAGAACATTGTAGAAGGGTGCACTAAGAAGAATGATGGGGTTCTAAGAATTGAGAGATGTTGGCCGGGCGCAGTGGCTCATGCCCGTAATCCCAGCACTTTGGGGGGCCGAAGCAGGTGGATCATTTGAGGTCAGGAGTTCGAGACCAGCCTGGCCAACAAAGTGAAACCCCGTCTCTACTAAAAATACAAAAAAATTAGCTGGGTGTGGTGGCACGCACCTGTAATCCTAGCTACTCGGGAGGCTGAAGCACAAGAAATGCTTGAACCCAGGAGGTAGAGGTTGCAGTGAGCCAAGATCGCGCCACTGTACTACAGCCTGGGCAACACAGTGAAACTCCGAATCAAAAAAAAAATTGAGAGATGTTGAAAAGCAGAGAAGTCTGGGGTGGGTCCACGCTGAGTTGTCTAAGCAGTGTGGTAACTGGAATACAGAGCAAGGACTTTGAAGTCAGGTGGACCCAACTTCAGATCCTGACTCCGATTTTATTAGCTCTGTGCCCTTGAACATGCTGTTTACTCCCTTTCAGCTTCAGTTTCATCACTTGTGAAATGGAGGTAATAGGACACACTTCATAGAGCTAGTGGGAGGATTCAGTACTAGAGTGTGTGGCACAGAGCTTGGCCCACAACAGCCTCTGTAAATGTGAGCTCCTGTCGCCTCACTTCACTAGCCCTGCTAGCAAGAGACTTACTTCTCTGCCTCTTTGGCCAGCATTAAGGCCACTAACTGAGACAGCATGAATCTAAAGTGGTGCTCGCTACTCTGATACATGATTTTAGTAAAAGACAAAAATGATTGGTAATTTTGTAAATCATTGCTAAGATTAATAGACTAGGTGAAAAGGCTTTTGTGTATATAGAAGACATTTCATCTAAAATATTCCTATAATCATTACATATGCCCTCCCCCCTTTTTTTTCTTTCATTTAAAATATAGAGTGGGAAATAAATAATGTAGATGGTTTTCACTTATGTGAAAAATGGTTGCTAGGAATTGAAAAATAGGTTTTCACAGTTGAAATCACTGCTTTCAAGGAGATTATGGTTGCAGCTTACTGCAGGAGAATAATAATGATAATGATGATAATAACATTACTATGCTAGCTCAGTCACGTCAATCTTATGAGGTGTAGATAGTGTATTATCCTCATTTTGCAGTTAAAGGAACCGAAGCACAGAGGTTAATAGCATCCCCATGTGCATAGTTAGGAAGTAGCAGAGCCAGGATTTGAACTCAGGCAGCCTGGCTCCAGAGCCTACACTCTTTACCACTATCTCATACTAGGAGGACAGAGAGAAGGCAGTTTTTTGAGACAGAGTAATGTCTTAAAACCTGCAACAGGTTAATTATTTTAGATTTGCTCTACAGGTATTCTGAGAGAAGCCTCACAAAGTGTATTGGAATTACTATTGAAACCAGACCAGATTACTGCATGAAGCGACATTTAAGTGACATGTTGACCTATGGCTGCACAAGGCTGGAGATTGGGGTGCAGAGTGTTTATGAAGATGTGGCTAGAGACACCAACAGGTAAGATGGTGGCAGGTGATCTTGCACAAGTCTTCCTCCAAGTTCACCATTTTCTCTACATTCATACCCAGCCTTTCTTCCTTCTGACCACTCTTAGGGAAAGAAGTATGGGTATTCCTCCTTTTCAGAGTTCTTTCTTCTGTCTGTGTTCTTAATTCCATCCCCTCTTTCCCTCATTTTCAGTCTTTCTCTAGTGGGTCTTTTCCAGCAGCCTGTAAACACACTCATCTCTCTCCCTCTTCTTGTCCTAAGCAGCCTTGTCCATATAGAGAGCAGGGGAGAGGACTCGGGGTTAGTAGTTTAAAGCAGGAGAGAAGGCCAAGAACAAAGAAAAGAGTTTGAATAAAAAGGACATCAGGGTAATGTTTAAGAGATTCATTTTTGTGGAGCAAATACCAACTAGCAAAAAGTTTGGTGATGCCATGGTTGTAAACTTTGAGAAATTTGGGAGTGCAAGAAAAGAAGGAAGTAAGAGTTGTTAGAGCTTTATTATGTTCCCTCTAGAAGTATATCTTTTAGTTGAAAAGAAAATACCCGCGAAAGGTTAACTGTATAAGGAACTTCACAGTTAATTGCTAAATTAGTGGAGTAGGGGAGACAATTGAGAGTTTATTAGGCAGCTGAGATGATTGACCGAGAATTCTAACGGTGGGCTTTGGAGGAAGGATGTGTTGAGTTGGATGTTAAAGGCCCCTTTATTCTGTAGGATTTGGGTAGGTGTGATTGGTGTTGTGCCAGGAGAAGGAAGCAAAGGGGAACTAGGGAAACAAGCACTGATCAGCATCTTAGAAACAACCAAGAGGAATGCCAGGCCGAGGAGGATGGAATTTTCCCTTAAGGAATAGAGATCTGTTGAATATTTTTTAGCATGGGGAAGAATCTCATGGATATCATGTTTAATTAAGAAAGAGTAACCGAATAGGATGCTCTTATGTGGGAAAAGGCTTCAACCAGGGAAACTGTGGAGTGCTGTAGCCTTCAAGGGCTGTGCTAGAGAGACAGTTGTGCAGATGGAGGGGAAGGGGGAGCTTTCTGAAGAATACGACATCTGAGTTGGGACTTCATGGAAGAGTCTGAGTTGGTCAGGTGCAGAAGAGGAAGATTGAGGCAGAAAGAAAATAATGAACTCCTAGAGATGGGAGTGCCATAGCACATTTGAGGAATTTGGAGTGGCTTAGTTTGATTAGAATGTGAAATAGGAGAGTGATAAGAGGTGAGGCTGAAAAGCAGGCAGAGGGGCTGATTATTAGGGGCCTGAGGAGTCAGCCCAGGGAGGCTGGACATGAATCTAATGGAGCAAGCCACCAGCACGCATAAAGCTACAATGTGATGGAGCATATCTGCAGCTTAGAAAGATCGCTTACAGTGTAAGGGGCAGTCAGAGAAGAGCAAGTTGGAAGGGAGATCAGGTACGAGGCTGTTACAGAAATTAAGCAGGAAATACTGATGTCCTGGAAAGAAGTGAATGGTGGTGATTGGTGACTGATTGGAAGTGAGGATAAGAGAGAATGGGAAGTCAAGGAGGCTTGGAGAGAATGTGGGTTTCATTTGGCTACACTAAGTTTCAGATACCTGTAGAATAGCCAAGTGAAGGTTTGCTTTAGAGCAGGGCTAGGCAATAGACAGTTCAGCAGTGATCAAAATGTTCTGTGCCTGCAACTGAGTTTTCCATTTTAATTCTTCTAAATATAAATTTTAATAACCACATGTGCCTAGTGGCTGTCATTTTAAATAGTGCTGCTTTAAAGTATTGGTTATTTGGGTTTGGAATTCATGAGAGAGGCCTGGCCTTGTCCTAGGAATTGGGAAGTCATCAGCAAAAAGACATTAGAAATTGAAGCCATGGAAATGGTTGGGAGCATTCTGAGAGAGTGAGATGGAGTCTGTGGTTTCTAGGATCCTTCTGCCGTGAATGGGAACACCTTCGTGGCAGAAGGATAGCCACAAGACTTCAGTTTAGTTGCCCAAAACTATTGTTAGGACTTGTTTCCTGCTGGATTGGCTCTAGAATGCCAAGTTAAGATGATTTATCCACGTGACCCCAAATGACTCTGCCTTCTCACTAAGTCATTCTCTCTTTCTACTGTTATTTAAGGATCCTCCAAACCCACCAGTGAAATCTATTTTGTATCATAGGTTTCACTCTTCCTCCCTGTCTACAAATAATTTCACAAGATCTTTAAAGGAAAGAACATAGCAGCTTGCTGCTTCTGCATGGTTTTGAGCTCATTTTAATTTTTAATACAGGTATTTACATTCATAAGCTTATTTTGACTGGTGATGCTAAACCAAATAATTTTAATACACATTAACTTTTGCCATCCCAATGCTTTACTTTCAAGACTTTAAGTAGATGTGTAAGAGAATTTCTGAGAAATATCTCAGAAATAAAGTTATTTACTTCCAGGCCTCCTGAGAGGTGGGGATGTAAAAAATGACTTTCTGAGATGTCTTTTCCCCCAGCCATATGATTTTGGTTATGGAACTTCTGTTACCTGTCTCAGAGATTGTTTTCCCCTTGTTCCTTGTGTTAACTTTGTCACCCATTTATTTGTGTAACAGATGTTACACAAATAGGTAGTGATTTTCACAGGTAGTGATTTTCTTTCCTTAGGGGCCACACTGTGAAGGCAGTGTGTGAGTCATTTCACCTGGCCAAAGATTCCGGTTTTAAAGTGGTGGCCCATATGATGCCTGACCTGCCAAACGTGGGACTAGAAAGAGACATTGAACAGTTCACAGTAAGTGTGACTTCAGCCAGGCGCATTCAGAATGGCTCTGCATGTTTCTTATCCCATCTGGTCTTGTTGCTTGTTCACTGTTGATGTTTTCCAGTGTTAAAGAAATGCATCCTTATTATAGAATATTAGAAACACAGTAGGGTAAGAGACATCACCCATAGCCCCATCAGACAAAACTCTTAACATTTTAATGAATTCTTTCCAAGATTTTTCTATGCATAGGTTTTTTGGGGGGTGAGGTTGTTTATGCAAATATAACACAGACATACAAATATATATGACATAGGAAATTATTGTAATAGTTTTTTCACTTAACATTTTAACAAGCATTTATCCATGTTGTAGCCTGGTCTCTGTTAACATGTTAACATATTTAAATGTCTTTTTAATTTAATATGTCATACCTTGCTTAAACCCTTGCAAGTTTTTCAGAATTTAAGATATACTGGTTTTTTAATATTATTTAAAAAACACTGCAGGTAAATGACTTTATGTGTATAATTTTTTTTAGTATTTAGGTTTATCTGTTTATGATAAATTCCATGGAGTAGAATTATCAGGTAAAGGTAGAAACATTTTAAGAATCTCACTGTATTAATAAGTTGCTTTGCAGAGAGTTATAACAATTTATACTCATTTCAGCAGAGTTTTTCTTCCCAAATAATTCTCTCCTGTTTATTTTCTATATATGCTTATAGATGCATATGCACATATGTACATATATTTTACTGTTTGCTAGTTTGATCAATAAAAGTGCCATTTTAACTTGCATTTTGAAATTGTAATAATACATTTTTCAAGTTTGTATTTACTAATTACATTTCTTTCATCTTTTTGGAATTGTGTGTTTTTATCCTCTGACTCATTATTCTATTGAGATAAGAATATTTTTAGTATTAGTTTATATGAATTTTTTAGGTAAGGAGATTATGGACTCATTGGTTTTTATATTTGTTTTAAATATTTTCCTTAACCTATTGTTGACCTTTTACTTGTGCTTCCATTAAGTCGATCTTTTTTTTCCTTTTTTTTTTTTTTCTTCAAATGCCTCTAAGCTTAGAACTGCCTTTCTGTTCTTTGAATTTTAACTCTGGGTTGTTTTATTGTTGTTATTTTAACTCTCACAGTTTCTTGATCCATGTTAACTTTGTTGTGGGAAATGAGATTGGTCAGGCCTTTTGTTTTTCTTCAGATTCTCCGATAGGGCAAGTGTGTTTTAAGATGATGACGATATTTATCAAGTTATTTCATCTATAAAAGTACTTTTAATTTGCTCTGTTTAGAAAAATGCAGTTTACCATGTCTTATTTGTGAAGTTAATAATTCTTTCCTCTCAAGAAGTTTACTTTTATTATTTTTTAAGCTGGTGAACTGCACCTGAGGACCTGTTTATGAGATAACATTAATTCACAGATATCCCTCTTCGTAATTCCCCCACAATGGATATGTAATAGACTGTGAGTCTAGTATCCTCCCCTCAGTAACTAATAGCCAGGTGCTCAGACACCAGGCCAAAAAGGCACCTGAAACACACTTTTTATTATCATGATTATTATTATTATTATTATACTTTAAGTTCTAGGGTATGTGTGCACAACGTGCAGGTTTGTTACATAGGTATACATGTGCCACGTTGGTTGGCTGCACCCATGAACTTGTCATTTACATTAGGTATTTCTCCTAATGCTGTCCCTCCGCCTGCCCCCCACCCCACGACAGGCCCCGGGGTATGATGTTCCCCACCCTGTGTCCCAGTGTGAAACACACTGTTCTTTAGCACAGCTCCTAGGGAGACCAGTAGGATAGCCAGAACTCATAAAGTTTAAGTGCTCCTGAAAAATATAGTATGTTTCATACTGTAGGAAGCCATAGCAAATAGCTGAGTCTCAGTACATATTTTCCTTGGTGTCTTCAACATAAGGAATAGTTCAGTAATAACATTGCAAGGACAACCTTTCTTGTAAACAGATTTATTTGCTTGTTTGTAGTCTTTGCAGGGAAACTCACAGGGAATATGAGTGGATCATATTTCTTTTCTAACTGCATCCTAGTAAAGAGTAACAGAAGGGAGCTAAAATGAAAAATCTGAGTTCTTTCTAGAGAAGAATTCTCTACAAATTAAATTGTTTTAAAATAAATAAGTTTTAGAAATTGATAAGAGGCAAACAGCTCAGTAGGAAAATGGGCAAAAAACTTGAACAAGCATTTCACAAAAGAGAATATTCAAATAGCCAATAAACCTATCAAAAAGTTCTCAAAGTAATTAATCTTCAAAAAAGCGAAATTTAAAACTACATTTGGTCTCAGTTTTCTACAGCACCTTGGTCTTGTATTGTGGATATAATTTATCTTTTCTTATCTCTCTGAAGAAATTTATTACAGATTTTTTTTATACATTTTATTTTTCTGTATGCATTGCCTCTGTTTCCTCCAAGTGCCTTTTGTTTTCTTTTTGTTTTGGTTGGCCCCTTAATGTACTTGGCTTTCCCCAAGTTTATGATGATCTTCAACCAGTTTCTTATGCCTTTTTTTTTTTTTCCTTGAGACGGAGTCTCGCACTGTCATTCAGGCTGGAGTGCAATGGCACGATCTTGGCTCACTGCAACCTCTGCCTCCCGGGTTCAAGCAATTCTCCTGCCTCAGCCTTCTGAGTAGCTGGGATTACAGGTGCCCACCACCACACCTGGCTAATTTTTTGTATTTTTAGTAGAGACGGGGTTTCACCATGTTGACCAGGCTGGTCTCGAACTTCTGACCTCGTGATCCGCCCGCCTCTGCCTCCCAAAGTGCTGGGATTACAGGCGTGAGCCACTGCGCCTGGCCTAAAGCGATTCCTTATGCTTTTAAGAGTAGGGGTTTGAAAAGCCGGATGGCAAGGCCTGTGTGCCTAGCTTGCAGGCGTGCTTCACTGAAGAATGTTCTTTTAGCAATAAGCGCTTCTTTCTTTATGGGATTCCTAAATGTCAGTATCGTGAACTCTTACGTAGAGCCATTTGATTCATCCAGAGATGAACTCTCCAACTTCCTGCTTTGGGCTGAGTGGCCTGAGTATATCTCAGGAAGTTGGTTGCTGACATCCAGAGAGTAGGGCGGAGAGTCCACCAGTCTATGTGCTGGCTTTTCCCTGTTTTCAGCCTTGGTCTTCATCTAGACCTTCCTTTGTACCTGGAATCTCAGAGCGCAGAGGCTTTCCAGTTTCTCCAGGGACTAAATGTTCTCATCTGCCTGTTCGGGAAAGGCTAAGGGTTAACGGATAATTCCCTCTATGTACACACTTGATCCAGTACCCCTGTTTTTATTTCCATGTCTCTCCTCCATCCTGCCCAGTTCTTGGTACCTCTGATCCGTGAGCCTTTCTGGAACTCTGCAGTGTGATTGAGCAGGCCTTTCGTTACTGTCTCCTTTTGCTATTTTCTTTACTTGCAAAGTCATTCACAAGCCTTCCTAGTTTCTGTCTTTGAAGAATTTGTTGCCATCTTGGGTCTCATTCTTGCCTCCTTTCTTGTTCTCTTTGTTCTTCTGGGTTTATACTTTTTAAAAAATTCTTTCCTGTTCCTTTTTTTTTTTTTTTTCTTGAGATGGAGTCTCGCTCTGTCACCCAGGCTGGAGTGCAGTGGCACGATCTTGGCTCACTGCAACCTCCGCCTCCTGGGTTCAAGCAATTCTCGTGCCTCAGCCTCCTCAATAGCTGGGATTACAGACGCGCACCACCACGTCCAGCTAATTTTTGTATTTTTAGTAGAGATGGGGTTTCACCATGTTAGCCAGGCTGGTCTTGAACTCCTGACCTCAGGTGATCCACCTGCCTTGGCCTCCCAACGTGCTGGGATTACAGGTGTGAGCCACTGCGCCTGGCCCCTGTTACTTTAGTGTGGTTTTGGAGGGAAAGAAAATAAACACTTTTTTAAATTCTCTAGTGTAACTGAAAATTGAGAACCAATCAATTTTCATTCTTTCCAAAGGAATGTATCAGCCTGTATGTCTCCGAAACTTATTATACAAGCACCAGAAATACTTTTCTAAATCCCATGTTCAAATGTAGATTCAGACTGGGTGAACAATGGCTTCCATACGTGCTCTTTGTGGGATGGCTGCAGAATATTTATTAAAGACCTGATGATTCTTTAAAATATAAATGTTACAGGAAAATCACACAATTACAGAAGAAGATCTCTGAAACTAAATAGTACATAAAGAATACAGCATTTAAGAACGTGACAGATGTCAATGAGAGATGGAAAAGTCTATTGTTATATTTCTTTGTAAAGCAAGTTAAACAATGAAGAGCTTTGGAAGACTAATGTGGCAAAGATAAAAAGTATTTTTCCAGTTTACAAGATAGAGCCCTGCCAGCTGAGTAGATACTCCCACCAAGGTGGGAGTGAGAGGGGACTGTGAGTCCACTTTCATTTCTCCAAAATATATTATGCAAAACAAGATTAGAGCAAATTATCAGTGCAAAGTCATGGAAAGGAGAATGCCTGGTGTCTCATTGCTACATCCCAAAATAAAGAAAGAAAGCAGCCAGCTGGGGTGATGTAGTATAAGAAATGACTTGCCAAAAGTAGTTGAGTTAGATCTATTGCTCAGTGTCCAGATAACAAATGGACAAGGTGTAGCCCAGGATAGGAATGGTGCCAGTTGGTTTAGGGACAGAGTAGTCATATCCAGGGATCAGCAAACTTTTCCTCTAAAGGGCCCTATAGTAAACATTTTAAATTTTGTAAGCTAGATGATCTCTGTCACAACTTTTGAAATGTAAGCAATTAAGTATATTCCATTATTAAAGAAAGGTATACTCTAGAGGTGAAGGCAGACATTGAATAGATTGTCATGTGATGATAAGAAAGAGGTAATACTGGGTTCAGTGGGATTTTTTTTAAGTGGGACAGCTAGTATTTGAAAGTCAGAGGGGCCTCTCTGAAGAAGTGGCATTCAAACTGAAACCTGAAGATTAGCTAGATAAAGAAAAATTGATGAACTTTCCAGGCAAAGGAAATTGCCTTTGCAGGAGTGGAAAGGCCAGATGGTGAGGGGTGGCATGAGATGAGATTGTGCAGGAGACAAGCTGGAATGGTGAGGGCCTAGTGCAGTCCAGCACACACTTGCTTTGCCCCAGTGAGACTACAGAAACAAGGAGTTTCTGTTCTGTCTGTACGCCCTACCTGGTCAGAAGCAAAGGCTGCCCCAGGGCCTACTGGGTGTGCCAGAGAAGCTGTCAGGGGTTGAGATTTCACCCTCGGTGATCTCTGCATAACTAATGGAGAAGTCATTTTCTGTTCTCTATTCACAGGAGTTTTTTGAGAACCCTGCTTTTCGTCCCGATGGGCTGAAACTCTATCCTACCCTGGTGATTCGTGGGACCGGGCTTTATGAGCTTTGGAAATCAGGAAGATATAAGAGTTACTCTCCTAGTGACCTGGTTGAATTGGTGGCTCGGATCCTAGCCCTCGTGCCTCCATGGACTCGAGTGTACCGAGTACAGAGGTAGTGTGTTATCTTTTATTCCTAAAATAGTTGGTGACTAGTCTGTTTACTATTTCTCATGGAAATAGTCTGATTTCATATTGAGGGTTTTGGATTTTTCTTAATGGAAATAAGATAACTGGAATGCTATCTGTAAATAGGGAGGGATGGAAATCATAGCATGTCTAAGCCACTTTGCCAATAACGTATTTATTTATCTACCCATTCATTCATGAGCCTGGAGACAGAGCCATGACGGTCAATAGGCATGGTGCTTGCTTCCGAGCAGCTTATGGTCTAGTTCAGTGTTTCCTCTTCCAGGTCTGCTTCCATCTAGATGCAGTAATGGGTATGAGCATAAGAAGTGTGGCCGTGTGTGCAATCTCTGTTCTAGAGCCTCTGAAAGAAAAAGTAGCAACAATCACTCTTTACAGATATTAATGTAAATGTGGAGGAAAGGTGACATATTTCTGATGGCTTGAAGAAAACAAAATAATCTGAACTGCTTTCTTCCTAGAAAAGAGAAAGTAAGATCTCATTTACAATCAGGAACCTTATCTACCTATTTATACTTACATACATACATACATATATACTGGAAACATAACATCACAGAAAAATTTTAGAAGCCATAAAGTTACCCGTATACCTACAATCCTAACAAAGCCAATTCCCACACACACATTCCCACCACCCTGCCAAAAACTACCCAGGTTCCAATATTACAAATGCAAGGCCAGAAGGAGACTGCAAATGCATTACAATCAGCTGCTAGAGCAGGACTCCACTGAGCACAGAAACTGTGTGACTGATCATGTAAAGCAATGAACACTGAAAACAAGCCGAATTAACTACTTAAGGAGAATTATGAAGGATATAAAGTAACTGACTTGCTTGAAGGTCAAAGGACATTTACATGATACTTCTGCTGCATACTGATTTCTCAGTTTTAAAATCATTGGCCAAACTGCAGGATCTGAATTGCCTATATGGTCTCTATTTTTAAAAATACACCTAAGAATACTAAGGAGATTTTAATAGAAAAATCAACTGTTGAAATTGCTTGTGTGGCCCTTCCCCTTGTTGTTCAACCCTTCTGAAGCAATTCAGTCCAAAGGACATTAGGTGGTGCGGAGCAGTGTAGGTATCCACATGCAGGAGGCAGGGAGCCACAGGGTCCAGAGCAGGGTGAGAAGGTCACTCATTCACATGCAGGAGGCAGAGGCGTGGTGCAGGCTGATGAAGTCAGAATGTGGCGAAAAGGGCATTCATTCCCACCAAGGGCAGATCTGGTACAGGATGTCAGAGCTGTACGTCCTCTAGGGGTGGGTTGGGGGTATATGCAGAAGAGGAGACAGCAAGAAAAGACCAGTTACTTACAGGGAGTTGATCTAATCAGCAGATATATTAAGGATACTGGGTGCTAGGTTTTTTTTGTTATCTTAGAAGTCAATTACAAAAGTTGAAAAAGGAGAAAATTAGTGTGAGCACTGTGGTGTTTTGGAACAGGAGATAGTGGTGTGAACTCATGGTTTCCAACATATAGGTACATGTAGAAATAAGTGTAAATGTAATGAATAACAACACAGGTGGCCCTTCATATCTTCGGATTCTGCATTCTACAAATTCAACCAACTGCAGATGGAAAATATTCAGAAAAAACAGTGGGTGGTTATTGCATCTGTACTGAACATGTATAGATTTTTTTTTCTTGTCATTACTCCCTAAACAATACAGTATAACAACTAGTTATAGTACTTACAGTGTATTAGATATCAATAAATAATCTAGAGGCCAGGCGTGGTGGCTCACGCCTGCAATCCCAGCATTTTGGGAGGCCGAAGTGGGCGGATTACCTGAGGTCAGGAGTTCGAGACCAGCCTGGCCAACATGGTGAAACCCTGTCTCTACTAAAAATACAAAAAATGGCCAGACGTGGTGGCAGGTGCCTGTAATCCCAGCTACTCAGGAGGCTGAGGCAGGAGAATCACTTGAACCTGGGAGGCGGAGGTTGCAGTGAGCAGAGATCATGCCATTGCATTCCAACCTGGGTGACAAAAGTGAAACTCCATCTCAAAAAAAAGTAATCTAGAGGTGATTTAAAGTATACAGGAGGATGTGCATAGGTTATATGCAAATACTACACCATTTTATATGAGGGACTTGAGCATCCATGGATTTTGGTGTCTTTGGGAGTCCTAGAACCAATCCCCTTTGGATACCGAGGGACAACTGTACATATTTTGTGTGTGTGTGTGTGTGTGTGTGTGTGTGTGTGTGTGTGTTTTATAGCAATCAGTGTACTTAGTTTCCAGTGAGCACAGCTGGTTTCTAGATCTTGGTCTCTAAATGCTCTCCATTACTAAAAGGAACCTCTTGTGCCAGAAAGTAAGGAAGTATTCAAAGAAGAAAAGGGAATCTGGCTTAAAGGGCTCCCATTGGCCAAATCTGGGACAATTTGAGCATCAAAATAAATATTGATATTAACAGATTATAACCAGCTGAATAAAATAGGAATCCACTAGTTTATACCAATATTCCTAATTAATAAATTGTAAGTGTGATTCAGAAACATAATATTTGCAGTCAGTCTTCATCATTCTCAGATTCCTTATTTGCAAATTTTCCTACTCACTAAAATTCGTTTGTGACTCAAATCCAATACTGGCATTTTCACAGTCATTCTTGGGCATGCTTAGCAGTGAAAAATTTGAGTTGCCCAGCATTGTCACCAGCTGAGGTCAAACAGGTGGTGCTCTGCCTTCTCATTTCAGCGCTCACACTGGGAGCCAATGTCCTTCTTGCAGTCTGTTTCATGCCATGTTTTTCAAAGTTTTGTGCAGTTTTTTGAGGATTCGCCATTTAGTATGGCCCCCAAGCATAGTACTGAAGTGCTGGCTATTGCTCCTGAGTGCAGGAAGGCTGTGACGTGCCTTCTGGAGAGAATACATGTTATGTAAGCTTTGTTCAGGCATGAGTGATGTGCCATTGGCCATGAGTTCAGTGTTCATGAATCAACAATATATATCAGATAAGGTGTGTTTAAACAGAAACACACATAAAACAAGGTTATGTATTAAACAGTCGACAAAAATATTGTGACCAGGGCCTCACGGGAACCTAACCTTGTATTTTCCCTAAGAGCAATTACTCAGTATACAGTGTAAGTGTGTTGGTGACACTCGGTGTAGAATGTTAACTACTTATTGCCTGCTAACAGAACTAGAACCAACTACCGACTGTACATAGTTGCAGAGTATCTCCCCCACCATACTTAGCAATTGCAGAGTGAAAGAGAATAACCTAATAGTGGGAAAACCTGGCAGCTGATCAAAGTGAACATTATCAGTAATAGGACAAATCACAATTCTAGGCTGCCTGATAGAGGGTATGAGAACGTAGCATCACTTCTCTGTTACTCAGCCAGAACTTCACGATCTGAATCCAATAGTCAGGAGACGTTAGACAAAACAAAATTGAGAAACATTCTAAAACATAACTGGCCCGTAATCTTCAAAAGTATCAGGATGAAGAAAAGAGTTCTAACTTGAAGGAGACTACACAGACATGACAATTAAATACAATGTTCTGAACTGGGTCCTTTGGCTGTAAAGGACTTTAATGGGACACTGGTGAAACTCAAATGGGGTCTAGGATTAGACACTAGTGAAGCATCCATGTTAACTTCCTCATTTTGATGGTTCTTTTGTGGTTATGTAAGAGAATATCCTCGTAGGAAATATTTAAAGTATTCTCAGGGCGTTGGGACATCTTATTTGCAAATTAACTTTCAAATAGTTCAGGAAAATAATTATTTGTACTGCACTTGGGACTTTTTATGTAACTTTGTGATTGTTTCAAAATCTAAACTAATACACTAGACAACAAAGCTGCAGTAAATAGCATTCACAGAGACAAAAGAAAAAGACGATTTGCATGTATAACTGACTCAAGCAACCAGAAAGCAGTAAAGATGCAGCTTCTCAGCCGCAGAGCATGGCAACAGATAGCACAAAATAGTTAGCAATTTCACATCCAGAAATACCGAAAGTAACAAGGCATGGATCCCACAGGCAATCAGATGAAGAATTTGCATTTTCTCCCTTCGTTTTCGGCTTAAATTTCTTTCTGCTGTAACCAGTGAGTCAAAAGCAGCAGAGACATTGCTATACTATTAAATGCTTAATTTTATAGACTTTTAAATACCACTATGCGACATTATCCTGGCCTACCAACAACTGAGAAAATAAGGACTTGAAGAAAACAAGGGCAGCAGAAATAGTCTCTATAGGAAAAATGTAAAGGAGTGATGACAGGAAGAGTGGAGAACACTTATATGATACAACCGAAAGGTCATATGATAAGAAAGGCATGACATTATTAATAAGCAACATATGAGGCCTGTTAAGGAAACCTGGCTGTTCTCAGTTCTTCTGATATGACCCCGTTACACTTATCCTATGGAGAATTGGCCCATAGGAGAGTCCACAAGCTCTAATTTCAGGAGGCCCAACTGTCACATATGTTTCTCTATCAATACATCACTTATGGAGCTTGTGAGTGAGGAGTGGTACAGGTGGATGTAGGCTTAAGATTTCGAAGTGACACTCTTACTTCACACATAGGTGGGTGGATTAAAATGTAATGGAATACTGTAAAACAAGAGGCAGTGGTGCAATCTCTTTCAAAATGTGGAATTAGTAATGTCCTCGATGAGTCTGAGGACAGTTTATTTTTTGAAGATAGTGATGACTCAGTTCCTAACACAGTAAGGCCATTGGTGAAGAGAGTCATCCAGAGTCTAGCTGTGATGTCAGGTTTTTATGCTTTAGGATTGATAATGTAGTTAACTGTGAATATGATCATTTGCTAGATTTTTTAGTACAAAGACTAATATGTTCATAGTATTTTCCATTTTGTTTTCTTATTTTTTATGTAGTTTTGGTGCTTTTAACTATGATATTTGTTGTCACACACGTTTCTGTTAGAATTCATTTTTTTTTTAACGTACCTTACTGTGGACTGAGGTTCAGTAAAGCATTTACTTTTTTGTAAGCATGAGGAGAATTCCTTGAGATGCATTATGTTACTTTATGTTTTGCATTGAGTGTTACTAAACTATTACTCTGACTGCCTGCGTAAGAACTCATTCATATTTATTATATTTTGCTACTTCCTTTTTACTCATTTCTTTGTATATACCACATTGAAAAATGATTCAGATTTATTTTATATTGGAACTTGCTTTTTATTCTTAACAGCCACTGAAATCACTGAAATTTTAGACTAGGCATATGCAGTGCTGAGGTAGCTTATGAGATTTCACGTTCTAGTCAATGTATTACATCTTGTGTTTCTGCTGTGTAGCACCACTCCCATGATCTCATACACTTCTTTTTTGATCATGTGATTTTATACTCCCCCCCAACAGTCTGTAGAATATTACTAATTATCCAGAACTTATGTTTCTTCCTGATTTCTAGCCATAAAATATTCTATTTACATGAGCAAAATAATGTTTTCTCTGTAAAACTACTAAACCACTTTCAATATATGTATTAATAACAAGTTAACATTATTTTTCCAAAAATTTCCTTACAAAGTTGGAGTGCATCTTTACGTATCAGTATATTTTATACACTAGCAAATTTGCTGTTAGCACTTTCATGTTCCATTTCCTAAGGATTTAGAATAATCTTCATGGTTATAAACTTAATGGCAGCATAGTACTCTGCAATTTTAATTTGTCTTTTTTAGTAAACTGTTCGCCTTGTTAGAAATTTAGGTCGCTTCCAGGTTTCTTTGCTTTCTTCTTCCTTTTTTAAATGTAATTATCCTGGCCTCCACTACAGCTAAACTTCATAGAACTTTCTACTGCTGTTGAAGTAATCTCTTAGAGTAGTATAATCTGGGAGAAGGATTACGCATGGTAAAGGGTCTAAGCATCTTTTCATTATTATTATACTTCTTAAATCCTTTCTGGAACAAGGGGAAAATAAATAAATGTTACAGTTTTTGCTATGAATATTGATATGGCTTTCCAAAGGGATTATACCAGTTTAAAGTAAACATTTACTGGTTTTATCACAACCTCTATAGAATTGGGTGCTTTATAGTATTTTTATTTTATTTAATTAAGGGTATTAATTTGCATTTCCCTAGTTTCCCTTGTAACTGATTATTATTTGTGTTTCTTCTTACATCAGTTGTATGTTTATATTTAATTTGCCAGTCATGAAATTTGGATTATAAATATTGTCTTTTTATTGAGAAAGCTCAGAAAAAGTTCATAAATGTTGCCTCATTTTGAATTCTTTCCTCTCACCCAAACGAATAGGAGACTAGGGAACCAAGAGGCCACATTCATGTTCGTATAGGACACTTAGCACATAATAACAATCTGATAGCTGTTTTCTAGTAAAACAGCTTCATATCTCTATTTAAAAACCTTAAATTCGGCCAGGCACAGTGGCTCTCGTGTGTAATCCCAGCACTTCGGGAGGCCGTGGCAGGTAGATCGCTTGAGCCTAGGAGTTCAAGACCAGCCTGGGAAACACGGTGAAACCTCATCTCTACCAATAAATAAAAACATTTTAAAAATTAGCCAGATGAGGTGGCACATGCCTGTAGTCCCAGCTGCTCAGGAGTCTGAGGTGGGAGAATCACTTGAGCCTGGGAGGTTGAGGCTGCAATAAGATGTAATTGCTCCACTGCACTCCAGCCTAGGCAACAGAGTAAGACCCTGTCTCCAAAAACAAAAACCCTGAAATTCCATTTCAAAGTGTTTCAAAATTTATATTCAGATAGAACTAGAATTTGGTAACTAGAATTTTGGAATTCAGACATTATCTAAAATGTCTAGACTTTTAGAAAGAAACTTGTATCAGGCTGGGCGTGGTGGCTCACGCCTGTTTTCCCAGCAGTTTGGAAGGCCAAGGCGGGCAGATCACCTGAGGTCAGGAGTTCAAGACCAGCCTGGCCAACATGGCAAAACCCTGTCTCTACTAAAAATACAAAAAAAATTAGCTGAGTGTGGTGGTGGGCACCTATAATCCCAGCTACTTGGGAGGCTGAGGCAGTAGAATTGCTTGAACCTGGGAGGCAGAGGTTGCAGTGAGCTGAGATCGTGCCACTGCACTCAGCCTGGTGACAGAGTGAGACTCCATCTCAAAAAAAAATAAAATAAAAAAGAAACCTGTATCAAAAGCTAGATAGTAAAATTTTGAAATAAAAGTGCTCAGAAAAATGTTAATTGCTAACTTAAACATTATAGTCAAATGTGTATGAGAAGGCTGAGTGTTTATACAGCATCAAGTGGCTGAGAAGCTTTCTGATTTGGGAAGAGAGACTCATGGGGATTTTACTCAGCAATGTTTTTTTCTAGCTTCAGCCTTAAAGTTTTAGAGCAATTCTGAGACTGTAGAAAATTGCTGTTAGTCTTAAGACTACAGTTAAGCACCCTGACTCTGTTTAATTTGATATTAGTTATGTCTTGCTAGGAAGAAACCACTGGCAAAGGAGAAAAGTCTCCTTCCAGGATATTTAGTCCAGATGATTTTTAATAATTATAGTTTATTTATTTTTGTTTGAAATCATTGTAAAGGAAAATCATTTGTGTCTTTCTGTTCAGTGCCTTTAGAAAATCTGCATAGCCTCCATGGAGGTTCACCTAGTGGCAGCTTCCACCAATTATAGGCAACACACTGTTGACTGGTGAAGCTGAACTTACAAGGTTTATGTGGAGAAGGACCTTTTTTTTGTTGTTGTTTTGAGACGAAGTCTAACCCTTGTCACCTAGGCTGGAGTGCAGTGGCACAATCTCAGCTCACTGCAACCTCCGCCTCACAGGTTCAAGCAATTCTCCTGCCTCATCCTCCTGAGTAGCTGGGATTACAGGCTCCCATCACCGCGCCCAGCTAATTTTTATACTTTTAGTAGAGACGGGGTTTCGCCATGTCGGCCAGGCTGGTTTCGAACTCCTGACCTCAGGTGATCCACCTGCCTCGGCCACCCAAAGTGCTGGGATTACAGGCGTGAGCCACCATGCCCGGCCAAGAAGAAACTTAGGCAGGTATCAGAAGGGAGAATGGAGGAAAGGAAGATAATTTGAGTGAGAACACAATGTTTCACACTTTTAAAATTTTACTGTATTTTACTGATAGATTACTTGATGTTTTTAATTGGTTATTTTCCCCACCCTGCCCTACCCATTACCTTTTTTTTAAAAAGACTATTTATACTTTTTAGTTTTATGACAGTTGAGTTAGGAACATCTTCCAGGGTGTTTTTATGAAGCAGCATCCTAATAGAAGATTCTGTGTTCCAGCCCTGAAGGGTGCAGTCAATGATTAAATGTAAAATTCTGTCCAGACACATGATGGAGCCATATTAAACTGTTGCTGCCCTCAGGCTATTTGACAGCTGTCTGCTGATGTGATATTTAAATCATCATGAAACATTAGAATAGGAATACCAATTCACAACCCAAGCATGTTTCTGAAGTATGAGCAACTGCAGACAAAAAAAGGCCTAGACATCACTTGAAAGGTTTCTGATGAGCAAATTGCAAATATCAGCACCTCTAAGCTTGAAATGTTACCTGTTGAAATAGAACAGTGAATGTTCTTGTATGTAATCGATCTTCAGGCCAAGAAAGTGGAACTAGATTGAATCAAATGGAGAAACGTAAAAATAATTTTAACTCCTACCTAGATGAATGCAGCAAGCTCAGATAGTCAGTAATCTCATCTAGGTTTTCAACTCCTAGAAGACTGTAACAATGCCTGCTTATATAGTCCAGATTGCTTACTGCAGTACTCTGTCCATTGAACATGTTCAGCATACATAGAATTATCTCTTTTCATTTTCAGTGAAAAAGACTTTGTCACTGAAACTGGCAATTACCACATTTCTGTTCCTTAATGAGGAAAAACTTCCATCTGGTATACTCGCAGCACGATACTACCAAAGACCATTGAATCCATGTTGCATTCTCATAGTGGCAGACGTAAATTTGAGGACATTTGTGAATTGTCAGCATCAATGTGAATGCCTCTGTTACCAGGTCCTCACTGACTTGTGCTCTCTGGTAATCAGGGCCAGCTTCAAGGATATGTGACCCATGCAGTCTCATAGGGTCTTGCACTTGGCTTAATATTCTGCTGTCACCGTCTTGAAATTATTAATAATTTTTTTCACAAGGACTCATGTTCTCATTTTGCACCGGGCCCCACAGATTCTGTAGCAGCCTCCTGGGTCTTTTTATCATACAGTTCTGCTTACCAACACTGTATGTAAAACCTTCCCTAGAGAGTTTACGTCTATTGAAATTTTAATGTCTTTTGAAAGTACCAGTTTGTTATTAAAAATATTTGTAGAGATCATCTCCCCTTACCTTCCCATCCCCTCTTCCCACTGCCTGTGGAGACAGTGCACCTGAAGCGTGGCCAGCAGCGTGCCTGGCACCTGACTGATGCAGAGGTAAGGAGAGGGAGTGCAGAGATGGCAACTGCAGTTGTTGGGAGATTAGTTACATTGAGCAAAGAAGTTATTTGATTTAGCAAATGAGTAGATGTCCTAAAGATAAGGAGAGCCAGTTTTCTCACTCCCTGAAGGGATTTACAAACATTTAAAAGGTGAAAGCTGAAAAGAACACCAACGTACCATGTTAGTATTGGAATTATCAGTATGAACTTACGGGTTTAAAAATTTATATATAGAAATAGTTATAGCGTGTATGTTTATATATATAAATATATGTCTCTCTCTGTGTGTGTATGTGTGTATGCATGCATATATTTCTTAGTAGTATGTACTGAGAGGTTCTAGAGGCAATGACACCCAGCAGTAATAAACACAGTGAGTTCCAAGATTATAGTTTCTAAAGCCACTCTCCACTAAAAGAAATCAGTGCTTAGAAAAATGGCCATTTCCAGGGCTGGGCAGCAAACATACAGGATGAACACAGAACATCTTGTCTTTCCAGAGAGTAAGTAAATAATCAAAGAATGACAGGTCATGTCAGAAGGACCCAGAAACCAGCCTGAATGCATACCCACTGGCAAAAATCTAATGTCAGCAACAAAATAAATAATGTTAATATTAGTTAAAAACTTGTATAAAATAGGAATCCATAAGTTTGTACTGATATACATAAATGAATAGATAAATAGGAAAGAAGGGAAAAGTCTTCCTTACATACAAGGTCAACTAGTAAATATAGAAGGGATGGTAGAAATAGTAACTATTTGGCAACCATTAGATTAGTAGTAAATGCTACTACTAATAGCATTTACATTGGTGTAATACTACAGTACTACACTACATTGGTGTAATACTACAATAGCATTAGGTGATAGACACAGGAGTCATCAGTCAATATGAGACTAGTAGTTGTAGGTTTGATGAGGAACAGGGTGTTGTCATGATATTGACATTTCTTCCCATAAAATATTACTCAGATGTAAAGGGGGAAATGGTGACCATGGTGTAGATAGCCGGCAGACGCAGTCTTGACCAGGGCATCCTGTGATGAAACAGGTCAATATAGCATGCCTATATTATTCACTGAGACAGGGCATCATTTCTGTGGTATTCCTGCCAAGAATTCATGGCCTCTGGTCATGAGGAAACACTAGACACATCCAGTGAGAATAAAGACTTTCTAACTGGATACCATTAAGTATGGTGTTAGCGATAGGCATTTTTAGATACTCTTTATCAAGTTGAGGAAGTTCCCCTTTATTCCTAGTTTACTGAGAGCTTTTATCATGAATGGGTGTTGGATTTTGTCAAATGCACTTTCTGTATCGACTAATATTGTGAGATTTTCTACTTTAGCTCATTGTTTTGATAAATTATGATAAATCGCACTTGGTTTCAACATATTCTTTTTATGCATTTGATACATTGGATTTCATTTGCTAATATTTTGTTGAGGATTTTTGCATCTATGTTCATGAGAGATGTTGGTCTGTAGTTGCTGTGATCTGAATGTTCCTCACCCACAAAAAAATAAAAATTCATGTGTTGAAATCCATACCATCAGGAGGTGGGACCTTTTGGGATGTGATTAGGTTAATAAGGCAGAGCCCTCATGAATGGGGTTAGTTACTCAATATAAGAGGCCCCAGAGAACTGCCTCATTCCTTCCATCATATGAGACACAGCAAGAAGGCACCATCTGTGAGAAAGTGGGCCCTCACCAGGCACTGAATATGCAAGTACCTTAATCTTGGCCACCAGAACTGGAAGAAATAAATTCCTGTTGTTCATAATCTAAACAGTTCATGGTATTTTGTTAGAGCAGCTCGAACAGACTCAGACAGTAGTTTTCTTGTAAGTTCTTTGTCTGGTTTTGGTATTAAGGATGCTGGCCTCACAGAATGAGTTAAGAACTACTAAGAAGTATTCCCTCTGCTTCTGTCCTCTGAAAGAGATTGTAGAGAATTGGCATAGTCTTGCTTAAATGTTTGGTAGAATTCACCAGTGATAGAGTCTTATTCAGATTGAGTATTTCTTCTTGTGAGTTTTGGCAGATTGTATCTTTCAGGGACTTTGTCCATTTCATCTAGGTTATCAAATTTGTGGGCATAGAGTTGTTCATAGTTTTCCATTGTTATCCTTTTAATGTTCGTGGGCTCCGTAGTGATGTCTCCTCTTTCACTTCTGATACTAAGCGTTTCCATCCTCTCCTTTTTGTTAGCTTGGCTAGAGGCTAATCAGCTTTTGATTGGTCTCTTCAAAGAACCAGTTTTTGGTTTCATTGATTTGTTTCTCCGTTGATTTCCTGTTTCAATTTCAATTTCCACTCTAATTCTTATTATTTATGTTCTCCTGCTTACTTTGGATTTAATTTACTCATAGTTTCCTAAGATGGAAATTTAGATTTTTTATTTTAGATTATTCTTCTAATATAGGCATTCAGTGCTATAAATTTTCCTCTAAGCACTGCTTTTGCTGCCCTCGTTCTTTGTTTCTATTTTTGTCTTCCATTCTTTTTCTGCCCTTTGTGGTTTTAATTAAGCATTATGTATTATTCCATTTTCTCTCCTTTCTTAGCATATCAGTTATTCTTCTTTTTTTACTTTTTCTTTCCAGTGGTTGCCCTAGAATTTGCAATGTGCATTTACTACTAATCTGAATTCACTTTCAAATAACACTATACCACTTCACTTCACAGGTAATGTGATACCTTTATAATAACAAAATAATCCTAATTCCTCCCTCCTGTCCTGTGTGTCATTGCTGTCATTCATTTCACTTAAATACATGCATAAGTAAGCATTTGTATATATGTATGTATATACACACACATAAGCTATCTATAGCAGCATACATAATTGAATACATTGTTGCTATTGAACAAACTCTGTTAGATCATTTTAAAATAAGAAAAAGGAAAGGTTTTATTTTACCCTTGTTTTTGTTCAACATTTCTCTTTATGTAGGTCTGAGTTTCTGACCCATATCATTTTCCTTCTCTCTAAAGAATTTCTTTTAACGTTTCTTGCAAGGCAGATCTATTAGCAACAAATTCCCTGAATTTTTGTCTGAGAAAGCCTTTTTCTCTCCTTTATTATCCTTTGAAAGAATACTTTCATAGGATTCAGAATTCTAGGTTGGTGGCGGGTGTTTTTTTTCCTATCAGCACTTTAAATACTTCACTGTACTCTCTTCTTGCTTGCATGGTTTCTTAGGGGAAGTTGGATATAATTTTTATTTTTCTCTATACGTAAGGTGTTTCCCCCCCTCCCCAGCTTCTTTCAGGAATGTTCTTTATCTTTTTATTTTCTGTAGTTTGAAAATGAAATGCCTACATGTAGGTTTTGGGGGCATTTATCCTGTTTGGTATTCTCTGAGCTTCCTGGATCTGTGGTTTGGTGTCTGATATTAATTCTGGGAATTTCTCAGTCACTTGTTTCAAATATTTCTTATATTATTTTGTTTCTTCTCTTTCTGGTGTTCTTATTACACATGTTACACCTTTTATTTATTTTAGAGACAGGGTCTCACTCTTACCCAAGCCATTCTCCCACCTCAGCCTCCCAAATAATCGGGACTACAGGCATGTGCCTCCGTTTTTTGTGGGGATGTGGTCTCATTATGTTGTCTAGGCTGGTCTCAAACTTCTGGGCTCAAGTGATCTTCCTGCCTCGGCCTTCCAGAGTGCTGAGATTATAGGTGTGAGCCACCGTACTCGGCCTGTGTGACACATTTTGTAATTGTCCCACAGTTCTTGGAAATTCTGTTCTATTTCTTTCAGTCTTTGTTGTCTTTGCTTTTCCATTTTCAGAGTTTCTCTTGATAATATCTCAAGCCTAGAGATTCTTTTCTCAGCCATGTCTGTCTACTAATAAGCCCATCACAGGCATTCTTTATTTCTGTTTCGGTGATTTTTTGATCTCTAGCATTTCTTTTTAGTGTTTCTTCAGATTTCCATCTTTCTGCTTACATTCCCCTCTGTCCTTAAATTCTAGCTACCTTTTCCGTCAGAGCCTTCAGCGTGTTAATTATAGTTGTTTTAACTTCCTGGTCTGATGATTCCAACATCCCTGCCATGTCTGTTCCTTATTCTTGCTCTGTCTCTTCAAGTTGTATCTTTTGCCTTTTGGTATGCCTTCTAATTTTTTCTTCATAGTCGGACATATAATGTTCTAGGTAAAAGGAATTGCTGTAAATAGGCTTATAGTAACCCGATGGTAAGATGATGGGGGAGAAGTGTTCGCTAGTCCTGTGATTAGGTCTTAGTCTTTCAGTGAGCCTATGCCCCTGGACTGTGAACATCACAAGGGTTTCTCAGTTTTTCCTACGCCCTTAGATGGGACAGGATGACTAGAGTGGGCAGGAGTTGGATATTTCCTTCCCCCAGGTCAGTTAGGCTCTGGTTAACTAGTTTCTCCTGCAGGAAGGCCTTAATTAAGAAAAGCAGTGCTAGGTCATGTTTCAAAATGGTTTCTTTTCCCCTCTCCCAGCCAGAAGCAGAAGGGTTTATTTCTCTGATATTTAATGTGAGGATCTGGCCAGGTTACTGGAGGTAAATCTCACAATATTGTAGGAGTTGGCCCATCCGGAGTGTTTAACTCTCAGACTTGTCTGAGCCTCCAGCAGTTCATCGGTTAGAATTCAGGTTTTCTTACCTTAGTGTTGGTTTCTCACAGCAGTTTCCACTCAGGAGTCTCTGCTCTGTTAAGCCACGACTTCCACTAGGAGTCTCTGGTCTCTGTTCTGGGAAGCCACAACTCCCTCTATTTGCCTCTCTGTCTCTCCAGCCCCGGGGCAGTAGTTTACCTTGTGTCTTCCCCTCTTATAGGTCCAGAAGAGTTGTGACTTTTCAGAGTGTTGACCTTCTATTTGTTCAAGTAGAGTAGCAACTTACAAGCTCCTTAAATGCAGAACCAGAAACTGGAAGTCCCTTCTCTGCCTGTTTTTCACTTGGGTTGTCTTTTTGTTGTTGAGTTGTAAGAGTTCATTATATATGCTAGATATAAGTCCCTTATCAGATACATGATTTACATATATTTTCTCTCATTCTGTGAGTTATTTTTTTCACTTTTTTATTGGTATGATTTGCAGCACAGACGTCTTTAATTTTGATGTAGTCTTTTTCCTTTGTCACTTGTGCTTTGGCGTCATGTATAAGAAGCTCGGCAGTGGCTGGGCACAGTGGCTCATGCCTGTAATCCCAGCACTTTGGGAGGCCGAGGCAGGTGGATCACCTGAGGTCAGGAGTTCAAGACCAGCCTGGCCAACATGGCAAAACCCTATCTCTACTAAAAATACAAAAATTAGCCGGGTGTGGTGGCAGGCACCTGTAATCCCAGCTACTCAGGAGGCTGAGGCAGGAGAATCGCTTGAACCTGGGAGGCGAAGGTTGCAGTGAGCTGAGATCATGCCACTGCACTCCAGCCTGGGTGACAGAGCGAGACTCCATCTCAAAACAAAAAAATAAATGTGCTCAGCAGCATGAAGTTTACTTCTGTGTTTTATTCTAACAGTTGTGTAGTTTTAGCTCTTACTGCATTTAGGTCTATGATCCATTTTGAGTAAATTTCGTATATGGTATGAGGTAGGGGTCCAGTTTCATTCTTTTGCCTATTTGTTGAAAAGACTATTATTTTCTCATAGAATTGTCTTGGTACCATAAATGATTTTTAATGTGTAGGTCCTACATCCTACCTTTGAAACCATTACTGAACATCCAGGTAGCTCTGACTATGGTGTTTTACCAGATGTCATATCCTAGAAAATCCTTGTGGGGTTTACATGTCATTTGCAAGCTTTAGTAGTTTCCATAATGAGGCAGACTCAGGGTCTGCCTAGCCAAATTGTCATTTGCCAGCAGAGAACTTAAAGTACCAAAGAAGGGCCTAATATTCTTCCCTAATGTCAAATTAAGGCTCCAAAGTGCCTCAGCTTTTTATGATTGTAAATTATCAGTCTGTCTAGATGAATTTTTAGTTAATGTTTTACCTTTGCCACTTATCAGATTAGTGAATTCCATGTGTTTAATACCTGTCCACATTTGTCCCTATCAAGTTTCAAAGTATGCTGTTTAGAAATTAGAACAGTTCTTTGAATTCTGTGTGCCAGTGAAAAGAGCAAGCATGAAGTTGTGCATATGAATTAATAAGTAAATCAGTTTCGTCATAGGTAGGGAGGAAGTTTAATTTGGATGTAGGGAAGGGGCAATAGGATAAGAGCAGGACAACAGAGCATCATTTATGACTGGGGAGCTAATGGAGGGAAGTTGTCCTGTTGGTTGAGAGATGGGTTCTGCAGCCCCTTCTGTGGGCTGGGTAGGCTCCGTGGGCGAGTCTCTTACACATCGTTGTCCTGGATTATCTCCTCTGAGTCCATTCTACAAAGGAGACTCTTAAAAACCGTGTTTTCTACCTATGGTAACAGAGCTGATGAGAGTTTAATTGATGCCTCTTTTAAGGGTTTGAGATTTTTTAATTGGTTTTTGGTGCATTGGGTAATTAACTTCTCAGTGACCAGTTTCCTACATACAGTCATCCTTCAACCCACAGAGGCCCTACCTTTAGGCCTCTGCTCTCTTCCTATGTCCAGCCATCCATGGTATTCCGCACCTCTTCATTCATTTTCTTCTTAATTAACTAAGGATACAGAGAGGAGCACTGCCCCAAGTGTAGTCCTGAGATGCTATCTCATGTTCCTAAATGCAAGAAGGCTGTTGTGTGCCTTAGAGAAATTACATGTGTTAGGTAAGCTGCTTTGAGTTATAGCGCTGTCCTTGAGTTATAGTGCTGTCCATGAGTTATAGTGCTGTGGCCATGAGTTCAATGTTAATGAATCAGCTATATGTTAAATAAGGTGCCTTTAAACAGAAACATGCATCAAACAAGGTTATGCATTGATCAGTTGAAGATGTTTTAGGGGCTCACAGGAACCTAACCCTGTATATCCCCTGTGGACAATGCTTTAGTATTCACTAATTCAGTATTCACAACAGCACAACTATCATGAATAACAAGAATTAAATGTATTTGTCATGTAATGGGCGCTAACACTGGTTGCCACTGACTTTATCAGATTAATTTTGTGCTGTGTATGATGTTTTAAATTTTAAGTTTTATATATTTCTTATATGTGTATATATGAGATGTATAGCCATATATTTAATCTATATGATGTATAGCCACATATTTAATAATTTATATATTTGTGAGTTCTTTATAAATTATTTCAGGGTAAAAAAGGGCATTTAGAAGACTTTGGCTTGTACAATCTGAAACAGTAAAATTTTAAAAATATACATATGTTCCTTGCCAAAATTAACCATATTTTTTACTTTAGTAGCCTTCATTTAGCGTCATCTGATTACTAATTTTAAAATGTATTTGATTTTAAGAAAATTATAGTTCCAAAGATAGAAATTTATTTTACTGATAACTGTTAAGTAAGCCATATATGCTAACTCTGGTCACTCTAATATATACATTTTATGTCACTCTCAGTTTGAAAGCTCCAATGTGTCTTTGCCTTAAAGAATTTTGACTTATCTTTGATTTATAGAGTTTGTATGGCAACTCTCCTGGCTTCCAGAGCCTAACAGACTTACTTGTATAGCTTTTAAAGCTAATCGATTGGCTTTTGATACTTTTGCTGGAGGAATATCTTATTAAAATCAAATGGATGAAGTAGCTAATTGTATTTAACATTTGAAGGGATAAGTGAAAAGAGGAGGAAAAGACTCAAGTTGATTCAAAAGCAAAATGAGAAGAAAAGATAATTGGCATATTCTCCACATCTTTCCTCTGATCAACCACATAGGAGACAAAACAAATTAGAGACTTGTCTTTGAACAGGAAGCAGATGTGCCGAGCATATTTTTACTTCAGATTTTGTTAACTATTTTATCTTTAGATACTGATTTTTGTCTAGAGGAGAGTGTTGGAGCAACTAAAATGGAACTCATAACTTCAGCTCTTGATGGAAGTTTCCTTGATGCCTGGCACTTTATGCTGTATTAATGCCAGGAAATAAATTTTATTTCCTCCTGTCTTTAGGCAAGCTGTTATTCCTCTAATGCACAGTCACTTTTAACTTAGATTTTTGAGAAACAAGGAAAAAAGATTTAATCTTTGAGACCAGTTGTTGGCTAAGGCAGGCGTTTGAGCATCCCAGTTACTTGTCATTCAGCAGCTGTGTGGGAAAATGTAAGCTACATTGTTGAACAGATTTTGTAAAGGAAAAAATTTATTTCTTGATTTATTTGGTACAAATGTCTCTTTACTCAAAAAATCTTTACAAATGGTTATTGGGCATTCAGTCATTTGCTTAGCACTCTGTAATTTTATAAAGTGATTTCCATCAGGTGCCTTTCACAGAAACCCTGAAGGTCAGGGGAAATCATAATTTCCTTGATGAGAAAGCTGAGGCATAGAGAAGCTCCTTGTTAGGAGGCTTTGCCTCTGATTTCCTGGTCAGCTTCATAGGTTTTTTGCTTTTTTATTTTTGTTCTTTTTAACTTTTTTAATATCCTTGCCTTACTGCTGTGGAGAATGATTTCTATTTTGCAACAGCTTATGTTTTTCTCCTGTGTACAGGGATATTCCAATGCCTTTAGTTAGCTCAGGAGTAGAGCATGGTAACCTGAGAGAGCTGGCACTTGCAAGAATGAAAGACCTCGGAATACAGGTAAGAGCAAATATGGCGGTCAGGCCACAACTGTTGAGAAAAAGAGAAATCTGAAACACGAAAGACTTTGCCACTACCACCCCTAAAACCAGACTTGCGGGTCAGGTCAGAAAGCTCCCAGATGTTGAAAGCATAGTCACTGAACTGTGTCGGAGCTGAAGCCAGTGGTGCAGGGGCTGCCTCCTTTTCCTTCATTCCCTTCTGCTTTCTTCTGCCTGCTCAGATTGCCAACTGTGTGCCCCACTCCAGTTTTTAAAAACAGTTTTTCTTTTGAAGTATTAGGTATTCAGTTATTGACTGAAGGAAAAGGAGACGTGAATCCTGAAAGGAAAGTATAATCATTTGAAAAGACAAGTATTATGTGCATGAAATAATTGCCAAAACTGCTATTGCCCCACATATACCAGTCTCCTATCCCTCTGGCCATTGAAGTCCCTTCTTCGCTCACAGATATTTACTAAACATCTCCTCTGTGCTGGCCCAGGATATACAAAGAGCCCAAGAACCTGCAACTTAACAGTCTCTGTGGGAAATTCTTAAGTCATAGGAAGGTTTAAAACTCCAGTGCTCAGGAACTTCTTAGAGCTGCTAAAGGGATAAACCAGGAGTGGTGTTGAGACCAAGGGCCGACTCCTGGGCTCTGCCTTCATAGATTCTGGATCAGTAGATTGGGATGGGACCTATCTGTTTGTTATCCAGCACTAGGTACATGGTTCTCATGCACAATTCAGATTTGGGCCACACTTTGAAAGACATGGTTCCAAGGATTGCATATGGTGTTTGTGGACTTAACCTAAGACATTTTATTCTCTCACTCAAATTATTAGGGAGAAAATGTTTCAGAAGATTGTTCAGGGGAGAGTTTGTGAATATTATTGGCATATTCTACCAAAAAAAAAGTGAACAATTTTATGTTCCAGAAAAATAGCAAAGGACACCAAACAAGATTGTGTGCCTGCTTTGCCTCCAAGGCTCCAGCTGTTTGTGTTCTCCATCTCCTCTCGCCTCCAAGAAGGCCACTGACCTTCAAGAAGGCCAAGGTGACTGACCTGGCCTGGTTATCCCAACAATCTCGTTATCCATCCATCTTCTTTAACCCTCACCCCTCATAAGCCTTGTTAGCCTCTATTAAAGTAAGCTGGGATTGAGTCCAAAGGCTGGAATTCAGTCATAGCCAAAATATATCTAGTTCCTATAGGCAACATCTTGAGCAGAAAATAAGCACACACCAATCTCTGCCTTTAAAAAAAGCATGCCAAAAAAAAAAAAAAAACAGAAACAGCATGCAGATGTTCATTAAGAACATGGAACAGTAATACATTCCCATGCTAGCTACTATATAGAACTATTGTAGTGAAAGGACAGCAGCTACATTAAGTAGATTAATAATTACAGAGATTGATCATCTTCGTCTGCTGTACAGTTTTTGTTTACTGGAATTCATGGACTCTACATCAGCAAAGCATTGTCTTGAGCTAGTTCCTGGGGTGTGGAAGTAGCTTTAGTTTTCTACAACTGAATAATGAGCTCTTATTTTTCTCTTGGAATTCTGTACATATATAGCAGTCCTTCATAAAAATACTATTACTAGAAAAGCTTATGTGACATCATCAAATTTCCCACAGTGATCTTTTCTTACTGGAAGAAAATGTTTATGGTTTGTTCTATGGGGGGGAAATATACCATAAGATATATAATTGAATAATTACAATGATTTATAATAATGAAAAGGATTGTGTAATTGTAAATGTCTGGTAGCATAGCATGCACTGTGGGTTGTGGAATAGAAGTGAGAGCCACATCACAGATGCTTGGCCATGCAGACCAGACATTGCATTGGCATTGTCTGCAGGCAGCTCCATGCCTTCTCAGATATTCAAGAGCCATTTGTGATTGTGCTTCAAAGTATGTAATACATAGCTCTAGGTTCCTCCTCCCTCCCTCCCTCTCTTCCTTCCTTCCTTCTTTCCTTCCTTCCTTCCTTCCTCCTTTCCTTTCTTCCACAGTGCCCTTCTTGCAAAAAAAAAAAAAAAAAAAAGCCATCTTCAACATGTAATTTTTGGATATTCCTAAAATGATACAAATATGGGGATGCTAAAAATGTTAACTGCCGTAAAATGGAGGTTTTAAACATTTAGGAATTTACTTTTTACTCTTTATATACATACTTCTGGATTGTACTTTCAGATAGTTATATCCCCTAGGCAAACCTGTTTCTTACTTTTATGACTTACATTCTTTACTGCTAAGATTATATTATATATTGATCTTTTTCGAATTCTAAATTTATTTTAAAAGCACTACTGTACTACTTCATACATTCCTACTCTGGTTTCCCCATCCTCAGATTCATTAAAGGTGGTTTTATTTTGAAATTCAGCTCTTTTATCTCACTGCAAGTTATATGCAAACTTAATTTTGAGCCCAGGGTTTGGTGGAGAGGTTTAAATAAAAATAAAGATTGAATTGGTTACCAGTTTTATATTTGTACCCCTCCCACCCCCCAACCCCGCTCACGCCATTTTTTTTTGACAGTGTCGAGATGTGAGAACCAGAGAAGTTGGAATCCAAGAAATTCATCACAAAGTACGGCCATACCAGGTTAGTCTCTTCATGTCATAGAGGGCCTAGGTACTGTCCTTAGATCTTTGCCAACCCTGGGCCCACATATTCTTAACCAAGGACAGAGCCCCAGGAGTGAATAACTAAGAGCAGAGACTAATCGAGGATTAGATACCGGTGTCAAACCGTGAAAGCCAAATACAAGAATTCTAGAAGAGCCAGGTTAGGAAAACGAAGTCTGAACCTCATTCTAGATTAGCACTGTCCAGTGGAACTTTCTGCAGTGTTGGAAATGTTCTGTGATCTGAGCTATCCAATATCCAATATGGTGGTGACTGTTGAGCACTTGCAATATGGCTTGTACAAATGAGGAACTAAATTTTTAATTTAAAATAAATTCAATTGTAAATAGTCCCCTGTGACTACGAGCTACATTTGGGAAGAGCATAGTATGATCTGCTTCTCTCTTTATGTGTAACTATTCAGCTGTTGGCCCAATGGTGATAAGCAAATGAATAGATCAGCCCTTACCCACAGGCTCCACAAAAATTAAGCATAATGCCTTAAGGCATTCATGGTATGTAATGAATTAACTTTTCTCTTATACTCTTATAATGTCTAGCTGTATGCCAGATTTTCTGTAGGATTTGATTCTCTTGTGGAACCCCATTTGAGAAAGGCTGGAATAGATGATCTCTGCATTGATATTTCTGTTCTCAGCATGAATCAGTTAATTGACATTTTTCACATTTAGGACCTTTTGAGAGAAAAAGTAGACCCAACACAATTTGCCAGATTCTTGTGCTGTTCAGTTATTTAGCAAACATTGTTGAGAAGGAATATGTGTTAGTCTGAATTGTTCACCTTGCTCTGGGTACCATCTCCCCATCTACCGAGTGTTTCTGCGTGTGGCCATGTCCATATGTATACTTTTCTCTGTGCGTGCAATATTGTTACATATGGCTTCTATTTAAGAAAAGTACAAGAGCCATTTGTACAATGAGCTGAAGAGCCAAAAGCCTGTGCAGACTGCTACCACAAAGCTTCCCCCCAGAAGCTACCCTCCATGACTGAACTTTCTCTAACATTTTTATCCCATAATTATGCATAATATTTAAGTGCCCTGTGGGAGGCCACACTTCCTTGAAATTTCGTCAAGGTGCAGGTGACCAGCATCACATTTTTCTTCCCCAAAGATAGGTTTCAGTGGAGGCGATAAGGACTAGAAGATGAAACCCAAACCATTGAACACCTGACAGTTTTGAGACAAAGGGGTGCTCCTGAGAGCTACGCATGAGACGTGATTTTGAAATTTTACATTAAGAGACTCTTCATGGGGAGTCAAATGCATGGAAGCCTTTACTGAGCTGGATCTCTGTAAGAGTCTCAAGGTTAATGAAGTTCAAGTATTTGTGAAATTATACAGTTATTTTCCTTTTATAATAGTCCATGAACAAGGTGTGAACTTTAATCTTGGTGCTATTTGAGAGTAGACAAGTAAAAAGAAACATAATTAGTGATTATTCATTCCTTATCCCTAACTAGATATTAACCTAAATAAATACATACAATTACAAAAATGAATTTGGTTCTTTAATTTTGAATAATATTTTTTGTGGCTTTTTACTAAATAGGTTGAATTGGTAAGGAGAGATTATGTTGCAAATGGTGGCTGGGAAACATTCTTGTCATACGAAGACCCAGATCAAGACATTTTGATTGGCCTCCTACGATTACGCAAGTGTTCAGAAGAAACTTTCCGTTTCGAATTGGGTGGAGGTGTCTCCATAGTACGAGAGCTGCATGTGTATGGGAGTGTGGTCCCTGTGAGCAGCCGGGATCCTACTAAATTTCAGCATCAGGTATCCTGTATTCCATTTCTATTTGACTTCTAAGAAACTGCCTAAGTAGGAAAAGAGAAAAGGAATGGGGTGAAGAGAAGAGGAAGAGGCAGAGGAGCAGGAGAGGGGAAAGAGAAGCATAGAAACAGAGGAGCCAGTGTTTTAGTTGTTCAGAGATGTTTTCTCTCCAAATTGTATCCTTTTGGGAGGAAAGGATAAACTGAGATTCAGTCAGTTGGAACATAACAGATTGAACCACATGGAATTGGTTTTTTTTGAGACAGAGCCTCACTTTGTCACCCAGGCCAGAGTGCAGTGGCGTGATCTTGGCTCACTGCAACCTCCGCCTCCCTGGTTCAAGTGATTCTCCTGCCTCAGCCTCCCTAGTAGCTGGGATTACAGGTGTGCACCACCATGCCTGACTAATTTTTGTATTTTTAGTAGAGATGGGGTTTCACCATGTTGGCCAGGCTAGTCTCGAACTCCTGACCTCAGATGATCCACCCACCTTGGCCTCCCAAAGTGCTGAGATTACAGGCATGAGCTACTGTGCCTGGCCTGCAGTTAGTATTTTTGAAAGTAAGAAATCGTCTAATACTGGCAATCTCATATGGGTCAACTTATTGTGGAGTCAGGTTAGACAGTAATGGGAAAGCACTTATGAAACACTTCCTAAGGTTAAGCCATATTATACATAGGGGAACCCTATTCTAACCCCAGACAACCTACCTTAATAGCTCACTTTTAAAAATTTCCAGAAAATGTGTTAAAACCTAATGGCGGATATGATATACGAGCCAAAATTGATTATTTAAGAATTTTGCCTGGTTTCTCAACTCTTAGAAAGTAGAGAGGTGGCCGGGAGTGGTGGCTCACGCCTGTAATTCCAGCCCTTTGGGAGGCTGAGGCAGGGGGATCACCTGAGGTCAGGAGTTCAAGACCAGCCTGGCCAACCTGGTGAAACCCTGTCTCTACTAAAAGTACAAAAATTAGCTGGGCGTGGCGGCACGTGCCTGTAGTCACAGCTACTCAGGAGGCTGAGATAGGAGAATCACTTGAGCCTGGGAGGCGGAGGTTGCAGTGAGCCGAGATTGAGCCAGAGTGATCTCGCCCAATGCAGTGAGCCACTGCACTCCATCCAGCCTGGACAACAGAGGGAGATTCCGTCTCAAGAGAAAAAAAAAAAAAAAAAAAGTAGAGAGGTGACTAAGAAATTAAAGACATACTGCCCCAGACTTCCATCATTTAGAGATTGCCTAGAACCCACCTAAAAAGAGACTGAATTTGAGAGGGAATTACTGTCTTCCTGTGAATAGATTACATCATCCACAACATACCTTTTGGTAGTTCTTGTTCAAAAGTTACACCTTTTTCAGTTGTCTGCTACAGTGTACCTTTGGTAGGATTGAATGGTTTCTTTTTCCTTACTCCCATAAGTGGGCTTTTTCACTCTTAACAGATTTTAGCAACTACTAAAGTATATAGCCTTCTTGTTTTATGGACCCCTCTTAATGAACTTCCTTCCTTTTTAATTCCCACTCCCCATTGTTGCTCCGTGCAGGGATTTGGCATGCTGCTGATGGAGGAAGCAGAAAGAATAGCTAGAGAAGAACATGGGTCTGGGAAAATCGCTGTGATATCAGGTAACTGGGGGAGGGCGAAGTTCATGATTCCTTCCCATTTTGAACTTGGCACCACAGTGAAAACTATGTTGGTACCCTCTTGCCCCTGTTGATGGTTATTACGTTCAAAATTGAGCTGAGCTGACTGGCGAAGGACTTGTGCTCAAACAAAATTCACAAAAGCAGTTTAGTGGAATAGAGATTTCCGAGCCCTCTGAGAGTCAGGACCTGTGACCCATATGCCCTCTTCTGCACTCTCTGTCACACTGGTCAGCATGGTCGCCTCCTCTTTGTGCTGTGCCCAGTTACTGTATCTGAGGAAATGGAATTTGATGATATGGACAGGAGAAAAACATGAGTGTTTCTCACTGTTGTGGAGATTATCACTATTGTTCAGAAATTAAAATAGAACCTCAGTTGCCAGTACGAGCTGTTTAAAGGCCAAATTCTTGCTCTTTCAATTTTGTTCTCAGTAACTTCAATCCTGGGGAACAGCTTTCCCCTGTTTGGGAGTAAAAAAGTTTTCCCCAGCCCTCTTAGGGTCCCTGGCTGGGTCCGAAAATTAAACTGACAAAGGCAGATTAACAGGGGAAAAGCATACACATTTATTGCATATAAATTTTATGGAACAGGAAAGCCTTTATAAGGAAATAAAGACCCAAAGAAATGGCTGAACCTGAGTGTTTTTATACGAGTGCAAAGTCATGAAAAAATAAGACAGGACACAGGAGTAAGAGCTAAGGGTGATAAACGGGAATGTTTAGCAAGGCCTGTTCATTTAGATCCCTCAAGGTGCCCCTCTGCCTTCAGAGATGAAGATGTTTGTTTGCTCCAGGTGGTGTGAGGACACCTTCCTCATGAACATCTCATGACCTGCGTCAGGGGAGAAGGAAGGGGAAGGTCTAAGGGTCCTTCCTGCATCTGCCATTTTCTGATTCCTTCACCTTAAGATACTCAGTATGCCAAGACACCGTCTTTTGCGGTAGTGTGTTCTGAACCCCATCAGGAGCTTCCCCATTCCTTATCTAGGACAGCAGGTCACTGGGGAAGTGGGCATGAAAAGGAAAATTCAGTACAGCATGTGTGAGTGGAGCAAAAAATGACGTAGACCCCTTTCACATCTGCTGTTCCATAGTGTATCCTTACAGAAATCGCTGTTCCCATAAGAAGCTAACAGGGTGAGAGCCATGATCAAAATGTAGGTTATTTTTCATCCAGCATGTTTGTTTTCCCATTAGACTACTACATTCCTAAAGCTAAAATACGCCTTCTGAGAAAATCATCTCTTCTGAAAATGAAAGTTGAAATGAGGTTTTTTAAAAAAAAATAAGTTGTTGCCAATCAGTAAATCAATACCCATGCTTGGGTTTTAATGATTATAATTATGAAAATGTAATGACTCAGGCTCACTTATAATCATTTAGTGTGGTTGAGGTTTTTGGCATTATCCAGACAGATTCCTAAAGCTTTTTTTTTTTTTTTCACATGTCTAGCTTTATTTATTTATTTTTTTTTCTGTTATCTTTCATCGCACAAAGAGGTAACTAAATAAGGCTCACTTGATTGGTACTGTTACCTGTAATTAAAAAAGGTTTACTTCTCAACTGTTTAACCTGTGGTTGATCAGAAGTACCAGGCAAGGGCCAGACTGACTTAGAAGCCCTCTGCACATGTGTCTGTGTAGAGTTGATAACACCTGAAATTTCCATGGCCCCTTTTGTCAGAGCACTGTTAGCGTTCTAGTAAAGTGCTTGTGAAACTTCAGTGTGCTTACAAATCACCTGGAGATCTTGTTAAAATGCAGGCTCTGTCTCAGTGGGCCTGGGTGGGGCCTGTGCTCCCAGGTGATACCATGCTGTCTTCAGACCACACTTTGTACACAAGGAAGGCTTTAGTATTCTCTTCCAAGTGTATTCTCTTTTCAGTCACTGAGATAACGACAACGCTCTGTGATCCTTGCAGTGCTACACTCCCAGAGTCTGATAATAGTCAAGTGACTTTCTGGTGTCTGTGGGAACCTAATCAAATTTAAAATGGAAGAGCATGCATATTCCATCACTGCTCTACATCATTTCGTCTGCCTTTATGACATCTGTGTCTTTTTACACTGTTGCATGCAGAGAGGACCCCTGGCTTGCCTGAGGTCATATCCAATTGCTCATAAGAGCCTCAGTTTCTGCTTTTTATGAGCGGGGTGATTTCCATTTTCTAAGTGGAAATCAGCATCTGCCCTCTTTCTGCCATATCTATCTCCCTAGCTTTTTATCATAATCTAAATAATAGCTCAATTTCAGATCATCTGCATGTAGAGTTTCTCAAATAACAAGAAGAGACTTGCTCAAATTAACAGGGAAGAACCTTTCTCTTGTCAGCTGGTATGATAGGTCTACTTCATTTCTATACAAGGGGTTTCTTTTGGCAGTGGGTTTCTCTGGGAACAGCCCTGGAATGCCTTCTTGGGACTCTAGTGAGTTCAGAAGGGAGGATGCCGTAAGCATTACTTCCTGTCACCCTGCCTGGAAGCCCCACCATTGCTCTCTATAGGGGAAACTACGTACGCCTGGACTTTCTGTTTGACTTAAGCTCTGGTCACCCTTCAAATGAAAGAACAAGAACATTTGCTGTCTGGATGATGCATTTTTATTTCTCCAATTTAGTAATCTATTACTGTTCTGTGTAAGTTTCTGAATCAGATGCCGGAGAAGTTAGTCCATTATTAAGAACTTCAAGGAGGGCAGATGTGAAGAGCTTATTATTATATGGTGTTTTTAATGTTGTGTTTTTCCGGTTTTTGCATTTTGACTTTGGTTTCTCTGATGTGAGTACAGTGATGTGTGTGCGTGTGTTTTAGTTTTTTGTAAATAGGCAGTTATTCTCCATAAATTAATCCTTAGAATGAAAATCTCTTTATGACCGTGCTGGTGTCTGTGGGCTGCATTTTGTCAGCGTTACCTCATTGGATTAGCTGAGAAGAGGCACTGATTTGGATGGGAGTGGGGTGGGGAGGACGGGTGGCCAGGATTCCATTCCTGCTTTGCCAGTAGCTCTTCTTGTGATCTAGGATAATTTTACTTACTCTCCATGGGCCTTTATTTCCGTATTTTAAAAAAGTGGATGTGGTTATCTTTTACAGTTCTGACTCTAGAATTCTACCCCTTAGTATCTTCTTTAGTTCTCAGCATGACCAATTATGTTTTCCTAATTAAATTGTAGGTGGGACCTTTTCTGTGCCATATTAAGAGACTCTTTAATTTCATCAATAATAGATCTCGGTCTCGTTGTAGGTTGGGTGTTTGCTGATGAAAATGGCGATAGTTTCCCATAGGTAGTTAATCCTATGCTTTGTGAATGCCTGTTAACTTAGGTCACAACTGGTGATACTGTTTGACCTAAGTGTTTACTTTTCTTCCGACCTTGTCCTCAGTTTGTAAATCCATCCTTGTTCCAGGTCTGTAGGCTTTTGTATAAGTTGTACACAGTGGTGGCCTAGATACTCTGTCCTGGCATAACTAGTAAGCTTGAGTAAGGGAAAGATAGAATCATTTATCATTTTGGTTACTGTTGTGTAAGAGTAATGCATTTAGGTAGAATTTTTTAATTGCATTTTGATTCATTATGACTTCCCTTCATCTTGCCAGATTTTCTCTGTAACTTGGGTTTATGATCTTGGATTCAGCCTCTAGACAATATTATGAACTACACAGTAGATCTGATTTGAGTCACTATAGAAAGACTCTGGGTATTCTTTTTTCTGTATTTAAAAACAAATTGGTTTTTTATCTGTGCTACTTCAGTAGACTTTGTTTATAGGTATATACTGTGTATTTTATAGCAGATTATCTTTTTAAAAAGATGACTACCTTTATGGCTACATGAGAAAATTGAAAACTTTCTCATTTATCAAAATCAAATGAAGCAATTTCTTGAAAAAGAGGCCTTTAGGTTTATTCTGTTTTTTTCTTAGTGAACTGTGTTTTAAAGTGAACCATCAACTCTAAATGTGAAAATTAAACTAAAAATGAAATGTTCAGTTTCATCAGCATCAAAGTCACCGTGTATTGAGGGCTCACGTATGAAATGAAGAGACATATGAAAAAAGAAGATGTGTGAAATGTCACCCTGCCCTGCGTGAACGTTCGTGTTGGGCTATAGGAAACTCACCCACCTTCCCCTCGTTGATTGTCTTTGACTGCAGAGGAAGATAAGTTTTCTCCCTACTTAGACTCCAGATTAGTTCATAACTCAAGATTAATTACTTCACAGTAAGAAAATATTATTTTTTTACATATAAAAATGGACAAATCAGTGTTATGAGAACCACCAGTTTATAAAATAATGTGTAGGCAAGAAATAACAGCTAATTGCTGCTAAATATCTAAGCAATTAATTAGTCCCTATTAATTCCAAGTGGTATCATTTGCCAGCTTAATCCATATAGCTTCTATCAACACACGTCTGTTCAAGGTTAACAAATTGTGTTTACTTAAAAACCACGATGTTTATCTACTTGGGTGATCAGCATTCTTTCCTTTAAAAATGTTAACATGAGCAGTTTTTCTGTCTCCTCTCTTATAATGTAAAGTGCAAGGAATTATACTGGAGAAGCTAACCACAACGTCTGAAATGCCATCACTAATAATCACCGTGGAAACGGAGATCTCTGATGTCACACTGCCTGTACCATTTCCAAAAGGGCAAATAGAACTGTGATAGTCACTATTTAAAAAGCCATTTAACACCCCCAACAGAATGAGTTTTTTTCTTCTGGCAGTTTTGGCTAGGTATCAGATCCAATCGTGTGACTGTTTCAGTTTGCCAAGCTAATTGCTATGCAGCAAGATGACCAGCTATTCCCCAAGCTCGTCTGACTACCTTCATCATAAGCAGTATTCTATTTGTGTCCTTTCAAGTAGAAAATTAATATGGCCATTGGCCAAGAATCGTACAAGGCCGATGGATCACACAGTGATGGTGAAGAATAAGGAAAATGTCTGAATGGTCAATGACAGAAATCACTGAAGTCAGAGACTGATAGCCATTTTGTTTAAATCTATTAAAAAGCCAGAGAAGGGGAGAGGAGAGAAGAATTTAAATATAGGGTGATTAAATGAGTCACTATGGAGATGAAATCATCCTTAATCATGATGGTCTTAGTTATATGACCCTAAAACTACATCACAGTGCCTCCTGGTCAGAAAATAAGTGTACCTGCGCCTTATACAATCCAATATGGCTTTCTAGGACTGCAGTTAATGGTCTTGTTTGCCAGAACCACTGATTAATAAAATCATATGTGGGCAGAAAATAGCAGTTGTTTTGTTGAAGCATTTAAACTACAAATGGCTGAGATTTACTTATTCGACCTTCACCTGTCTCTCAGGCTACTACACATCTCCCTCAGTTTCAGGAGAAGATAGTTTTATTCCTTGCATTGTACTCTAGTTGAAAAGAAGGGTACATTCATAACTACGTTTGTCTGAAAATGGACTCATAATCCTTACCAAAATGCCTGGAAAAGCATTTCTTCATTGTAGCATATCTATTTGCTAATGGACACAGGAAGCCTGCCAAATGCAGACCAGTTTGTGGCACCTACACGAGTGTTAGTCTATGGCTTCTCAGAAAGGAAGGGAAAGAGTGTTTGTCCTTTTGTACTATCTTTGTGACAAATTATCCCCTAAATGTCCCCTAATTAAATGTACATTTTCTGGGTTCTGTATATTCCTCTGTTCCATTTTGGTATTCTAATAAAGATCATATATGTTTCTTTTTTGGTGCATGTTCCAGTAGTATTTTTAAAATCATTATTAATATCTTCTTAAAGACAATGGATACAATATAAAGTATTTCTTTACTACAGGAATTCAATTTCAACATCATTATTAATCAGACTGGAATTGATGATATGGAATACTACTTTGCTAGATAATGTATTAGCTAGGTGTTTGCTTATTGGTGTCTGTTGTAGCTGCACTGTGGCAGCATTGTTTTGTAGCTCCTCCCAGGAATCTGTATTCCATGACTTGACATTTACTCATTTGAAGGTGAATCAGGTACCAGTTTGTAGTACACCGCACATCAAGTGCATTAGACCATCTCTAACTTGGCATCACAGACTATGTTAATTAGTACACATGTTTTGAATATTATTGAATAGGCCACTAATGAGTTTCTACTGTTTGGATCTTGGAGGCAACTGAATTTTTTGTGATGTTTCCCAGCCAGAAGCTAGTGATACTGATTTGGAGTGGCTGATTGGCATTTGAAGTACAGCATTTGGCAAATGCTGTTGCTAATCCCAGGTCCATGCAGTCCAGCCTCTTACATTTCAGAGTGTGCATGTTGAGATCTTGAAGTCCAGCCTTGCCAGTGTAGACACAACAGCACATTTGTAGACTTTTTGTCCCCATTCTTGTTCCTCTTAGTTTATGGATATAGGGAATCATGGTCTTATGCTTTTGCTTAGGAGGAATAGGGTTATATCATGTGATTCCTAATAACATTCCTGAAAGGTCTGGAAGCTTTGAGATGAATGACTACCTTTATTTAAAATTAGACACTTCACAGGCTTTTTTCTGAGGAAGCAAGCCCTCTCCAAAAGTGGCCCAACCTATGCTACTCACTACCAGCTGTCTATCAGAAAGTCTGTTTTAATAGTTTGTTGCAATGTTGACTCCTTATCAATGTAACTTGAATATGAATAGTACTGTTCTTTTCTCTAAATATTTGACATTGCCTTAATTCATTCAATTTGATAAAGCTTTTCTATTTTAGATCTGTTAGAGGCAGAGATTTGGCAGGTTATTCTTTGGGTGAACAGGTATTACTGAATAATGCTGGAAAATATTGGTGCTGCCTTCCTTAGCAGCAACCAAGATACTAGTTTTGTGGAGCCTTTTAGTTTAGAGATTTCTAATTCCAACAGAACACATGCAAGGAATTTCTTATTCTTTAGTTGGCCTGGCTTAAGCTGTTGTCTCTGACCAACAACTCACATTTCTAAGACAGTGCCTGTTAGACATAGAATTGTAGTTTGTGGCCATGGGATCATTTCCTTATGCACCCCATCCTCTAGTCCCTAAGCAGACCACTGTCCACTTGTCCACCATTCATGAATAAATTGCTGGGGTTCAGTAAAGCAGTCCACATGCCCCAGATCTCTACCTGCGTGATCTGTTGCCTCACTGCAAATCCTAATAATTAGTGTTTGTTCTGGTTATTTATTATAACATACCACCCCAAAGTTTAGTGACTTAAAACAACAACCCTCTTATTTCCTTAATGATTCTGTGGGTCAGAAATTCAGCAGGGCATAGAGGGGATGGTTCCTGTCTGTTCTGTGATGTCAAGGGCCTCAGCTGGGGTGGCTTAAATGGCAGCCAGTTGGCTGGGATGGTGTGTCTGAAGTTTCAGTTCTGACTGGGGCTGTCCATATGAGCAGCTTGGTTCTTGTCCACCTGTCTGCTCCATGTGGCTTGGGCTTTTTAATAGCACAATAGCTGGGGTTCTAAGAGGGAGGAGCAAAGGCCTGGTCTTAGAAGTCCTAGAATGTCTATATTAGTTATCTGTCATTGTGTAATAAATTACCCAAAAACTTAATGGCTGAAACAACAAGCATTTTTTATCTCATGGTTTCTGTAGATCAGGAATATGAGAGTGACTGAGCTGGGTGCCTTTGGCTCAACATCTCTAACAAGGCTGTAGTCAAGGTGTCAGCTGGGGCCATAATCATCTCAAGAGTCCATTGGAGCTGAAGGATCCCCTCCCAAGTTCACTGTGCACTTTTTGGCAGGCATCGGTTCCTCACAAGCTGTTGGTCTTGGGGCTGTGGTTCCTCGCCATCCCTCGTGGGCCCATTTATAGGGCTGCTTGTCACATGATGTGACAGCTTGCTCTCTCAGTGGGAGTGATCAGAGAGAGAGAGCTCATTCAAGATGGCAGCCATAGTATTTTTATAACCTAATCTCAGAAGAGTGTTAATGAGTCCACCTCACCCTCAGGGGGAAGGGATTAGACAAGTCTGTGAATACCCTAGGTGGTGAACTTTGGGGGTCATTTTAGAGACTGCCTACCACAATGTATCTTCTGCCTTGTTCTGTTGGTCAGAGTCACTGGGCCAGGCCAGATTTAAGGGAAAAGGAAGTAAATTCCATCTCTGTAAGGGAGAAGGCAGCCATCTTTGGATGCTGTCAGCCGTAGTGGTGGAATACTTCTCCATTGCTTTGTGATTAGTAGGCATTCAGTACCTCTAATGCCTTCTCCAAAGATAGACCCTTTGGGCAGACCTAAATTCAAGAATTCTTGTCCCAACCAGATTTTCATATAGTCAAGCATGGCAACACAATCACACCTCACACTTTCCTAGGTAGAGCTTGGCAGGTCCAACAATACTCAGCCTGCACCTGACCCTTTGTGTGCCATCTCTCTTCCGTGAGGACATGCCTCTCTGTTTCCCTTTGCAACCCTATTTTATACCTGATGCTTTAGGTGCGCGTGCTGGCCATTTATCTTTTTCTTCTAGGTAATGGAACATAGAAGCCTGGTTTTGGGCTGAGGATACATGGTTTCCCTCTGGAGCTTTCCTACCCTTAAATACTTATTTTCCCCCTACAAACACATGGAGAAATTTTATGCATTGTAAGAAAATTTTTTTCATTTGGGGAGTTGATAAATCATAGGTAAAGTAGAATTTGCCATTTTAACCATTTTTAAGTGTATAAATCAGTGGCATTATTTACATTTACAGTGTTGTACGACCATCACCATTATTTCTAAAATTTTTAACACCCTAAACAAACTGTGAACCCATTAAGCAGTAACTCCCAGTTCCCCGCACAGTCCTCTAATCTATTTTCTGTCTCTGTGAAGTGGAATCATAGAGTATCTGTTCTTTTATGTCTGGGTTATTTCACTTACCATAATGTCTTCAGTGCTCATCCATGCTGTAGCATGTCTCAGAATTTGCTTCCTTGTTATGGCACAATAATATTCCATTACATGTATATACCACATTTTGCTTATCATCCATCAGTCTGATAGACATTTCGGTTGTTTCCACCTTTTGGCTATTGTCAATAATATTGCAGGGTGTACAAATACCTGTTTGAGTTCTGCTTTCATTTCTTTTGCATATATACCCAGAAGTGTAATTGCTGAGTCAAATTGTAACTCTATGTTTAACTTTTTGAGGAACCACCAAACTATTTTCCACAGTAACTGCACTGTTTTTCATTCCCACCCACAGTGCACAAGGATTTCAATTTCTCTACATCTTTGCCAACACTTGAGATTTTTCTTTTTTTTTTTTTATAGCCATCCTAGTGGTATAAAATGGCATTCTGTGGGAGGTTTGACTAATATTTCTGTAATGATTAATGATGTTGAATGTCTTTGTCATTTTTATCTTCTTTAGAGAGATGTCTATTTGGGTCTGTTGCCCATTTCTTAACTGGATTGTTTGTCTTTTTGTTGTTGAGTTGTAGGAGTTCTTCATATTTTCTGAATATTAGACCATAAAATATTTGCAAATGTTTTCTTCCATTCTGTGGGTTGCCTTTTCACTTTCTTGATACTTTCCTTTGATGCACAAAAGTTTGTAATTTTAATGAAGTCCAGTTTATCTGTCTTTTGTTATTTGTGTCTTTGGTATTATATTTAAGAAACCATTGCCAAGGTGAAGGACATAAAGATTTTCCTCTCTGTTTTCTTCTAAGGGCTTTATATAAAGTTATAGCTCTCAAATTTAGATCTTTGACCTATTTTGAGTTCATTTTTGTATATGATATAAGGTAAGAGTCTAATTTAATTATTTTGCATGTGGATATCCAGTTTTTCTAGCACCACTTGTGAGAGAGACTTTTCTTTTCCCATTGAATGCTCTTGACACCCTTGTCAGAAATCAGTCGAAAAGAAAAGTGAAAGTTTATTTCTGGGCTCTCAGTTCTATTTTGCTGGCCTATATGTCCATCTTTACATCAGTACTATGCTGTTTTAATCACTGTAGCTTTGTAGTAATTGGGAAGTATGAGTCTCCAACTTTGTGCTTCTTTTTCAAGATTGTTTTTGGCGATCCCGGGTTCCTTCAAATTCCATATGATTTTTCACATGGCTGTTTTTATTTCAGCAAAAGCCACTATTGGGATTTTGATAGGGATTGCATTGAATCTTTATATGGCTTTGGGTGGTATCATCATCTTAACAATGTTAAGTCTTCCAGGCCATGAACACAGGATATCCTTCCATTTATTTAGTCTTCTTTAATTTCTTTTAGCAAAGTTTTGTAGTTTTCAGTGTGCCAGTCTTGCACCTCTTTGCTTAAATTTATTCCGAGATATTTTATTCTTTTGATGCTATTGTGAGATTTTTAAAATTTTGTTTTTGAATTGTTCATTGTAAGCATATAGAAATAAAACTGATTTTTCTTCCATATTGATTTTGTATTATGCAACTTTGCTAGATTTGTTTATTAGCTCCAATAATATTGTATGTGTGTGGATTCTTTAGCATTGCCTACATATAAGGTCATGTCATCTTGAATAGAGATAGTTTTACTTATTCCTATCCAATTTGGGTGCCTTTCATTTCTTATTCTTGCCTAATTCCTCTGGCTAGAACCTTTAAGTACTGTGGTGAAAATGGGCAACCTTATCTGGCTTCTGATCTTAGGGGGAGAGGTTTCTGTTTTTCACAATTGAGCATGATATTATTATCTGTGAGTTTTTCACATATGGCCTTTACAATGTTAAGGAAGTTCCCTTCTATGCTAATGTATTGGGTGTTTTTATCATGAATGGGTTGTGAGTTTTGTCAAATGCTTTTTCTGCATTTGAGCTGATTGTATGATTTTTTTTCCCACTTAATTCTGTTTTGGTTTATTACATTGATTTTTGTGTGTTGAACTATCCTTGCATTCCAGGGATAAATCCCACTTGGTTGTGGTATATAATCCTTTTAATATGCTGGTAAATTCAGTTTGCTGGTATTTTGTTGAGGAGTTTGGCGTCTGTATTCTTAAGGGGATGATGGTCTATAGTTTTCTTTGTAGTGTCTTTATCTGGCTTTGATAACAGAGTAATGCTGGCTTTATTAAATGAATTATAAAGTGTCCATCCTCTTCAGTTTTTTGCAAGTATTTGAGAAGGATTGGTATTAATTCTTCAATTGTTTGGTAGAATTTACTAGTAAAGTCGTCTGATTTTGGGCTTTTTCTTATTGGGACATTTTTTATTACTGATTCAGTTTCTTGTTATGTATTTATGTAGACTTTGTTTATGAGTCAGTTTTTATGTTTCTAGAAATTTGTTTCATCTAGGTTATCTAACATGTTGGCGTACAGTTGTTCATAGTATTTTCTTATAGAATTCTTATTTCTGTACAGTAAGTAGTTATGCCCCCTCTTTTATTTCTGTTTTTGTGATTTGAGTCTTCTCTTTTTTAACCCAATCTAAGGTAAACATTGCTAGTTGATCTTTTCAAAGAATGAACTTTTGATTTTGATTTTTTTTTTTAATTCTCTATCTTCACTCTAATCTATTATTTTCTTCCTTCTGCTAGCTTTGGGTTTTGTTTGCTCTTTTTTTTTCTAGTTCCTTAAGGTGTAGAGTAGGTTATTGATTTCAGATATATCTGCTTTTAAAATCCCAAATGTGATCATATGTATCTGCTTTTTTCATGTGAGCATTTACAGCTATAAGTTTCCCTCTGAGCACTGTTTTTGCTGCATCCTATAAGTTTGGAATGTTGCATTTTGTCTTTCATTTGCTGAAGGTGTTTTCCAATTTTCCTTGTGATTTCTTCTTTAGCCCATTGGTTGTTTAAGAATGTGTTAATTTCTGCATACTTATGAGTTTTCCAGTTTCCATCTGTTATTCTAGTTTCATTTCTTTGTGATCAGAAAAGGCATTTTATATAATTTCAGTCTTTTTAAATTTATTAAGACATGTTTTCCTGACCTGACATATGATCTATCCCGGAAAATGTTCTGTGTGCACTTATGGAAAATGTACATTCTGCTATTAGTGGTAGCATGTTCTATATATGTCTGTTAGATTTAAGTGGTTTAAAGTGTTGTTCTAGTTCTCCCTTTCCTTATTGATCTTTTGTCTTAATTTTTTTATTAATTGTTGAAAGTGGATATTGAAGTATCCAAGTCTTAATGTAGAACTATTTATTTCTCCCTTAAGTCCTGTCAAGTTTTGCTTCATATATTTTGGGGCTCTGTTGTTAGGTGCATATATGTTGATAATTGTATAAATCTTCCTGATCATTGAACATTTATCACCATATAATGGTCTTCTGTCTCTTGTAACCTGTTTTGACTTAAAATTTGTTTTGTCTGATAATATAATCACTCTATGACTCTTTTGGTTATTAGTTGTTTTCTTAGTGGTTACCTTGGGGATCATAATTAACATTTTAAGCCTCCAGTCAGTTTGAATAATACCAAGTGAGTTTTAATAGTATGCAAACACTCTGCTCCTATACATCTCTGTCCCTCCCCCTCTGTATTGTTATTGTCACAGATTACATCTTTTTACCTGTGTATCCATTAACCTAGACTTAAAATTATTGTTTAATGAATTTGCCTTTTAAATAATATAGGAAGAAAAGAGGAGTTACAAACCAAAAGTGCAATAATACTAGCTTTTATGTTTACTTATGTAATTATCTTTATTAATATTCTTTATTTCTTCATATGGTTCCAAGTTACTGCCTATTCTTTCAATTCAGGTTGAATGACTTCCTTTAGCATTTCTTATAGGGCAGGTTTAGTAGTAATAAGCTTCTTTAGCTTTTCTTAATCTGGAAATGTCCTAATTTCTCTTTTATCCTTGAAGGATAGTTTTGTTGGATATAGAATTCTTGATTGGCAGATTTACTTTTTTCTTTCAGCCAGCACTTTAAATGTGCCATCCCATTGCCTTCTGACCTCCATAGTTTCTAATATCAGTTGTTAGTCTAATTGAGGATTCCTTCTATGTGATGACTCATTTTGCCTCTTGCTGCTTTCAAGATTCTCTCAGGTTTTCAACAGTTTGACTCATATTGTGATCATTGTGGATCTCTTTGAGGCTATCCTGCTTGGAATTTGCTGAGCTTCTTGAATGTATAGATTCATGTCTTTCAACAAATTTGGGAAGTATTCAGCCATTTCTTTAAACATTTTTTTCTACCCTTTATGTCTCTCATCTCCCTCTGAAACTCCAGCAATGCATATATTGGTATGCTTGATGGTATCCCCCACGTCTTTTATTTTTCTACATTTTTTCTTTCTGCTCCTCAGACTAGATAAATTCAGTTGCATTATCTTAAAGTCCACTGATTCTGTCTGCTGCCTCCTCTTAACTGCCATTGAACACCTCTAGTGAATTTTTTATTTTTACTATCATACATCTCTGTGCCAGAATTTCTATTTTTTAATATAATTCCTGTCTATTGACATTCCTTTTTGATAGTATCCCCTTGATATCCTTTCTTTGTCCATGGTTTCTTGTAACTCCTTAGGCATATTTAATACAGTTGATTTAATGTCTTTGAGTAGTAATCCCAGTGTCTGGATTTCCTCAGGAATAATTTCTGTTGAATTCTTTTTTCCTGTGAATGAGCCATTCTTCCCTGTTCTTTGTATGCTTTACAATTTTATATTGAACTACTGAGAACTACACAATTAGTATAATGTGGTAACTCTGGAAATCATTCTTCTCTTTCTGAGGAGTTGCTTTTGAGGTCTGTAATCATGCATTTGTCTAGTGACTTTTTTTTTTTTTTTTTTTTTGGGGAGTCAGTCTTGCTCTGTTACCCAAGCTGGAGTACAGTGGCATGATCTCGGCTCACTGCAACCTCCGCCTCGCGGTTTCAAGCTATTCTCCTGCCTCAGCCTCCCTAGTAGCTGGGATTACAGGCATGTGCCACCAGGCCTGGCTAATTTTTTTGTATTTTTATTAGAGACGGGGTTTCACCTTGTTGGCCAAGCTAGTCTCGAACTCCTGACCTCAAGTGATCCACCTGCCTTGGCCTCCCAAAGTGCTAGGATTACAGGCATGAGCCACTGCACCCGGCCCTGTCTAGTGACTTTTCCAAACTATTTTTGCAAAGTCTGAGTGTTCTTCATTGTGTGTGTAGTCACTGAAATTTCTGTTCTTATCTCTATGATCAGCCTGTGACCTGAGAGGGATTTTTCTTAAATGTCTGGTTCAAAAAAAGAAAAAAGGATGTGTATCTCTTCAAATCTTTTGATACACTCCACGAAGGAAGTGAGATGGGGTCAAAACAAAGACAAGTGTCTGCACTGGTCCTTCCAGGAACCTCCAAAGTGAACATAATACACAGCCCTATATTTTTGGAGGACTAGGTCCTTATTGCCCACTCCAGTTCCAGCCAGCTGCTCCAGGAAAATAAGTTACCATTCCTGTGGCTACGGTGGAGCTAAGGAATGGGGGATGGTTGGTGGCTTAAGCATGCTGTTCCCTGAGTGAAGTTTTACAGCCTCTCCCTCATCAGACACTCCCCTAGTCACTGTAAGTATCTTACCAAGTTCCAGCATTCCAAAATAGTTGGTTGCAATTATTTTTTTTCCAGCGTAATCGTCGTTTTAGCAGAAGGATGAATCTCTGAAAATTCCTACCTTGCCATTTTCCCTCTTGAAGTCTGTATTTAAAGAGACTATAAATAGAAGGGGTCCCTCTTCCTACCAGGTTATAAGATGGTACAGTCTAACTTCTGCAGAGACACACTAATGATTTTTGACATGAGTAAAGAAGTGAGAATGATGTGTGACATAGCAAACATCCTGCACTGATAGAAACAGAGACCCTCTATTTTTGAATCAGTTGATTGTGGGCCATCCTATGTCACATCATAGGCCAGACTCCCTGAAAGAAAAAAACTCTCTAAGAGCTGTAAGATAACCCACCAGCATCACCCAACTGTAAGTTACCATGGTAGTATCTATTTAGATTCTGTATACCTCCTTTGTAAATTACCTAATTTTATTCTTTGTTCTTATCTTGGTAGCCTTTTCAAAATGTGTAGAAGAACCTTTAGGCTGCTGGGTAGGAGACTCTCTTGAGGTACTCTGTATTTCCACAGTGATGGAGAATAATGTATACTGTGTTAGTTGCAATAACCAGTTTGAAGAACTAAGATTATACATGGGTAACCTTTGTATGATTTTTTTTTTAATAGAATGGGGAAAAAATTCTGAAAGGTTTAGGGTCGTGTAGTTAATTGGTTCATTTTCAAACATTCAGGATAGAAACCTTTTCCCAACTTTGATATCAGTGTACATTGTTGAAGAGTAAAATATCGCCATCCTGGCAGGAGATCAATGAGAAATAATAAAGTCTCATTTCAATAGCAAGTGAATGAAACTAATGAATATATTTCCTTGTGTTAATGTTGGTAGATACATCAAGTAGGCAATAGTTGATTAATTGAACCCAAAAGCAATTAAAACAGTTTAATTTGTTTTTATTTCACTGATTTCTTTTAATTAAACAATCATAAATCATCTGAATGTTTTGCATCTAATCAAAACAGAAATTTGAGCTTTAAAGGATAGATTTACAAGTTTGGCTGTGAGAATGTGATGTGGGCTCAATTTTAATTCTGTCTAAGAACACATTACTAGCAGTGAAGGGTGGCCTATGTCCTAACAAGTAAGCATCAAAGAACAAGAATGCACCTGTAATAGCTAATTCATTTTCCTGCTTCAGACATGAAAACATTTAAATTATTAAGCCAAGGTTTTTCTTAAGGAATTCCAAGAGATAAAACTCTTCAATTTCCAGGCTCCTAGTACATACTGAGCAAATACTTGATCAATTAAACTTATTTCTTCCTCTGTTACATCACATTAATAATTCCACGTTCATTCTTTATCCAGTTGGAATCACAACCCTGGCTCACTTGTTTTTCCATAGATGTGAAGAATTGATTTCATTCCCCATTTAAGCAGTCACATAGTTGAGATTATTTAATCTTGCCTTCTTTTTCATTTTAAAAGTTTACTGGAAGCTGTAACAAATAGCAGAGTTTATAAAATGTTAAATAACACCTGTATGTCTTAGCTCACTCAGGCTGCTATAACAAAACTGGGTAATTTATAAATGAGAAATTTCTCATAGTTCTAGAGGCCTCGTGACCTAATTGTCACCCAAAGACCTTACCTCTTAATACTATTGCATTGGGGATTAAGTTTCAACATACGAATTTTGTGGGGGATACACATTCGGACCATCGCACTCTCTAACCCCCACTTATGTCAATAACCAGCATCCAAGAAGTGCCTCTGTTGGCCCTTCCCTCTTCCTTCCCAGTATCCTAACTTTTTTGGTATTTTCTTCGTAAGTATGTATCCCTTAACTACATGGTCTAGTTTTGTTGTTGCATATTTTTGTTCTGGTTACTTTTGCTCAACATTGCTGTAAGATTGAGTCAACGTTGTAGTAGCTGTATTTCATTCCTTTTCATTGATATATGGGATTCCATTATGCTGATAGTTCACGATTTATCCGTCTTAACTCTTGCTGGGTTTCCAGGTTAGAGTTATGAATATTCTTGTGTATGTATTTTGGGACACATAAGGACATATTTCTGTAGAATGTACACCTAAGAGTGCAATTGCTGGGTTGTAGAGAGTACATAGATTTAGCTGAGGATTCTGCCAAGTGGCTTTCTAAAGTGCTTCTACAATTTTTCACTACTACAGGAAATGTATGAGTTTTAGTTGTTCCATTCTGATGAATATGAGTGGCATTTCTTTGTGGTTTTAATTTGCGTTCCCTGATAACTGATGATTTTGACTACCTTTTCATGTGTTTACTGGCCATTTGGAGATCCTCTTTCTGAAGTTGCTGTGTGCACATGTGTGTGTGAGTTTTTCTAAAATCCACAAGATATCATTATTATGTACAGTTAGTATTCATTTAGATTTACTGATAAAATTGACCCTTAAACAACACAGGTCCACTTATACTCGGATTTCTTTCAACCACACACAGATTGAAAACAGTGTTTGTGGGTTGTGAAACCTGCGTATACAGAAGGCTGACTTTTCATAGACGCAGCTTCTGCAGGGCCAACTGCAACACTTGAGTGTGTGCAGATTTTGGTATATAAGGGTGGTCCTGGAACCAGCCCCCCACATATAACAAGGGCAACTGTATATTTACCACTTCTTTGCTCTTCTATCTTTGCTATATCTTCAAAGTATTTTCTTCATTTTCATTGACATGTAGGACTCCATGATGTACTACAGTTTATCTGTTTTACTGTTGATGGATATTTCGGTAGTTTGCACACATTGTTTTCTTTATACCTTTAGTTGGTAGCAAGTTGTTCCAGTTTTGGTTGTATACAAATGTCTTTACTTTGCATTATTATTAAAGCAGTGGTCCCCAACCTTTTTGGCACCAGGGACTGGTTTTGTGGAAGACAATTTTTCCACAGATAGTAAGGGGGTTGGGGTGATGGTTTCAGGATTCAAGTGCGTTACATTTATTGTGCACTTTATTCCTATTATTACATTGTAATATATAATGAAATAATTATATGAATCAGTGGGAGCTCCAAGCTTATTTTCCTGCAACTCAGCAGTCCCATCTGGGGATGATGGGAGGCAGTGACAGATCATCAGGCATTAGATTCTTATAAGGAGCACACAACCTAGGTCCCTTGCATGCGTAGTTCACAATAGGATTTGTGCTCCTTTGAGAATCTAATGCCACTGCTGACCTGACAGGAGGTGGTTACTGCTCCTCAGGCAGTAATGTGAGCAATGGGGAGTGGCTGTAAATGCTGTGTGGCCTGGGGGTTGGGGACCCTTGTCTTGTCTTCACTAGGTATAGTATTCTGGGTTTGCAGGTATTTTCTTTCAGTACATTGTATCTATCTTCCCCTTATTTCCTGGCTTTTAATGTTGCAGGTAAGAAATCAGCTGTCTGTCTTTGAGGATATTCCCTCAGGCTACTTCTGTGGTTTTTTAGAAAATATATTATTTTTATTCTTTCAGACTGTCTTGGTTTTTCTCTAGTTTTACTAGGATATTTCTAGGTTCTAGGTATGGATTTCCCGTTTGGGCTTCCTTGGGCTTCTTTAATCAGTGAACTGGTTTTTAAAATCAGTTCTGTGTGATTTGCAGCCTCTAACACATGCATATTGACTCTATCCCATTCTCCCTCACCTCTCTTCCTGTGACTCCAGTTAAACATATTTTAGACATATTTATTGTATCCACTGTGTCTAATACCCTCTTCCCCACCAACGTTGCTTTGTTGTCCATAATTTCTTCTGACTTAATCTTTCAGGTTACTAATTTAGCTGTGTCTGATCTGCTAGACCCATCCATTGATGCATTGGTCCCACACTTTAACATTTCCTAAATTTCTGGTATCTTTTTCCATTCTGTAATGTCATCTTTTAATGTTTCCAGTTGTTTTCAGACATTGAACATAGTAAGCATACCTGTTTGCAGTCTGTGTCACGTGATGTCACATCTGGAGTCTCTGCTGTTTCTTGTCATGTCCTGTCTTAAAGTGTACCTCATCATTTTTTATCATTTGCTGAGCATTTTATATGAGAATTTGCTTTCAGGAATACTTCAAGACCTAGGTGATGCTAGCTTCCTCCAAGGAAGACCTGTTTCCTTTAGCCAGGCATCTCAGAGTCGTAGTTGTCTAGGACCAAGGCTGTGGTTTATCTAGAAGATTCCTATCCCCACCACACCAATCCCTCCTCCCAATTCAGAGCCTTTCAGAATACAATCCAGAAGAGGGGGTGCTATGCTTGGGTCCCTGTCTGTGCCAGGCTCTGAATTCAGACCCATGTTGCATCTCCTTGAGCCTCCTCAAGGTACGGAAGCAACTCTGCCTCTCAGTTGCTTCCACACCTCCTAAACAGCAGGGCACTGGGGGAGTGTTATGACTGCTTCTCTGCTTCTGGTGGCCGCAAGACACTGCCCCCACGCCCCCAGTATCTCACGTGCCCTTCCTAGATCAAACACTTCTACTCCCCTCTGGAAGCTCACATTTTCTCCTTATTATTGGCCTGACAACTAAGAGCTCTTAACAGTCTCTGATACTTTCCTAGCAGAAACATTTTCAATTTTGTCTAATATTTTCATTGTCTTTGGCTGGAGCGTTATTCTTAATTTTGTCTGCCATAATCAAGCCTGAAGTCATCTGTTCACTAAGCTTAAATACTCACGACTCTTCTGCCCTGCCTCTAGCTTCCATCATTGAACCTTCTTTGTTGTTTTCCTCCAAACTCTGTATTGTAGTGCTTGTCATTTTAGAAATGGTGACTGCAATTTATCAAGTTGTTACTGAAAAGTATCCCCCTTCCCATTCTCACATTTGTAAGCTGAATCTGTTTACAAAGTTTATTATTGCCTGTTATCAGACCCTTTTCTGTGATTTATTCTTCAGTTTCTTACTAAGCCATATTGTTAACAATGGAAATAGCCACCATGTTTGTTTCATCTAATGAGTTATCAAAGGACATTGAAAAACTGGACACAGATACAGGAGGTGAGGTGATCAAGACAAATGGCAAGTTCTTTCTTTACCAGAAAAGAAGGGATGTGCTTTCCCACGAAGACTAGAGGTGCAAGACCAGAGTCAGGGGAGTTGAGTGGGCCTACCCCATCACATAGGTGCCAGGCGCATTAGAAACGCTCTGGGCCATGGGGTCAGGCAGGCTGGGTCTCAGTTACTGTTCTGCTTCCCTATAGTGTGGCCTTGAGTTATGACCCATTCTGAAACTCATCTTTCTCCTAGGACAATAATTGCAATCTTGTTACATTTTAAATAAATTAGTGCATGGAGAGGCTTTAGCAATCCAGTGCCTGGCAGGTATTTAAATCTCCCTCTAACTTTATAGTCACTTAGCTATCAAGTGGTTTTCTTTGTTTGTTTGTTTGTTTTGAGATGGAGTTAGAATCACAAGCTAGGTAGCACTTAGGTTCATTTCCTGCTCTTGATTTGTGATTTATTTTCCCTTTTAGAGGAAAGGTATACTTATTTTTAGTGTCCAAAGGCTTTACTCTGGTATTGCATTTATCCCCTTAGAACAGAAGGCTGCAGTAACTTGGAGGAACAAAGAGTTGGTTTTCAGTGAACTCAGGTACCACACAGACTGGCTTACTCTATCTCCCCACTCTTTCCCCTACAATTTCTCTCTAAAATAGAATCACAGCAGAATTTAAGTAAACATCTAGGTTTGCGGCCGGGCACAGTGGCTACACCTGTAATCCCAGCACGTTGGGAGGCTGAGGCACATGGATTGCCTGAGGTCAGGAGTTCGAGACCAGCCTGGCCAACATGTTGAAACCCTGTCTCCACTAAAAATACAAAAAATTAGCTGGGTGTGGTGGCATGCACCTGTAATCCCAGGTACTCTGGAGGCTGAGGCAGGAGAATCGTTTGAAGCTGGGCGGCAGAGGTTGCAGTGAGCCGAGATCACGCCATTGCACTCCAGCCTGGGTGACAAGAGAGAGACTTCGTCTCAAAAACAAACAAAAAAACCACATCTGGGTTTGTTCTCCACCCACCCCCCCTTTTTTTTGGCCTTTGGTTAGTCTAAGGTTGTGTGATTTGATTTCCCATTTTTACTAAAGAGCATTGAGCAGCCCAGGATGAGCGTGCTCCTGCAGCCAGAGGCCCAGGCTCCGGCATATGCATTGCCTGTGATTTTCCCCCTTTCCCGAATCCTTTGAGTTAGCAGATTAAGCCACGTGGTGCGTATCTTTTGGAGAGGGACATGGAATCAAAGCAGAGGATTTCTTTCTCATCATGAGGGGCTTGAGGACATTTGGTTCAGAAAAGGATCAGAGAGATGCTGTACCCCTGGGTCTCCTCCGGGTTGGAGATTCACAGGGAGGCCAGGGGCTCTTGGCAGCCAGCCTTGGAGCAGTAGCCAGAGGTCATCCTTGGGAAGGGGGCTTTCCCACTGAGTGCTGAATAACTCTACTCCTCTCGGCCCATCCCAGAGCAAGCAGTGTCCTCTGCCTTTAATGTAACCCCTTTCCATGGGTCTATCTATAATTGATCTAAAGTGTGTGCAGTGGAAGTCATTTTAATAACTTACATATAGTAAAGCTCGTGTACAAATAAACAGGCTTGTTTTCTTCTCCCCAAAGGGGTGGATGTCCTGGGGCAGAGGCAGAGGGGAGGCCACCACAGAAGCTGTTCACTCTAGGCACTTTGCAAGGTATTCTTTTTTCACCTAACTCATCATCATTGCTGGTTGAATGGGGAAGATAAAATATTTATCCTGCCTACAGAGTAGGGAAAAGGTCATGTAGGAAAGCTCAGGGTGTAGATGAGTGAACTTGGGAGGATAAAACAAAGCCAGTGTTTGGACTCCCCCAACTCCTGCCATTCTTTCTTGAGAGAGTCTCGCTGTGTCCCCCAGGCTGGAGTGCAGTGGCACGATCTCAGCTCACTGCAACCTCTGCCTCCTGGGTTCAAGCAATTCTCACCCCTCAGCCTCACGAGTAGCTGGGATTACAGGCACTCACCACCACACCCAGCTAACTTTTTGCATTTTTAGTAGAGACAGGGTTTTGCCATGTTGCCCAGGCTGGTCTCGAACTCCTGAGCTCAGGTGATCTACCCTCCTCAGCCTCCCAAAGTGCTACAAAACAAAGCCTGCGTTTGGACTCTCCCCACTCCTGCCGTTCTTAATGCTGGCTCTGTAGCAGGGCACCCTGAGGCCGCTGCATGGAGTGAGTTCCTGCACATTCCCCATCCCAGGGATTTGGCAGAACCCCACGCAGGCCATCGGGTGGAGCACTTGGTTCCTTGTACAGCCTGTGGGCGCCTCTCCTCTGGCGGAGGCAGAGCAGTTAGGCTGAGGGCTCGGAGACGGTCCAGGCAGCCTGCATGTCAGTCCAGGAGGGTGGCTGACGTCAGCTCTGAAGGATGATTGCTTTTTCTTGGCTGGCTAACAAAAGGAAAGTTACTATGACAGAGGACTTTCTGGGAGCCCTGCTGAGCATGGAGAGGGGATCAGAGCAGAGCAAGGCCCTCACCCAGCCTTGGTGGCTAAGTGCAGGGGTAATGCCTTTCCCAACCTGTTCTGCAGGTTGTAGAAACAGGAGGAAATTTTTCTTTCAAAAAACAAGAGGCAGAAAGAAATTTAGCTCTTTAGGTGAGCAGAGGTTAGAGTCCAGACTGACTAGAGGTGAAGTTCCCTTCCCTGGATGCCAGCACTTCTCAGAGGACCTGGAGACAGTGTTCCATCTCAGGGCTGAGCTCGCCATCTCAGGCCTGCTGCGTCTTATTGAAAATAAGGACAAGAACTTCAATATACAGCTTTCCTCCAAAAGGCCCATCGTGAGGCCTGAGTGCCCCTGCCCAAGGTGGTAATCGTTTCTAGGGCACACCCCCTGTAGAAAGGAAAAAGTAGAAGGCCCAAGGAGCCTGTAGCTCCGTGGGAATCATGATGAGAAATGCTTAGATGTACCCCAGTAAAGCAGCTCTTTTAACCAGCATGCTTAAGAAATCAGGGCACTCTTGATTGTTGAACTTTCTGGTTATCCAAGGACTGTCCAGTCCTGTGTTAGATGTAAGGAACTCTTCTCTCTCACCTCTGCAGCCATTTATGGTAGACAAATATAGGTTGATGCATATTTTTGGAAGTAAAGCACTTTGACCAACAATTACACATCTTCCATCTTAAAATTAGGCCATCATTTTCATTTGACAGAGGACATATAAAAGAGCAAAACTAAACATGTCTCCAGGAACTGAGCTGAGCAGAACCAAAAGGAAATGTTAGAGATGTTTTCTAAGTTCACGTGAGTAGAAAGCTCGAAACTCAGAAGTCTCCTGGGTGGAAGGCGGAGGTTGCAGTGAGCCAAGACCATGCCATTGCACTCCAGCCTGGGTGACAAGAGCAAAACTCCATCTCAAAAAAAAAAAAAAGAGAGAGATCTCCTGGGTGAATTGTCCCTGCTAAAGCTGAGTGATGGGTGCAGGGAGGTTCAGTGCACTGTCTTCTGCACTTTTGTGTGTTTGACATTCTCCAAGATACATTGTTTTAAGTCCATGGAAAACAGTATCTGTTTTGTAAAAGTAAAATAGAAACATAAAAAGCCAGAAGTATTTCTGAAAGATTTGGGGCAGTTTTTGTTAGATAGAGATAATAATATAAGTCAGGAAGCTGCCTCTTAATCTCTCAGCTAACAAGGTAGGAAATTTGTACCTAGGTTAAGAAGTCATCCTGCCCTTCAGCTCTTGTACATTGAATCATTCCATTACCCAACACCCAACATAGAGCCAATTTTTTTTTCAAATACATCCTCCAGGAACACATTTCTTTGTATATACACAACATAAGAATAGCTGAACAGCATATGAGAGATCTGCAAACATTTATTGCATCTTGATTATATGCCAGACACTGATGATAGAAGCCATTGACTTTAAAGAGCTGACATCCTAGGGAGGGAGACAGACCTGCGCAGTGTGATTACTAAAACAGTGGAACTCTAATTAAGGCACACAGCCAGCCTGGAGAGAGAGTGCTGTGAATTCTGGCTTCTTTGTAGATAGGGGAAGTATCTGCACAGGTCTCCTGGTGGGGGATGAGTGGGAGGGTGGCTGGGAGGGCCTTAGCAGACAGAATGGGCGGCTGCTGAGGGAAGCGCCCAGAGGCAGTGGCTGAGCCCGCGTGGTGATGCTGGGCTGGTTTGCTGATCCTGGACCTAGTCAACTGTGCCAGGAACTAAAGTTGAAGGGTCTGGGCAGGAAAGACTTTGTGGATCAGGCTAAGGAATTTGAACTTTATCTTGGGACACATCATTAGTGATTCTAAGCAGGAGAGCAGTGTGTTCAGAATTACTCCGAATTCTGATTTTAAATAGTGGCTTGACCTCATTTGTTTTTCTCTTCCTGTCCTCAAGCTTCCTTGTCAGTTATGATACTTTTAGTTAACAAGTAACAGAAAACTCAGCTCAGTGACTTATACCCAACATGGATGAACCTTGAAGACATTGTGCTAAGTGAAATAAGCCAGTTATAAAAGGACAAATATTACATGATTCCACTTACATGTGGTATCTACAGGAGTCAAATTCATGGAGACAGAAAGTAGAACGGGGGTTGTCAGGGGCTGGGAGAGGGGGAGCAAGTAGGGTTGGTGTTTAGTGGGTACAGAGTTTCAGCTTTACAAGATAAAGAGTTCTGGAGATGGATGGTGGTGATAGTTGTACCACAGTGTGAATGTATTTAGCAACACCGAGCTGTATACTTAAAAGCAAAAATATCCTCAAAATGGCTTAAACCAAATGGAAAATATTTCATAAGAAATATATAGAGAAGCTTTGGGACTGATTAATTCAGGGTTCGGCAATTTCAAAAAGGAGCCAGGTGGCTCTGCCTTCTCACTCTTCATCACCACTTCAGCCCCTTGGAAGACAACTGCCCCCGTCCGAAATTACCTTGCAAAGCAACATCCAAGAAAAGAGACCGTCCCTAAGTCCATTTTCGATTGCTTATAACAGGATACCTGAAAGGGAATTTATTTATTACAGTTTTGGAGGCTGAAAAGTCCAAGGTCAAAGGGCTGGATCTAGTGAGGGCCTTCTTGCAGGTGGGGACTTTCTGTGGAGTCCTGCGGTGGCACAGGATAGCACATGGCATCACACAGTGGTAGGGCTGCATGTGCCAGCTCAGGACCCTGTTCCTCTTCTTGTAAAACCACTAGAACTCATTATCCTGTTAGTCCATGAATAGATTAATCCTTTCATGAGGGCAGAGCCCTCACACTCTAGTCACCTCTTCATAGCCCCACCTCTCAGTAATAGGGATTAAGTTTCAACATGAGTTTCAGAGGAGACAAATACCTAACCCATAGCACTCCCTGTGTCTCTTTAAGAACAACAAAAGCTTCCAAAATCAGAGTCTTCAGCATCTTGGCATGAATGTCTAGCAGCCATTCCACATGCAGCCTGACTGGAGCCCCACTCCTGATTCCTCTTGCAAGCTCTTCCCACCATCTCCTCACTCCCAGGCAGTGGTGGCTCCTGTTTCTCCAGACTCTTCCTTTACTCAGGCTAAATACCCTGGAGTCGCCTTGGCTCCCGTCACACCCCACATCCGTTGGCAGATTCTTTTCACTCTGCCTTCCACATATGCCCAGGCTCTGGGTACTTTTCACCACTGTGACTCAGCCCGAGCCACCACCATCTCCCACCTGGATTATTGTCATCGCTTCCTACCTGATCTCCCTATTTCTGCCCTTGGTCACATATCCATTCAGTGAGCAAATATTTACCGTGTACCTCACATGTGACAGGCATCACTCTGGGTACTGGCAGCTCTACAGTGAATAAAACAAAATCCCTGCCCTCCTGGAGCCTTCATTCTGTTCTCAAAACAGCAGTCAGATCATGTCCCTCCTTTGACCAGCATCCTCTCATTCTTCCATCTCACTCAGAATAAAAGCCAGATTCCTTAGGAGACCTGCATGATGGTGCCTCCTTGTTCCTTGAGTAAGTTGAGTGCACGCCCGTCTCAGGACTTTCACATTTGTTTTTCCTGCTCCCTAGAATCCTGTCCCCCCCATGTAGCCTCAGGCCTTTCTCTTTCATTTTATTCAAGTCTCTTGATTTGGAATTTGACAGAAAGATGGGAATGAGTTGCCCTGAACAACTGGCAGTGGAGTGGCCATTTACAGAGAGGGAGCTTCCTGCGGAGGGAGCTTGCGGGGCAGGTTACCAGGAGTTGGGTTTTTGACCTGCTACACCTTCCATGCAATTTAGACATTCAGGTGGGTCATGCAGCACCTGTGGACGAATCTGAGGCTCAAGGAGAGCTCTGAGTGACAGATTTAGGGGTTGCCAGTGTATACATAGGTTTACGCTCAGTGTCACAGGAAGCGCGTGCACAGAAGAGCTGCATATTGCAGTGATTTCAGTTAGGGATACGAGGAGGAAGCAGCAAAGGAGACTAAGGAAGGGCAGCCAGCGAGCTAGAGGAGAATCAGGAGATGCACTTCTCCAAAGCCCAGTGCAGGGACGTGCAGAGAGGGAGGGAAGGACGGAGGGAGTGCCTGTGGCAGGTGCTGCTGATCGCTCTCCCCGCCCAGCCTCAGCTGTCTCACTCCCAGGCACAGACAGCCGGGCTGTTTGAGGAATGCGTCCAATATGCAGGGGTAATGGACCTTTAGTACCAACTTCAACTAGTTCATGTTCCTTGAATGTTGAGACATCATAAAAAATATAATTTGGTCTCTGTTCCTGGTTCCTGACATAGAGCTCCTAAAACCCTTGTAATTTTCTGAGCTGCAGGGGTTCAAGGGGCATCTTTTGTTCTAATCTGGTGACTCTTGGTGGGCTCCTGGGTGGGGACCTGTCACCAGAAAAATGAAGCCATGAGGAGAGGGTTGAACCTTCAGCCCCACCCTCCCTCCTCCGGGGAGGGAAGGGGGCTGGAAATGGAGTTAGTAATTGATCATACCTACACAATGAAACTCCATAAAAATCCCTAAAAGATGGGGTTCAGAGAACTTTTCATTTTGGCAAACACATCCACTTGCTGGGAGCATGGTGCACCCCAACGCGGTGGGGACAAACACTTCTGTGCTCGGGACCCTCCCAGACCTCACCCAGTGTGCCTTTTCACCTGGCTGTTCACTTGTATCTTTTATCATATCCTGTAATAAACTGGTAAACGTAAGTAAATGTTTCCCTGAGCTCTGTGAGCCATTATGACAAATTATCAAATCTGAGGAGGGGCTTGTAGGAACCCTCCATTTGTAGCCAACTTGGACAGCAGTTGTAGGCAACCTGCAGCCCCTCTGCTTGCAATTGGTGTCTGAAGTTGGGGGCAGTCTCTGGACTGAGCTCAGAACTGGGGGGCCTTGCGCTCATCAGAGTAGGTAGGGTCCAAATTGAGTTAAATTATAGAACACCCAGTTGGTGTCAACAGAGAACTGGACAGTTGCTTGGTATGGAAAACCTACACTTCTCTTCACAAACCACACTTCATGAGCCAGGGCCATCCCAGCAAAGCTGCTTCTTTGACACCAACTGATGAGGAAAACACTTTTTCCTGTTAAGCCTTGTATACTTCCAACACTTCTGACAGTAGCCACAAGTGTACCTTCGCTACTGGGGCTGAGTGGAGATCCCATTTTTTCCCCCACTCTTCTCTCTTTAAAACTTCTGGGAAACCGTCTATCGTTTGGCCTCATCTGGAGCATAGGCAGCTCAGACAGTAAATCCACCTCTTCTCCTTCACCTGTAGCACCTAAGGTGGTGCCTGGTGTTGCCAGTAGGGTAGTGAATACGCAGGCTCCAACACACGGGTGCACACGTTTGCTGTTGCCTGTGAGTGTGTGTGTCACATACCCTGAGCTTGAGTTAAAAATCAGGGAAAGAGTCTTCTTCTCTCCACTTAGCAGTTTCTATATTTTAATGCAGCCTGAATTCAAAGTAATAATGTTCCAAACTTATTAAGCTGAGATTTTATGTGGGAGAGAATTTGGTCTCTGGGTGGGAGAGAGTGTAAGGCTGAGGGAAGCACATGCCGACTTTTGAGAATTGCTAAAGTGAATGCTCCTTTTTTAACTTCGATTTTTCTGCAGGGGTCGGCACCAGGAATTATTATAGAAAGATCGGCTACAGATTACAAGGCCCGTACATGGTGAAGATGCTGAAATAATGGCCACACCAGTCCACTCTTCTGCAGTATCCTCCCTGGCAGAACACGGAGAATCAGGATTTCTTAAATACTCAACAGAGAGGCTGAGCAGAGCAAATGGGGGGCTTCACCCTCATCCCGCAGCTGCAGAGACTGGAAACTGCCTTCAAGGCCACGGCTGGTCATCTGCTGACCACACCCCAGATCCGCCCTCTCCTGCGTGCACCCCAAAAAATCACTTGCGTTTTTGAGGCTTAAATCATCTATCCAGTTTCTACATTTTGCATGAGGCCTGCAGGTGGCCTATTTTGACTCAGACGGTGAAAAAAGCAAATTAACTCATTTGGACACCATAACTCATGCAATAAAACTGATTGTCATTCGAGGAGCAAACTTAAGAGTAGTTTATTTATATACCCTGGGGACAGAAAGTCAGGTTGAAACAGGAAAACCACCAGACTCTAATCTCAGCCCTTTAACGACATACGCATTGGAGCGCAAGTTAGGAAAATGAGCTTTTGTTTTCATGGAAATCATTCTGATTACAGTGCTGATGTTTAGAAATAAATAGCAGTGTGACTGGGAAAGAGGAATTGCAGTTGTGGGGGTGTGAGCCTGGCAGCAGCCAGCCAGCAGCCTCTCCCAGGCGGGAGTCTACCATCCGAGACGGCGATGACAAAGAGCTTCATTCCACATTCTTTGTTATCTCTACTTCCCACCCTCTTGGCAACTACAGAGCAGTGTGGGCAGCCCCAAGTGTGGTCCCCAGAGAGCGTTTGGCTTTCCTGTCTGTCTATCCTGAGCGGGTGGAGTCTCAGGTTGTGTGCCCCTAAATCAAGATTTGCTTCCACAGAAGCCATTACTTGCAATTTTTTTTTTTTTTCTGAGAAAGTCTCGCTGTGTCACCCAGGCTGGAGTGCAGTGGCGCAATCTCACTGCATCCTCCGCCTCCCGGGTTCAAGCGATTCTCCCGCCTCAGCCTCCTGAGTAGCTGGGATTACAGGCACCCGCCGCTGCTAATTTTTGTATTTTTAGTAGAGATGGGGGTTTCACCATATTGGTCAGGCTGGTCTCGAACTCCTGACCTCAGGTGATCAACCCACCTTGGCCTCCCTAAATGCCGGGATTACAGGCATGAGCCACCGCTCCCAGCCTTTGATTTTTTAAGGTGGATTTTGGTTGTTATAAATGGAGAAAGGTAAGAGTTCAAGTTCAACCCGTGTGTGAAAGCAAAACAATGGAAAACAGGATTGGCTTCTTCAAAGGCTCCTCTTGTAGAACTGCCTCTTTGAAATTTCGAGGTAATCTACTTTGGAGACTCTGCCTGGAGAGGGTCAGTTCCTAAGTTAAAAGCATCGCTTAACCTTGGCTCCTGTGGCATTTTACAAAGGTTTAAAGGAATTGATTCCTCTGAAAGGGCCTGAAAATAAAAAGTCTTTAACATACAAAGAAGAGTCATGTGGTTTTCTTTCTCTCCCTGTAAATGCAGTGACATTTGCCACAAATGTGCAGGTTTCAGTTTCCAACCTATGGCACTGTTCATTTCCTCCCGGGTGCTGTTTGCCATTTCATTAAACTGCTATGAGGCAAATGGCAGTGGCTTTGTTATGGGCTGGCTGTGGAACCACCACAGCTTTCCATGAGTGTCGTTTAGGGACTTAGCTACTTCTCAATTATGCTTTTTTACCCTATAAAAATAAAACAATAAAGCCTACTCCCGCTGGTTGTCAGAGCTGTGTTGCTGGAGACAGAACCAGCTGCGCAGCCCTGGAGCACAAAGTCTCTGGGCCTCGACCTTCTCATCTGTCCTAGGTGCCCAAATGGATCCACACACATAAAAGGGCTTTTGTGAAATGGTAAAAAGGCCTGCACGTGGAAAGTTCACTTCAAAAGATGACAATTTAGGGAATTTGAAACAAAATGACAGGAACTTGCACCTTTCTGATGGCTGTCAGCTATTATTGAATCCTGGTTTTATCTCAGGATTCACGAGAATCCCTCTTTCTAGCTCATCCCTGGCCTTCCTTGCCGTATCTTGTGGCCTGTGCAAAACGGCAGCAGTTGGGGAGCTTCCCCCGGGTGGCAGAGCTCCCGCCTCCCTCTGCCACCAGAAGCTTCCGCTTCTCTTGTGACTGCCAGGGCTCGTTCCGGCACGGATGGTGCTTGGCACCTCCACTGTCCGGCTGGTCTGTCTGCTCCGAGGCCTGTGGGGCCACCTCATAAGAAAGCTCAGTTGGGCACAATTCTGCTGGCCTCAGTGTGAAACCATCACAGCTGCAGGCTGATCCCATCTGAATGGAAGGACTCCTTAGCAACCACCTCCAATCTAGAAAGCTCTGCTTTTAGCTCAACTTCTGGCTACATCACCTGAAGTTTTTTTTTTTTTTTCTTTTTTTAATTCAAGTCATATCAAAAACAGACTGAAATAAATTTGAAGAGAAAATGAGATTTTTAAAATACATTATCACCGAATGAAAGGGCCTGGTAAAACTCATTGTTCCTCCCATTTGGGAACAAGCAAACCGCTTATCCATTTTCCATCTCTGCAGGCCCTAAAGTACTGCAAAGACAACTCAAAAACCAACGCCTGTTCCCCTAAAACGTCTTTCAGATTGCAAATTTTCATTGCCAATGGGGTTTTGGCTTTTTTGTTTTCAAGATTATCACATTGAAAACAGAAAATCCTGCTCCTAAAGAACTCACAGACCCCTGAGTTTACCAAAAAAAAAAAAAGCACAAGATCTGGAATCTGAAAACCTGGTTTCCTCATTAACCATGAAGCTTTGAGCAAGGCCCCTCCCCGTTTTGAGCTACCATTTCCCTATTTGTAAACACGTGTCTCTCGGGGCAAGCATAGGAATCAGATGTGGCATTTGAGAGACATTGCATAAACCAGGACATATACCAATAGTTGTTGCTGCCCCCACTGAAGTGGCTTCACTGCTGATGTGTGACCTTGGGCAAGTCAACCCTGCAAAGTTTCTTCATCTGTAAGATGGGAGTGAGGACTACAGAAGCCCATGTATGCAGGGTTCTTAGAACAGGAAGCATATTATAGACGCACTAGCTTTGATTACTAATATCTAGCAAGTGCAATCGTCAGCCCATTTTTTTTTTTCAATGAGGGAGCTTCTCTGCTGACAATAGAATTTCTGATTCTTTGCTACAATCTTAAGTTTTTCTAGAAGCCCATGTCAGAAGAATAGTATCTCTGATGCTCCAAGACCCTATTCTCCTCCTCCTCTGGTCTATTTTATTCCACAAGTCTAGGGTTGCACATTGTCAAATCCATTCCTTGAGGGCCAAGATCCTAGCTGAGACTGCAACAGCAAAAAGCATTTTGAAATACCGCTGTCACTGGAGTGGCTTCCTGGAAAGTTGTCCAGCAGCAGCACGCATTGCCGATCCCAGTGTGAGCTGGTGGCTGTGTCCGCCTAGGGAGTCTGGCAGCCATTTGTGGCAGGGGTTGGCATGGGGAGGGGACACCTTTCTATATGTTGGAGTTGTGTACACCAGTAATACACTTGTGTTTCATTCTGTGAAGGCATTTCCAAAAATGATGTTTCAAGAAACTGATTTTAATGTAGACAAATCCATGCCTGTGAAAAAGTTGCCACTAGGCTGCTTTTCTCTATCCTGCCTTCACTACCGTCACCCAGATGTGCAGCTTTATCTCCTTTGTCTCTACACACCTAATTCCCCTCTTGTCCACCTGGAAAATGTCTCATCATTCAGGGGAACAAACGACTATTTGTTGAGCCTCCACCAGGCCCTGGACTCTGCCTCAGGTCCTTCACCTTCCTCATCTTGGGATATCCCCGCAGCCCCCGCCGTCCTCAAGGTCAATAAGGTAAGGTGAATAGTCTCCACTACTCTTTTTTTTTTTTTTTGAAACAGGATCTCACTCTGTTGTCCAGGCTGGAGTGCAGTGGCGCAGTCATGGCCCACTGTAGCCGTGCAAACTCCCAGGCTCAAGCACTCCTCCCACCTCAGTCTCCCGAGTAGCTGGGACTACAGGCATGCACCGCTACACTCAGCTAATTTTTTGACTTTTTTATAGAGGCGGGAGGGGTCTCGTTGTGTTGCCCAGGCTGGTCTTGAACTCCTGGACTCAAGCGATCCTGCCGCCTCAGCCTCCCAAAGTGCTGGGATTACAGGCGTGAGCCACCGCGTCTGACCTTGCCTCCATTACTTAAGTGAAGAAGGCAGGCTGGTGTCTTCACCTCTGAGCCTGGCATCACAGGAAGCCACTGCGGCACCCAGGTGCAGTCACAGTGCCATTCCCCAAATGTCTGGGGATTGCGTATACTATAGTCTGAATAGGACCCCGGAGTGGCCCAGTGCAGTGGCCCTGGTCTCAGTCATTAAATGCTAAGACGCAAGCTTCGAGACCGAGTCAGTGATTCAGCCCTTCCCACCCCACCCGGCCCCACTCTTCCTCTTCTAGAGGAAAGCGTTTCCAGTCAGCTTATGTTAGATGCTAACAGACCGGGCCTGTGCCTTCAGATGTGGATTTCACCCTCATGGCAGCCTGTGAGAGAAGCCCTATTATCAGCATCCCAGCAGTTACAAGTGGTGGGAGAGGAAGTGGATGATTTCCTCAAGAGAGAATGCAAAGTACAGAAAGAGCCTGCTCTTTTCATTTAAATGAAAATAGCGCTTGGGGGCTCTGAAAATTATATATGCTCATTATAACAAATGGAAATGAGACAGAAAAGCACAAAATAACCTGAAATCCCACCGTCAGTGCCAGCCGTGGTTAACATTGTGATGAATGTCCTTCCAGCCACCTCTCTCTATACACACACACACACACACACACACACACACAGACACACAATCAGCTTTACATAGAAGAGTCATATTGTACACGTTGCTTCTTTTTTACTCTACAAGATGTAAAGTAAGCATCTTTCCATTTCAATATGGATTTACTTGATGGTTTTTTTGTTTGTTTTTTGTTTTTGTTTTTGTTTTTTTTTGCTTTTGAGACACAGTCTCACTGTCTCCCAGGCTGGCGTGCAGTGGTACTATCTTGGCTCACTGCAGCCTCCAACTTTTGGGCTCATATGATCCTCCTGCCTCAGCCTCCCAAGTAGCTGGAACTAGAGGTACGCACCATCACGCCCAGCTAATTTATTTTTTTGTAGAGCTGAGGTCTCCCTGTGTTGCCCATGCTGGTCTCGAACCCCTGGCTCAAGCTACTCCATCCTTTGCAGTGACTACCTAGTGGTCCCCTGTCTGTAAGTGCACGGGGGGATTTCAGCAGGCCTTTCTAATCTCACACTCTCATCATCACAATACCTAGAATCAGATGTGAAGCACAAATCTGTTGGCTCAATACCAAGATGTACTTCTTTAATTTCTTTTCTACAATCACTCATTCATGGCCGGTCCCCTTTGTTCCCCCCGCCCCCCGCCTCTTTGGTTGTCCCGCCACCAAGCCTTTCAGTCCTTCACTCATACTGGGGAAGGCCTCCCTGGCTAGTGCATGCCCTTTCTTATCCAGAGGGCAGCAGCACATTCAAATCATGAACAAGTCCCATCACACAAAATGTCAAGATGCCTGCTCACTGGAAGGCACTGGTGCATGACACCCTTTACTGAGGTGAGAGGTGACTGTACCTTATCTTTTTTCCCCTGATGTAAGGGACTGCGCCAAGTCAGATCCCTGCACCAGCTGCAGACACTCGTCATCTTGTCTGCAAGGCTAGAAAATGTGACCACCAGGGAGACTTGATGGTACCTGCTGTCAACATCAGGGCAGGCAGCAGAGGGGCTCTCAGTGCTTGGACTGCCCAAGAAAGAATGGCGGATCGTCCAGATGCCTGGGGACCAGTCTTGCTTCTGCCTCTGTCCAGCTCTGCAGGGACAGGGAATGGGTCACCACATGTCTAGGGTGCTGAGGCAGCAAGCAAAGGATCACCTGCATCTACTGAAGGAAGGAAAGTACAGGAACATTTTGGCAAGAGGAAGAAAGGGAAGTAATGCGCTGAGCAGTCATGCCTGGTATTGCCCCATGATGGTCCTCGGAGGGAGGAATTAAGGTCCTCATTTTACAAATGAGAAACTCGGGCTGAAAACAGCTCAGTAAATTAACCAAGGCCACAGAGCTAGTCAGAGAAATGAGTGTGAAGACAACAAACTGGCCCAATACAGTGGCCCACGCCTGTAATCCCAGAACTTTGAGAGGCTGAGGTGGGAAAATCCCTGGAGCTCAAGAGTTCGAGACCAGCCTGGGCAACATAATGATACCCATTCTCTATAAAAAATTAGCCAGGTGTAGTCGTACACACCTACATTTCTACCTACTACAGAGGCTGAGGCAGGAGGATCGCTTGAGCCCAGGAGTTGGAGGCTGCAGTGAGCCATGATTGTGCCACTGTACTCCAGCCTGGGTGAGAGGAAGACCCTGTCTCAAAACACACACACACAAAACAAATTGACATTTGCAAACTTGCAAAGATTCATACTTACGAGCAGTGGTTCCTCTAGAATTTCTAAAACAAAGTTTCTGGCTGGCAGTTGGGTTGGAGAAGGGTTTATCTTGAAGCTACGTGGCCTGGCAGACATTGTTTGCCCCCATCACCTGCTCCAAGCCACTTCTTGGCACAACAACTGCCAATGGGCTCTTGAAAGACCTCTTAATTAAAATACACAGACAACAGATACATCCAAATAAAAAACTGGTGAATAGGGACAATATGGAAAGAATGAACTAGTAGCAAGAAATCAATCTGCTTAAATAGAAAACTGGAACTAAGTAACTCTGGGAGTGACTGTTACAGAAAAAAATGGAAGTTTCTGGGTTAAAATGGAGGATGGAACACGCACATCTAGTATTGCTTCCACCTGGAGCTAGATGTGTGCATTCCATCCTCCCTTTTAACTAATGTTAAAGAGAGATGAGGGCCTAGCACAGTGACTCACGGTGACTCCCCACACTTGGGGAAGCCAGAGTGGGAGAATTGCTTGAGCCCAGGAGTTTGAGACCAGCCTGGGCAACATAGCAAGACCCTATCTCTACAAAAAATTTTTAAAAATCAGCCAGGTGTGAACCCTGATGGCACACACCTGTAGTCCCAGTGATTTGGGAGAGGTTGAGGCAGGGGGACCACTGGAGCCCAGAAGTTTGAGGCTACAGTGAGCTATGACTGAGCTGCTGCATTCCAACCTGGGTGATAAAGTGAGACCTGTCACAAAAAAAAAAAAAAAAAAAAAGACTAAGTTTGCCTGATGCTTACAGATATGGAAAAAGAGACAAGTGAGCCACGCAGGAGAGGAAGCCAGAATGGGCTGTCTAGGGTTTGTCCAAAAGGGCTTCATAGAGGGGCAGAGAGGTCCCAGCCAAGAGGTCCCAGTACAGAGAAACTGAAAGTCCCCTCTCACCCCACATCCCTAGGGCCGCAGAGGAGTAAGTGGCCAAGACTACAGATGGGAGCAGCCTCTTTCCGCACTCAACCCTGTGGGGACCCAGAGGACACAGAGCCAGTGTAGGCTTATAAGGCCCCTGCCTCCCTTATTTCACCTCTGTCCCCAGCACCCCAGCCCTTCCTCCTCCAGGAAATGGGGAGGAAGTGCTGGCGCCCCTGTGGCAGGTCCTCCCTGGAAGAATGGAAGTCCCACCCTGGAAACGTGGATGTCATATGGCATAGGCCGTTCTCATTGTTGAACTGAGATCGTGTTGAGAGGCTCAGAGAGAAGGAAGGACACCTGTTACCTAAGACAAATCATAAAGGTCAGGGGAGGCTGAGGTTTTCATCCCAGGGCTGGGGAAACAAAATAATAGTTGACCTTTGAGAACCTCCCATCAGCTGGGCTTGTTCAAATAACAGCAACATTCTGATTGTGTTCCCAGCTCAGTCTGTTCAACTAGCAGGCACATGGACAACACTGGATTTCCATTTTAAATTGAAAAAAAAAATTAACTATCACTTTTGTTTTAATAAGTTATTACCCCCTTTGAAAAGAGACACTTTTTCTTCTGTACCAAGATGTCGGCGCCACAGGTGGAGTTTGACCTTTCTCTGGAACTAGAGGATTTAGCCTTGAATTTTTTGCCTGGGATTTTTTACAGGGTGAGGCCACTTTCAGCCACAGGAGAGTTTATAGTGAAATGAAACCCATAGTGTCAGTACTTTGGGGTTAAGATTAGAGATCCTTTCTGTATTTGGAGTTTAAAGTGTCACTTTTCAGAGAATTTGACATTTCAGATTATTTGACAGATCAGCTGTGATTCCAATTTAAAACAGGCATTGATTTTTAGACTTAGGATTTTAAATGGAAAGATGTGCCAGAATTTGAATAAATTTGTAAACAATGCTGGAATATGTAAGAAATCTTGAGATTTGCTATATTTAAATTTTTAATGTGTTATTAGATTTATAAGACTTTTGAAAAGTTACTTGGGGCTGGGCACCGTAGCTGACACCTGTAATCCCAGCACTTTAGGAGATCAAGGAGGGCAGATCACTTGAGTTTAGGAGTTCAAGACCAGCCTGGGCAACATGGTGAAACCCTATCTCTACAAAAAATACAAAATTTAGCTGGGTGTGGTGGCATGCACCTGTGGTCCCAGCTACTCAGGAAGCTGAGGCGGGAGGGTCGCTTGAGCCCAGCAGGAGGTTGAGGCTGCTGTGAGCCATGATCACACCACTGCACTCCAGCCTAGATGACAGAATGAGACCCTGTCTCAGGAAAAAAAAATATATATATATTACTTGGAAGGGTTTTTGCTTGCTGAAGTCATAAATTGCCCAGTCAGGCACTTAAAGTACATAAAAAGAAAATAAAGATATTGAATTTATATAAATTTATTAATGTGGTTTTAAATCATTTAAGAAAATTTTATTTTTAAAAGCTTTTATATATATTATATATTTTTATATATAACATATATTTTTATATATATAATATATATTTTTTATATATAACATATATTTTTATATATATAATATATTATATATATTTTTATATATAATATATTATATATTTTTAATATATATAATATATATATTTATATATATATAATATATTATATATATTTTTTATATATATATAATATATTATAGAGACAGGGTCTCACTATGTTGCCCAGGCTGGTCTCAAACTGTTGGCCTCAAATGATCCTCCCACCTCAGCCTTCCAAAGTGCTGGGATTACAGGCGTGAACCACCGCAACCAACCTCAAAAAAATCTTAACCGAGGTGAAAATAGGACTGATTTGGAAGATGCATGCTTCACTCACACCAGGCATGGAGAAGGGCAGCGAATCACACATGGCACATCCTGAAATCTCACTTAATCCTCTTGTCACTCATGGGCTCTAAAAGTTGCACAGCAAGTTCAGCCACATTCTATAACTGTGTGAGCTGGTTCATTGACTCTATTCATTTATCACCAAGAATCCACAATAGCAGGGAAATCTACAGAACACTAGTGGAGCCCACTCAGTCAGGAGAATCCAGGAAGCCTCCTAGGGGAAGGGCTGTGAGGGATGAGTGGGAGTGGAGCAGGGGAGCAGACATGGAAAGAGAATTCCAGGCTGAGTAGCGGGGAGGACCCAGCCTGGGAAGTTGTCTCAACATGAGGTTGGAAAGACCAGTTCTAGAAAGAAATAGGCTAAATAAGAGTGAAGGCAGGCCAGGCACGGTGACTCATGCCTGTAATCGCAGAACTTTAGCAGGCTGACACAGGAGGATTGCTTGAGCCCAGGAATTCCAGATCAGCCTGGCCAACATAGCAAGACCCTGTGTCTACAAAAATTTTTTAAATTAGCTGGGTGTGGTGGTGCATGCCTTCAGTCCCAGCTACTTGGGAGGCTGAGGCAGGAGGATCATTTGAGCCCTGGAGGTTGAGGCAGCAGTGAGCTGTGATTGCACCACTGCACCCCAGCCTGGGCAACAGAGCAAGACCCTATCTCGGAAAAAAAAAAAGAGTGAAGGCAAGAGAACATCTGAGAACTCAGTACTGGGATTCAAACTATAGCAGCAAGTGGACTGGAAGGGTGGGGGAGTGGGGAACAGCAACAAACGCAGCATCCTTTAAACAAAGATAGTATCCCACAGTGACACAGTGGCATAAAGTGGTAGGGTCCTGGGACTCTCCTCCTGTGAACTGCCCCAGGCCTGGGGACCTCAGCTGTTCTTGTGTTCCCAGAGCCTGGCACCCAGAAGGTGTTCCATAAATCTTTGCTGGAAGAATGACAAGACGGGAAGGATGGGAAGAAAATGTCTAAGATGGGGGAACTATTGGAATGAAGCTGAGAGACATTGACTCAGCACATACTGTGGTCCAGCTGATGTTGTTTTCTTTTTCTTTTTCTTTTTCTTTTTCTTTTTTTTGAGACAGAGTCTTGCACTGTCACCTGGGCTGGAGTGCAATGGCGCAATCTCGGCTCACTGCAACCTCCACTTCTGCCTCCTGGGTTCATGTGATTCTCCTGCCTCAGCCTCCTGAGTAGCTGGGATTACAGGCGCACACCACCACACCTGGCTAATTTTTTGTATTTTTAGTAGAGATGGGGTTTCACTATGTTGGCCAGACTGGTCTTGAACTTCTGACCTCGTGATCCGCCCGCCTCGGCCTCCCAAAGTGCCGGGATTACAGGCGTGAGCCGCCACGCCTGGCCTGTTGTTTTCTTGTGTGTTGTTTCTCTTTATGATTTATCCTGCCCAACACAAAAGTAAGCAAAGCAGCTTCATATTGTCTAACTTGCTTTTAATATTTTACTTGAAATGTCATAACTAGAAAGTTTTCTGTGCTTTAAAATGTCAACATCGACCTCCTGCTTCACCCTCCAGGTCTTGTTCCCAGTGCTAATTCTCCTGGGCCCCTTTGCCCAGGGCTGTGACGGCGCCTCCCTCCCTTCCGCTTGTATAACATTACGCAGTCCAGCCTCCCTCCTCCTCCCCGCTTCCCACATGGACACAATCCACTCTGAGTTGTGAATCTATTCGTGACAACCGTATCCCCTCTGCATGGGCACCAGTCACCCATTTCCACTTGCGCTGTTGACATTTCTGCTGTCATGTCCCACTGTTGCCTCAAAGTCATCTAAAATTAAACTCCGCTCCCTCCATCCCCACAAAACCACTGCCCTTCTTGACTTGGACCTCTGTTAATGGCTTCAGCATCCTCCCAACCACCCAAACTCCAAGCTTTTAGTCACTCTGGACTTTGCTCCCTTCCTCACCCTGCATATGTAGCTAATTACTAAACTCTTTCCTCAATTTTTCTCTAATATTCATCTGAGTTTTCACTGCCTTGATCACTGTGACGCACAATAGTCCTAATATTTAGAGGTACATAGTGATGTTTCCTTACGTACAATGTAAGTGATCAGATTAGGGTAATTAGCATATCCATCATCCCAAACATCTATCATTTCTTTGTGTTGGGAGCATTGACTATCTAGCTACTTGAAACTATATATTATAGTTAACTAAGTCATCCCACAGTGCTACAGAACACTATGACACTCCTCCTATCTAGCTGGATTCTGTATGCTTTAACAAATCTCTCCCTGCTCCTCCTAACTGATCTGTCTGCCTCTATTTTCTCCCTCCTTTAATCCGACTTGTCAGATTAATCTTCCTGTAACAATCATAAAAGCAACAACAGCTAGCATTTATCAAACACTTAGTACGAGCCAGGCACTGTTCTAAGATCTCTACCTGTAGACATACATTCAAAACTCCCATCAATCTCATCGTGTTACTTTTATTTTTTTTATTTTTTATTTTTTGAGACGAAGTCTTCCTCTGTCGCCTAGGCTAGGGTGCAGTGGTGCAATCTCAGCTCACTGCAACCTCCACCTCCCAGGTTCAAGCGATTCTCCTGCCTCAGCCTAATGAGCAGCTGGGATTATAGGAGCATGCCACCACGCCTGGCTAATTTTTATATTTTTTGTAGAGACGGGGTTTCCCCATGTTGGCCAGGCCAGTCTCGAACTCCTGACCTCACGTGATCCACCTGCCTTGGCCTCCCAAAGTGCTGGGATTACAAGCGTGAGCCACCACGCCTGGCCTCCTCTTATTTTATAGATGAGAAAACGTGAGGTACAGAGAGGTTAAGTAGCTTGCTCAACAACACACAGCTAGGATGTGGCATCAGAGGATGACCCAGGAGGTCCCCATTGCCTACAAAATGAACTGCATCCTCCCATGTCCCCACCTCCCTCTCTCTGCTCAGCTACACTGACGTCAGCAAGATGCCCAGTGCATGCCTCTTCTGTGCCCCAAAACACAACTCAGTTACCCCCTTCCCACCTCCCTTCCGGGGCCATCTGAGCTCACCATGGTCCTGCGAGCATTGCCAACGCTACTCCTTAGTGCTGCAGTGGGGCAGAGTGGTACCTTTTTTTGGGGGGGGTGTATGTGCTGACATAGGACATGGACTTGATGGGACTATTTTGGAATGGAAGACGTTTTAAGGTGGCAGGATCCAAACAGTCATATCAAAATGTAAATGCACTATTGCCTTTTAGGTTTTATTTTATGTTTAATTGGCACAAAATATCCATAAAAGACTTCCTTAACCCTCACCCTATCCCTCAACTGCCCTCAGCCCCGCAAATACTCAGGGGATAGATGAGGGGTCTGTGTTGCACATCACTTGATCTTTTATCTATTCTGATTTTTCACTAGGATATGCATCCACGTGGGACAAAATTCTGAAGGGACAAAGGATATATCATGAAAAATAAGTCGCCTTTATACCCCATCCCCTGCCACCCTGCCCCTCCCAAAGACAGCCACTCATCTTTTCGGAGAGTACATATCCAGTGAATGTCAAGCATATCAATACAGATGCCTGATACTTTTAAAGATGAAAGTACACTCATGGGTTTTCTGACATTATGATGATCAAGACACAAATATTAAAAATTATCCTGATGTCAACATGGCAGCATTGACGTGTCCTGCACCTCCCCACCAGCTCTTTGTAAAAGGGACAAGGTCTTACACACCCCGTGCCTCTGCTCTCCAATCCCTTCATGCCCCCCCGGGCCCAGTGCTGGTCCAGGGTCTGGGCTCAGAGCAGACACTCAATGATACGATTTGAAGGAAGCTCAGACAAAACCCTGGTCTAGAGCGAGGGCAGGAACCAAGTGAGTGGTGGAGAGGGAAGAGATGAGAGTAGAGAGGGGAGAGATGGAGTGAGCCCAGGAGGGAAAAGTGGAAGCGATGGGGAAGAGGGAATGGCAATGCTTACCTGGCACTCTCCTCCCCTATCCACCAAGGCACTGATCAGCCCTCGACAGCCCACTGTGGGAAAGTCCCCAAGCCACCTGCTGCTGGGGGACCCATTCATCCAAGCCCGACCACCCGAGGCCAGGAGACTGCAGCTTAGCCCACCTTTCCCGTGGTTTATTCACTTTACAGAATTAGACTCAGCTCGACTTACCAGGCCCCCATCTCTAACCGTCCTTACCATCCCTGAGAGAAAATTGCTTCTCTGATGACTCACAGGGAAGGAGCCATAAAGCACTGAATCACCGATGCCCTCTCCTACCCAGCTCAGTAGTTTCTGCTTTGTGTTTTCCTTTCCAGACAATTTCGGATCTGTTTCTCTGGCCATGGCCCCATAGGATGGCTGCTGGCTGAACCGAAGTTGGCAGTAACCTTTTCCCCAACTCGTTGTTTACCTGAGACTGGCTGTCACTGATAAATGCCTTGCCTCGCCTGGCTACTAACCACGGTGAAAAAGAAAAGAAAATCAGATTAACAAGAGAACAGATCTGTGCTTGGCTGAAGCCCACACTGTTTCCAAATGATAAGAAGTTCATGCCCCTGACTGAGGCTGTGAGGAAACCTTTCTCTAATGGGTTTTGAAAATTGTTTAAGAATAATTTTGAACGGTGTGACCTTCAAAAGGCTCCCACAAAGGGAAAATGCAACACTCCTTTAAGACATATGAATGTTTTTGTCTAAAAAAAAAATGTCCAGCAATTGACATAAAAAAAAAAAGAAATTGAAACTAGAGACAGACCTTACACCCGTCACAAAAATTAACTCAAAATAGATCACAGACTTAAATGTAAAACATAACTGTAAATCTCCTAGAAGATAACACAGGAGAACATTTCGATGACTGAGTATGGCAATAACTTTTTAGATACAACACCAAAGACAAAGATCCATGAAAGAACCCACTGATTAACTGAACTTGATTAAAAATAAACTTGAGCTCTGTGAAAGACACTATCAAGAGAGTAAGAAGAAAAGTCACAGACTGGAAGAAAATATTGCAAAAGACATATCTGATAAAGGATGCATAATCAAAACACAGGAAGAGCTCTTAACACTCAACAATAAGAAAATAAACAACCTGATTTTAAAAATGGGCCAGTCCGGGCTGCACATGGTGGCTTACACCTGTAATCCCAGTACTTTGGTAGGCCAAGGTGGGTGCATCATTTGAGCCCAGGAGTTTGAGACCAGCCTGGGCAATATGGTGAAACCCCATCTCTACAAGAAAAATATAAAAATCTAGCCAGGTGTAATGGCACATGCCTGTAGTCTCAGCTACTCAGGAGGCTGAGGTGGGAAGATCACCTGAGCCTGGAAGGTCAAGGTTATAATGAGCCATGATTGCACCACTGCACTCCAGCATGAGTGACAGTGAGACCCTGTCTCAAATAAAAGGGGGCCAAAAACCTAAACAGACACGTCATTAAAGAAGAGATATAGATGGTAAGCAAGCATGTGGAAAGATGCTCCACATTATGTCTTTAGGGAAATTTACAACCATAAGATATCTACCTATTAGAGTGGCTAAAGTCCAGGACACTGACAACACCAAATGCTGATGAGGATGTGGAGCAGCAGGAACTCCCATTCATTGCTGGTGGGAATGCAAAACCAAACATCACTCTGACCATACCTCCCCCGCAGTCGTACCCTTGGTATTTACCCAAATGAGATGAAAACTTATGTCCATACAAAAGTCTGCTCATGAATACTTACAGCACCTTTCTTTATTGTTGCCAAAAACTGGAAGCTACCAAAATGTCCTTCAGTAGGTGAATGGATAAACTGCAGTATATCTGACAGTGGAATATTATTCAGTGCTAAAAAGAAATGAGCTATCAAGCCATGAGAAGACGTGGAGGAAACTTCAATGCATATTGCTGAGTAGAAGAAGCCAATCTGAAAAGGCTACATAGTATGATTCCAACAATATGACATTCTGGAGAAGGCAAAAGTATGGAGACAGTGAAAAGATCAGTGGTTGCCAAAAGTTATCAGGAAGAGAGGGATGAACAGGTGGAGCACAGAGGCTTTTTCTTTTTTCTTTTTTTTTTTTTTTGAGACGGAGTCTTGCTCTTTCTCCCAGGCTGGAGTGCAGTGGCACGATCTCCGCTCACTGCAAGCTCTGCCTCCCGGGTTCATGCCATTCTTCTGCCTCAGCCTCCTGAGTAGCTGGGACTACAGGCGCCCACCACCACGCCCGGCTTATTTTTTGTATTTTTAGTAGTGACGGGGTTTCACCGTGATAGCCAGGATGGTCTCTATCTCCTGACCTCATGATCCGCCCGCCTCCGCCTCCCAAAGTGCTGGGATTACAGGCGTGAGCCACCGCACCCGGCCCAGAGGCTTTTTAAGGTAGTGAAACTCCTCTGTATGATACTGCAGTGGTGTACACAGGTCATTATATATTTGTCTAAACTCATAGAATCTGCAACACCACGTGTGATCCCTAATGTAAACCATGGACTCTGGTGATAATGTGTCAGTGTAGATTCATCAATTACAGCAAAGCACCACTCTGGTGCGGGATGCTGATAACGCGGAAGGCTGTCGGGGTGTAGGGGCCGGAGAAACATGGAAACTCACTGTACTTTCTGCTCAATTTGCCTTTGAACCTAAAGCTGCTCTAAAAAATGAAATCTATTTTAAATATCTTAAGGGAAAATATTTTAGGAATAAATTAGGGTGGGTACAGTGTTTTACACATGTAATCCCAGCACTTTGAGCTCAGGAGTTTGGGACCAGCCTGGGCAACATAATGAGACCTCATCTCTACTAAAAATCAAAAAAATTGGCCAGGCGCAGTGGCTCACACCTGTAATCCCAGCACTTTGGGAGGCCGAGGCAGGCGGATCACAAGGTCAAGAGATTGAGACCATCCTGGCTAACATGGTGAAACCCCGTCTTTACTAAAAATACAAAAAATTAGCTGAGCGTGGTGGCGGGTGCCTGTAGTCCCAGCTACTCGGGAGGCTGAGGTGTGAGGATGGCTTGAGCATAGTAGACAGATGCTGTGGTGAGCTAGAAATCCCATTCTCTTTCATCACCCGCTTATGCTTGCCAGCCCCCCTATCTGTGCATCACTGCAATCCAGCCTGACTGACAGAGCAAGATCCTGTCTCAAAAAAAAAAAAAAAGAAAAGAAAAGGCAAAAGAAAAAAAAAAGAATAAAGGCTGGGCATGGTGGCTTACACCTGTAATCCCAGCACTTTGGGAGGCCGAGGCAGGCAGATGACCTGAGGTCAGGAGTTCGAGACCAGCTGGACCAACATGGAGAAACCCCGTCTCTACTAAAAATACAAAATTAGCCAGGTGTGGTGGTGCATGCCTGTAATCCCAGCTACTCGGGAAGGCTGAGGCGGAAGAATCGCTTGAACCTGGGAGGCAGAGATTGCGGTGAGCCGAAATCACGCCATTGCACTCCAGCCTGGGCAACAAGAGCAAAACTCCGTCTCAAAAAAGTAAATAAAATAAGATAATACTCACAGTCATGTAGGGAAAAAAAAAAGATGCCCAGTGGATAAAGGAGTTGGGAAGGGGAGGGGGCTGATACAGGTGCAGGAGTTGCTGATCAAGATTCCTGTTTGCTTTACCATGTTCAATTAATTTAACAGCAAAATTGCCAGGTTTATAAGAATGAATGTTCCTGAGCAGTCCTTGGTATTTCCAACAAAACCCCAAATGCACATCCCAGCAATAGATGACTACAGGGCTCCCTCAGGCCCAGGCCCAGGCCCAGGCCCAGTGAAGCCATCCCCCATGCAGACCAGGCCCTGTCTGGACTCTGTCCTTGCCCCTGTTGGAATGTGCATGTGTTCTGTCTCAGCCTTTGAGACCAAATCATCAACATGCAGCACAGTCAGTGCTTTTTAAAAAATGGGTCATCTCCTTGTATTTTTCCCTTGTTCTTTCCCCATTCTAATAGGCTCCATGCTTAGTCTCAGGATGTAAACTTTTATCACGAGTTTTTTTTGCTTGAATTAACAAGTGGATTGGCCAGACTGTAAAAGACATCAGGGAGACAGAAGATGAAACCCAGAAGCAGTTAGATGCTGAGCCGAAGAAGGCCCCGCGCCAGGCCCTTTGGTTGCTCGTGTCTTGATGGCACCCGGGACCAGAGGCTCCCAACTCCAGCTGCACATTTGAATCACCTGAGCAGCCACACATCTTGACAGAGTCAGGCATGGATTACTCACACATCCAAGGCTAAGTGAAGAGAGCAAGTGCAGCCATTAGAGAATGAACAGGGACCTAGCCAGCAAATTGCACAGATCTCTGCATGTGAATAGCTAAAATATGCAGTCAAACGTGTGTACAAATTTGCATGCATCTTAGGTATTTATTAGGCATAAAGTATATGAATAATACGCATAGATACATACTCATGGACACACATGTATACAGGAAGAGATCAGAAAAAGGCCTCCAGGGTATGTACCTTTAGCCAAAATGCAAAACAAAATATTTTCAGTTTTCATCATTATCATATTAATATTAATAAGCAAAATGATTGCAATGTAATGCCAGGTGGTATTTTTTTTGGATGACAAGTTGTGAACATAACTTTTTGTTCTGTTTCCTTATTGTTGTTACTTACTCTTGTAAAATTATACAGAGTTCCACACTAATAATTATCCTGGATTTGTTCTAGACATCTGAATCTGGAATGTAAGCTATAAATATATTTATACTAATTTTGTCTTTTTTAAAAAACAGCTTTATTGGGATATAGTTCAAACACCATACAATTCATCCATTTAAAGCACACAATTCAATGGTTTTCAGTATCTTCACAGGCTTGTGCAACCATCACCACAAGTTTTAAAATTTTTCACCTCCACAAACAAAAACCCCATACCCTTTAGCCATGACCCCCTTATCCCTGCCAGCCCTAAGCAGTCACTAATCTACTTTCTGTCTCTATAGACTTGAATGTCCTGGACATTTCATATAATGGAATCATACAATATATGGTCTTTTATCATTGGCTTCTTTCACTCAGCATGTTTCTGAGGCTCATCCACCTTTGTAGCATGTACCAGTACTTCATTCCTTTTTAAAGCTGAATAATATTCCCCTCTAGGAATATACCACATTGTTTACACATTTATATTTTGATGGACACTTGAGTTGTTTTACCTTTTGGCTATCGTGAATAATGCCACAATGAATATTGCTGTACAAGTATCTGTTAGAATCTATGTTTTCAATTCTTTGAAGTATGTACCTATAAGTTAAATTGCTAGGTTCTCTGGTAACTCTATGCTTAGCTTTCTGGGGAACCACCAAACTGTTTTCCACAGTGGCTGCACTATTTTACATTCCTACCAGAAATGGGTTCCATTTCTCCACATCCTCACTAATACATGTTAATGTCCTTCATTATTATGATGTTTATTATAGCCACCTTAGTATAAACTGGTATCTCATTTTGATTTTGATCTGTATTTCCCTGATGTCTAATGATGTTGAGCATCTTTTCACATGCTTGTTGGCTTCTTTGGGAAAATGCCTCTTCAAGTTCTTTGCCTATTTTTTAATTGAGTTGCTTGTGGTTTAGTCCATTTTTTCTTAATGGTTATTGGTTTTAGTCCAATTGGCCACATCAGGTAGTAAGACCCAGAGGTTCCTTAAATTTTATGTCCCCCACTACAGTGACTTCGGGAAGAAGACACGTCTATTTTGGACTATGCTGCTGCCTTGCATTGCTCTGTTGTCCTTAACTACAAGTTCTGTCATTCTTATGTCATTTGAAGACTCACAGTAAAGACTGAGATTCCAGGACCTGAACTCAGCTCTGGATCAAACAGACCTGATAGACATCTATAGAACACTCCACCCCAAAACAACAGAATATACATTCTTCTCATTACCACATGGCACTTACTGTAATACTGAATCACATAATTGGAAGTAAAACACTCAGCAAATGCAAAAGAACTGAAATCATAACAGTCTTTCAGACCACAGCATAATCAAATTAGAACTCAAGATTAAGAAACTCACTCAAAGCTACACAACTACGTGGAAATTGAACAACCTGCTCCTGAATGACTCCTGGGTAAATAATGAAATTAACACAGAAATCAAGAAGTTCTTTGAAACTAATGAGAACAAAGAGACAATGTACCAGAATCTCTGGGATGCAGCTAAAGCAGTGTTAAGAGGGAAATTTATAGCACTAAGTGCCCAAATGAAAAAGCTAGAAAGATCTCAAATCAACACCCTAACATAGTGTTGGAAGTTCCGGCCAGAGCAATCAGGCAAGAGAAAGAAATAAAGGATATTCAAATAGGAAGAGAGGAAGTCAAATTATCTTTGTTTGCAGATGACATGATCCTGTAACTAGAAAACCCCACTGTCTCAGTTCAAAAGCTTCTTAAGCTGGTAAGCAACTTCAGCAGTCTCAGGATACAAAATCAATGTGCAAAAATCGCCAGCATTCCTATAAACAAACAACAGGCAAGCAGAGAGCCAAATTATGAATGAACTCCCATTCACAATCGCTACAAAGAGAATAAAATACCTAGGAATACAGCTAAAAAGGGAAGTGAAGGACCTCTTTAAGGAGAACTACAAACCACTTCTCAGGAAAATCAGAGAGGACACAAACAAATGGAAAAACATTTCATGCTCATGAATAGGAAAATGGCCATACTGCCCAAAGTAATTTATAGATTTAATGCTATCTCCATTAAACTACCATTGACATTCTTCATAGAACTGGAAAAAACTATTTTAAAATTCATATGGAACCAAAAAAGAACCTGAATAGCCAAGATGATCCTAAGCAAAAAGAACAAAGCTGGAGGCATCATGCTATCCGACTTCAAACTATCCTATACTACAGGGCTGCAGTAACCAAAACAGCATGGTACTGGTACAAAAGCAGACACACAGACCAATGGAACAGAATCGAGAACTCAGAAATAAGACTACACACCTACAACCATCTGATCTTTGAGAAATCTAACAAAAATAAGCAATGGGAAAAGGACTCCCTATTTAATAAATGGTGCAGGAAGAACTGGCCAGTCATATGCAGAAGACTGAAACTGGACCCCTTCCTTACAGCTTATACAAAAACGAATCCAAGATGGATTAAATACCTAAATGTAAAACCCAAAACTATAAAAACCCTAGAAGAAAATCTAGGCAATACCATTCAGGACATTGGTATGTGCAAACATTTTATGATGAAAACACCAGAAGCTATTGCAACAAAAGCAAAAATTGACAAATGGGATCTAATTAAACTTAGGAGCCTCTGCACAGCAAAAGAAACAACCTACAGAAAATGTTTGCAATCTATCCATCTGACAAACGTCTAATATCCAAAGCCGAGAAGGAACTTAAATATACAAGAAAAAAAAAATTAAGAAGTAGGCAAAGGACATGAACACATGAACAGACACTTCTGAAAAGATGACATTCATGCAGCCAACAAACGTATGAAAAGAAGCTCGACATCACTGATTAAAGAAATGCAAATCAAAACCACAATGAGATACCATCTCACGCCAGTCAGAATGGTGATGATTATTATTATTATTTTATTATTTTTTTTTTTTGAGACAGAGTCTCGCTCTGTTGCCCAGGCTGGAGTGCAGTGGCACTATCTCGGCACACTGCAAGCTCCACCTCCCGGGTTCACACCATTCTCCTGCCTCAGCCTCCCGAGTAGCTGGGACTACAGGTGCCCGCCACCACACCCGGGTTTCACCGTGTTAGCCAGGATGGTCTCAATCTCCTGACCTGGTGATCCACCCGCCTCAGCCTCCCAAAGTGCTGGGATTACAGGCGTGAGCCAGTGTGCCCGGCCAGAATGGTGATTATTAAAAAGTCAAGAAACAACAGATGTTGGAGAGGTTGCAGAGAAAAAGGAACACTTTTACACTGTTGGTGGGAGTGTAAATTAGTTCAACCATTGTGGAAGGCAGTGTGGCGAGTCCTCAAAGATCTAGAGGCAGAAATACCATTTGACCCAGCAATCCCATTACCGGGTATATACCCAAAGGAATAGAAATCATTCTATTATAGATGCACATGTATGTTCATTGCAGCACTATCCACAACAGTAAAGACATGGAATCAACCCAAATGTCCATCAATGATAGACCGGTTAAAGAAAATGTGGCACATATACACTACGGAATACTATTCAGCCATAAAAAGGAATGAGATCATGTCCTTTGCTGGGACAATGGATGGAGCTGAAGCTGTTATCCTCAGCAAACTTATACAGGAACAGAAAATCAAATACTGTTCTCACAAGTGACAGCTGAATGATGAGAACACACGGACACACGGTGGGGAACAACACACACTGGGGCCAGCTGGGGGAGGGCAGAGGGAGGTCGAGCATCAGAAAGAATAGCTAATGGATGCTGGGCTTAATACCTAGGTGATGGGTTGATCTGTGCAGCAAACCACCACGGCACATGTTTACCTATGTAACAAACCTGCATATCCTGCACAGGGACCCCAGAATGTAAAATAAAAGTTGAAAAAGTAAGATTAAGAAAAAAACAAAGAACAGACTCCAGGTAGCCACTGGTCCAAGGAAGATGAAAATACACATGGAGCAGAACTGATTCCAACTGACAGTCCAGAGCCCAGTTCAACACCTGCAGGCCTGAAGCACAGCTACCCAAGCTGATTCACAGACCCAGGAGGGAGAAAAAGTAATGTTTGATGTTATATACCACTGAGATTCTGGGTTTGTTATGAAGAAATAGCCAACTAAAAACATTCTTCACTTAAAAAAAAAGACTGAGATTCACTCTGGGTACCACTGTCAGACATCTAGTCAAAGCATCATCATGTCTTGAATAGAGTTTGATGCAAGGAGAATTGTTATTTTTGTGACTTAAATCCTTCCCTTTCAATAAAGCAATGGACAGTGGCCATCTTTGCATAATACAACTATGAATACTTTCTCTTCCTACTGTTCGAATGTTCCAGCTTTAAAGACTGTATATTACTTTCATAATGTAAAACCTTTTTTCTAATAAAAGAGACATTTTACTGCCATGAATAATTACAACTTCTCAGTTCAATTTCTCTAAATATTGGTTCAGCAGCAACCAGCCATCTTGCCTGCAGGATAGCTCACCTCATCAAAAAGTCAAAGAAATTGAGGGCTCAAATTGTTCTCTTTCATCCATCACTGGGCTGGATTCAGAGGGGCAAAAATGCTACCAGCATTTACTCCGTCAACTTTCACCAAACTGAAGGATATTACCTGGGCAGGGTGTAATGCTTTCTTGAGATAAAATCAGCAATTGAACAAAGTGGAATCTATTCATCTGAAAGCACAGTCATGGGTGCTAGGTTCTCAGCCTTGATCTGCTCTCAATTGGCTAAGTTGGGAAAATTACTTCCCCCCTCCTGCCTGCATTTGTGTGTAGAATGATGAGATTTGATTAGAACCTTACTCTTTCCAGCTTTAGCAATCCACGAACCCCACTTACAGAGGCTAACAGCCCAAGGAAATTACTATTTTGTAGAAAATATCTTTTGTGTGTAGGAGAGTGGGGGGTGTATGAGGGAGGCAGAACTTATCCCCATGAAACAATCAACACAGGCACAAACATGTGGGCTAGGATGTTCTTTGCAGCATTGCTTACAATCGTGAAATACAGAAACAATGTGATTTTCCAACAGTAGGGGAAGGATTATACAAATTATGGCATAATCAAAGGATGTAATGTTTCGTAGTCATTTAAAATTATGCAGATCTGGCCAGGCACAGTGGCTCATGCCTGGAATCCCAGCACTGTGGGAGGTCAAAGCAGGAGGATTGCTTGAGCCCAAACTCATCTCTGCAAAAAATACAAAAATCAGCCCGACATGATGACATGCACCTGCAGTCCCAGCTACTTGGGAGGCTGAGGCAGGAGAATCCCTTGAGCCCAGGAATTCGAGGCTACAGTGAGCCATGATCATGACGCCACTGCACTCCAGGCTGGGCAACAGAATGAGACCCTGTCTCAAAAAAAAAAAAAGGGTAAAATTATGCAGATCTATTCCCACTGACATAGCTATTAATAACACCTTAAGTGGAACATCTACTTACAAAAATGTTTAAGTGTACGTTTTTGAAATATATATACCTACACATACCTCTTGAAAGGTTAATAGTGATTCTTTTATGGTGGTGAAATTGCTCTTAAGATTTTTCTTTTGGTTTGTAATTTCTAATTTTCTATAATATACATGCCTTATTTGTATAATTCAAACAAATATATAGGGTATGCAAGTCAAGGTTCTCCAGAGAAACAGAGCCAGTAAGAGACATACACACACACGGACACACACACTCACACAGAGAGACAATAGGATATACAGGTTGGATACCTCTTGCCTGAAATGCTTGGGACCAGAAGTTTTTTGGATTTCATATTTTGGGGAATTTTGGAATATTTGCATATACATAACAAGTAGATAAGTTGGGTGTGGGACCCAAGTCTAAACAGGAAATTCACTTATGTTTCATATACATCTTATACACATAGCCTGAAGGTAATTTTATACAATATTTTAAATAATTTTGTGCACATCCAGCCTGCACATGGGCCACTGTATTGCCCTTTGTGGGTGTGCTTGTGTCATTGAGCCTGGGCATTTGAGGAAAAGATAGAGTGCAGCTGAAGGGGGCTGGAAGGACCTTTTTTCCCTTGAGGACTGTGGGTTGTGCCCCTGCATTTTGACTGTGATGCACCACGTGAGGTCAGGTGTGAAATGTCCCACTTGTGGCATGTTAATGCTCAGAAAGCTTCAGGTTTTGAAGCACTGCAGTTTTCAGATTAGAGATACTCAGGCTGTGTAGATATGTATAAACAGAACCAGCAGGATACATACCTGTATGTTTATATGTGTATTATGTGTATATACACATGTGAGTGTATGTGTGTGTGTGTATATATATACATGTGCAGATATATAATGAGATTTATTTTAAGGAATTGGCTAACCTGATTGTGGGGCTAGCCAATCTGCAATCCACATAACAAGACAGCAGCCTGGAAGCTCAGGCAGTCTTGAGGCAGAATTTCTTCTTCCCAGAGGAACCTGTTTCTGATCTTAAGGCCTTCAACTGATTGGATAAGACCCACCCACCCCCATTATCTAGAGTAATTTCCTTTACTTATAAAGTCAACTGACTGTAGGCATTAACCACATCTATAAAGTACCCTCCCAGCAACACCTAAATTCATAGCTGATCAAATAACTGGGTGCTACAGCTTGCCAAGCTGAAATACAAAAGAAACCATCACTCAGGTGATTTCTAATCAAATAATAAGGTACAATAACAGGATGGAGACTTTAACTTTTAAGTTCAAGGGTACATTTGCAGGTGATATAGGTAAACTTGGGTCATGTGTGTTTTGTTGTACAGATTATTTCATCACCCAGGTATGAAGCCTAGTACCCATTAGTTATCTCTCCTGATCCTCTCCCTCCTCCCACCCTTCACCCTCCAACAGGCCCCAGTGTGTGTTGTTCCCCTCTATGTGTCCATATTCTCAGCATTTAGCTCTCACTTGTAAGAGAGAACACGCAGTATTTTATTTTCTGTTCCAGCATTAGTTTGCTAAAAATAATGGCCTCCAGTTTCATCTATGTTGCTGCAAAGGACATCCTCACATTCTTTTATATGGCTGCATAGTATTCCATAGTGTAAATGTACCACACTTTCTTTATCTGTTCTACCACTGATGGACATTTAGGTTGACTCCATGACTTTGCTATTGTGAATAGTGCTGCCATGAACATATGTGTGCAAGTGTCTTTATGATAGAACGATTTGCATTCCTTTGGGTATATACCCAGTAATAGGATTGCTGGGTCAAATGGTAGTTCTGGTTTTAGGTCTTTGAGGAATTGCCACACTGTTTTCCACAGCGGTTGAACTAATTTACAGTCCTACCAACAATGTATAAGTTTTCCTTTTTCTCTGCCACCTCACCAACATCTGTTCGACTTTTTAATAATAGCCATTCTGACTGGTGCAAGATGGTATCTCATTGTGGTTTCGATTTGCATTTCTCTAATTATCAGTGATATTGAGATTTTTTTCATATCCTTTTTGGCCACATGTATATCTTCTTTTGAAAACTGTTCATGTCCTTTGCCTACTTTTTAATGACGTTGTTTGGTTTTTTTCTTATAAATGTTTAAGTTCCTTATAGATGCTGGGTATGAGACCTTTGTCAGATACATAGTTTGAAAAAGTTTTTTCCCATTCTGTAGGTTGTCTGTTTACCCTGTTGGTAGTTTCTTGTGCTGTGCAGAAGCTCTTTAGTTTAATTAGATTGCATTTGTCAATTCCTGCTTTTGTTGCAATTGCTTTTGGCATCTTCGTCATGAAATCTTTGCCTGTTCCTATGTCCGGAATGGTATTGTCTAGGTTGTCATCCAGGGTTTTTATAGTTTGGGGTTTTACATTTAAGTCTTTAATCCAAGATGGAGACATTTTAATCCACCAGGATCTCGGCAAGGCTGGGATAGGCAGGCTGATATAATGAAGGTTTGCTCCTGGCAAGAAATCCTGCAAGAGCCTAGAAGAGGTGCCCTTTCCAAGCCCTGAAGATGGGGGATCACTTGTGTGAGTGGGAGAAGGTGGCAGAAAGTAGAAGAGACAACAGCCAGGTCAGAAAGTGAGCCAGTGCCTGAGACAATTGCTCCCCATGAATCTTTAGTCACCAAATTGACTAGAGGCCTGTGGATCAGAGCTGCTGATGTGGAAGTAGGAACGTGGGAGAGAGACCAGAAAAGCCAGGGCAGCCAGACTGAGGAAGCTTAACGTCCCAGGCGGTGGAAAGGAGTTTGGGTTAAGTTCAGCCAGACTTCCAGGGGGTGCCGGTGCCCCTGGTGACATCCGGTGTTGACGTATCAAGCCTGGATCTAAATAGCTTTACAGAGTTCCTTTTTTTTCCCCATGCTGGGGTCAATCGGGTAGCACAGACTGATGGAGCATACGTTTCATATAGATTTTTAAGTCATTAACACTTCTAAATTAACCAGCTGAATGCTCTCACTGCATGAAGGAACAGGCACGGCCAGTGGGGGTTCTGGGTTATTGACTGATTGTTCAGCAAAAGTGAGGCTAAAGAAAGATGTTAAAGTGAAATTTAAGAGCATCAATGACAACACAAAAATATCCAAATAAAACCTTGCTGCTTCATTTGGGAACATTACAAAGCAAATAAGGATGATCCTTGTCTCTTAATGTATTTGGCAAACAAGGAGAAAGGGGTTGTTTCTTTTCTGTTTCTCAGTCCTGGCAGATGAGGTTCCAAAAGGCTCCTAACTTACTCTCTATAGGGCAAGCTGCTCAGGTTGGCATTTTCATCTCTGTGCCTTTTTGAAAGCTGACAGGCACTACCTATTTTCTCTTTGCTTCACACTGTTTCTACAATGAGCATGTATTACTTTTATCATCAGGAAGAAAAAAATTTATATTTTTTAAATCTGTTGGAGGACTCCTTGCTTCAAGATAATTTGAGATCACATGCTTTACTTCTCATCTAGTGCAAACTCTTTTGAAATAATCGTGTGTGTGTGAGTGTGTGTGTGTATACTTTTTTTTGTTGAGACAGGGTCTTGCTGTGTTGCCCAGGCTGGAGTGCAGTGGCATCATCATGGCTTACTGCAGCCTTGACCTCCTGGGCTCAAATGATCCTCCCATCTCAGCCTCCAGGGCAGCTGGGACTACAGGTATGCGCCACCACGCCAGGCCAATTTATTTTTGTAGAGACAGGGTCTTGCCATGTTGCCCAGGCTGGTATTGAACTCCCGGCCTCAAACAATCTTCCCACCTCGCCCTCCCAAAGTGCTGGGGTTACGTATGAGCCACCATGCCCAGCCAATATTTTTCAAATCTGGTAGGGGAGTCATGGATTCAAGATCATTTGAGGGCATGTGTTTTACCTCCTCTCTAGTGCAAAAATCTTTTGAAGTGATCCAATAAATATCAATATAGGGGGAAATACCTGTAGCAGGAATGGAAAATGAAGAAGGATACCATAAGTGGGCCAGGAACACTGAGGATTTCCTGGAGGAATGGAAGCAGATGGGAGCAGGGAAACGTACCAGGAGAGTTTTACCTGCTACACTCTTCTGGATGCTGATTTAGCCAAATATTAATTATAAATGAGCACCCAGACTTGCAGCCATCCGGCCCCCAGGAATTTATTCTAAGGAAATAATTGACTATATGTATAAAGATCTATGTTATGATGATGGCTGTGTGTTCATGTTTTTATATTTTCAAGGCTTATTAAATTTTGCCTCTGTCCTTCAACTAAATGTTTTCCACTCATATGATCACTCTGAAATTTAAAACCAATAGAAAAGATTTTATTACTGTGACTATGCAAATATTATTCCATGCTGGGCTGCATAATGTGTTGGAATTACATTTATTTCTCTATGGATTCAATTTCACAACATTAGACCACTTTAAAGAGAGTATCTCTAGTGTCAAGGACAAACATATTCTCTATTTTGACATCCCATCAGCTCCTTAAAATGCCACCTTATAAGGCTCCTTTAAAAATGCCACATTTTATATTGGCTTATATGTTTCTTGTGTAGTTTTTTCCCTTAAATTTCCTTTCCTTTCTTTCTTTAATTATTTGTTTTTATATTATCAATTCTTTCCCAACCTTGTAATCATACTCTCATTCTACCTCTGGTTGTCTTCTGCCTTGTGAGCTGGGACTTTCAGAGTCTCCCACACAACTGTCTCTCAGAACTTTCCTGCCCTGCCTTCTAGAGTTGAAATCTATGATTTCCATGTTTTCCTCTTTCCTGACTTACCCTCTGGATTTGCTGGAAAACATCCTCAAGTAACTTCCTAAGAAAGGTAGATAATATTAGAAACAAAAAAGGGAACATAACTGCCAATGCAGAAATAAAAAAGATACGGGGACTATATTATAAACAAGTTTGCTAAATTTGAAAATTTAGTTGAAATGGATCAATTTCCTTAAAAAGTGAAGTCTACCAAAATGAAAAGAAATAAAAAACCTGAATCATCTCATAACTCCTTAACAAACTGAATCGACAGTTAAAAATCTTTCCACAAAGAAGCAGTCATACAACTTTAATGGAAAAATCTACTCATCATTTCAGGAATAAATTTCAGTCTTACCCGAACACTTCCAAGAAGGTAAAAGGAGAAATACTCCCAAATTTATATCTTTTTGTAACTAGCGTAACCGAGTTTAACCTTCATATCAAACATCAGACAAGGAATGTTTTTTAAAAAGGAAAGTTACAGGCCAATCCCACTCATATATTAATATTAATAAAAACTATGGTAGGGGCTGGGCGTGGTGGCTCACAGCTGTAATCCCAACATTTTGGGAGGCCAAGACGGGTGGATCACAAGGTCAGGAGACCAAGACCATTCTGGTTAATGTGGTGAAACCCCGTCTCTACTAAAAAAAATACAAAATTAGCCGGGCGTAGTGGCGGGTGCCTGTAGTCCCAGCTACTCAGGAAGCTGAGGCAGGAGAATGGCGTGAATCCAAGAGGCAGAGCTTACAGTGAGCCAAGATCGCACCACCACTGCACTCCAGCCTGGGCGACAGAGTGAGACTCCGTCTCAAAAAAAAAAAAAAAAAAAAAACTATGGTAGGAATATGTGCTGCTCAACAAAATTCGCACTCTCCTTTTTTTCCTGGGCATATAAATTATATTTCCCAGCCCTGCTTGTGGTTTGTGTGACCAGAGGACCGCATCTAACTAATGAAATGTGAGCACAGGTGATGTGTGCAAGTTCAGGCCAATGCTTTTTTAATGAGCCCTCAAACTTCCCTTACACTCTTTTTCCCTGTCCACTGGCTGGATGCAGAGGGTTGCAAGATCCATGAGACAGAAGGAACCCGATCACCACCAACTGGATTGTTTGATGGGCAGAAAATAAACTCCAATTGTGGAAAACCATGGAAATTTGGAGGGTTTATTTTGTTACAGAAGCTAGGATTATCCTTAATCAGAGATTGATATTTTGAAGTGTGTTGCTGCCATAATAAAACCCCAAAAGTGACCATAGCTTGGCAGTGGCAAGCTGCAAGAAAATAGATTTCTGTTGGCCAAACCAACATGTGGCAAATCGTTAGGTAAAACTGTCACATGTGGTAACTTGGAAGGTAGACCTGCATGACCCCGTAGTTCTAAGGAAAATGGGTGGCTAGCCAGACTGTTAGTGTGTGTCAGTTTTGATTTGCAGCATTTAGCAGATATTACACAGAACTGGGCACAGACAAAAACGCCTGGTTTGAAAACAGAGACAAGGAAATAGAGCATAAAAGTTGGGGATAGGAGTTTAAACAATCCATCAGTTTCTTAATTACTCAGAGGGATTCAGCACTGCAGCAAGGATCTGATTAGAATGTTGTTCACAAGGTAGCTCTCATTCAGTTGAAAAAGAAACCCTTGAGTGTGAGGAAGGAAACAAAGAAGGCAAGTTTGAGAATTATGTCCAGAACTACGCCATCCAATTCAGGTGGTGATTGAGCACCAGAACTGTGGCTAGCTTGAATCTCAACGTACTCTAAGAGTAAAATCAACACCAGATTTCAAAGACTTGGTATGAAACGAATGTAAAATAGCTCATCGTTAATTTTGGATTGTATTGCTACCAGGGAAAAAAAATTCAGGCCTAGCCTTAAAAGCCTATGACTGTAAAAACAAACTTTAGACTCCCAAACCTGAGTCTGCAAGAAATTTCTGTAATATGTGGTTCGGATTCTGGGCTCTCAAAATTTCTTAAGAAGGCAAACTTCAAAACCAAATACTTGGGCCAGGCATGGTGGCTCATGCCTGTAATCCCAACACTTTGGGATGCTGAGGTGGGAGGCTGAGATGGGAGGCTCACTTGAGGCCAGGAGTTTGAGACCAGCCTGGGCAGCATGGTGAGACGCTACATCTATAAAAACAAAAAATAAAAAGTTCGTTGGGCACAGTGGTGTGCCTGTAGTCCTAGCTTCTTGGGAGGCTGAGGCAAGAGGATGGCTTGAGCCCAGGAGTTCAGGCTACAGTGAGCTATGATCGTGCCTCTGCACTATAGCCTGGGCCACAGAGCGAGACCTGATGTATTTAAAAAGTCCAACACATTCTGTACTAATTATTTATGATAAATCACCTTTGATTCAGACATAAAGCGTGTAAAACATAAGAAATTAGGAATGTGATAGAGAAAAATTAGATACCCAAAACACATTTTGTTTTTACTAATCAGATTCAAAACAATAGACTTAAGAATACTTTAAGATAATTCCTTATACTTTTGAATCTATAAGGAGCTTAAATTTTAAACAAAGAGCATGTAGATATGTTTGTTGTAGAATGCTATTTTCAGCAATTAGAGACTGCTGAAAGGGCTTGCAGATCTGCCCAGGCTTTGAAGCCTCGGTACCTAGGTACATCTAAAATACATGCTAGTTAAAATACTATTTTGTGCCCTGCACAGAGAATTAATTTTATTTCTTTAATGTACCATTAAAAGCAAGCATTATTTGATATTGCAGATGTGCAATATAGCAATAGCAAGAACAATCTAATTGCTGAGCATGTGGCAATATTATTCCTTTATGAAAGTGTCATACTTGTAAAATGTTCTAAATTTTCTTCTTGTTCTTTCATTTTAGGGTTGGGGTACATGTGCAGGCTTGTTATATGGGTAAATTGCATGTCAGAGGGGTTTGGTGTACAGATTATTTTGTCACCTAGGTAATAAGCATGGTACCCAATAGGTAATTTTTTTTTTTTTTTTTTGAGACAGAGTCTTGCTCTGTCACCCAGGCTAGAGTGCAATGGCTCAGTCTCCGCTCACTGCAACCTCCGCCTCCCAGGGTCAAGCGATTCTCCTGCCTCAGCCTCCCAAGTAGCTGGGACGAAAGGCATGAGCCGCCACACCTGGCTAATTTTTGTATTTTTAGTAGAGACAGGGTTACGCCACATTGGCCAGGCTGATCTCGAACTCCTAACCTCTTGGCCTCCCAAAGTGCTGGGATTACAGGCGTGAGCCACCGTGCCCTGCCCAGTGTAGTTTTTTGATCCTCTCCCTTCTCCCAACCCCTATCCTCCAGTAAGCCCCGTTGTCTATTGTTCCCTTCTTTGTGTCCATGTGTACTCAATGTTTAGCTCCCACTTATAAGTGAGAACTTGCAGTATTTGATTTTCTGTTCCTTCGTCAGTTCGCTTGGGATTATGGCTTCCAGCCCCACCCATGTCCCTGCAAAGGATAGAATTTCATTCTTTTTAATGGCTCCACAGTGTTCCATGGTGTGTATGTACCACATTTTCTTCATCCAGTCTACCATAGATGGCATTTAGGTTGATTCCATGTCTTTGCTATTGTGAATAGTTAAGCAATGAACAGACATGTGTATGTAACTTTACGATAGAATGATTTCTATTCCTTTGGGTATATACCCAGTGATGGGATTGCTGGGTCAAATGGCAGTTCTGTTTTTAGGTCTTTGAGAAATTGCCACACTGTCTTCCACAATGGTGAATGATTTACACTCCCACCAACAGTGTATAGGCATTCCTTTTTCTCCACAACCTCGCCAGCATCTGTTCTTGACTTTTTAGTAATAATCATTCTGACTGGTGTGAGATGGTATCTCATTGTGGCTTTGATTTGCATTTCTCTGATGATTAGCGATACTGAGCTTTTTTTCATATGCTTGTTAGTCACGTGTATGTCTTCTTTTGAGAAGTGTCTGCTCATGTCCTTTGCCCACTTTTTAATGGGGTTGTTTTTTGCTTGTTAATTTAAGTTCCTTATAGATTCTGAATATTAGGCCTTTGTCAGATGCACAGTTTGAAAAATTTTCTCCCATTCTGTAGGTCATCTGTTTACTCTGTTGATAGTTTCTTTTGCTGTGCAGAAGCTCTTTAGTTTAATTAGGTTCCATTTGTCAATTTTTGCTTTTGTTGCAATTTTTGGCATCTTCATCATGAAATTTTTGCCAGTTCATATGTCCAGAATGATATTTCCTAGGTTATCTTCTAGGGTTTTTATAGCTTTAGGTTTTACATTTAAGTCTTTAATCCATCTTGCATTGATTTTTGGATATGGTACAAGGAAGGGATCCAGCTTCAGTCTTCTGCATATGACTAGCTAGTTATCTCAGCACCATTTATTGAATAGGAAGTTCTTTCCCCATTGCTTGTTTTTGTCAACTTTGTCAAAGATCAGATGGTTGTAGGTGTGTGGCTTTATTTCTGGGCTCTCTATTCTGTTCCATTGGTCTATATGCCTGTTTTTGTACCAGTCCCATGCTGCTTTTGTTACTGTAGCCTTGTATAGTTTGAAGTCAGGTAAACGTTATGCCTCCAGCTTTGTTCTTTTTGCTTAGGATTGCCTTGGCTATCTGAACTGCTTTTTGGTTCCATATGTATTTTAAAATAGTTTTTTTCTAATTCTGTGAAAAATGTCAGTGATAGTTTGATAGTAATAGCACTGAATCTGTAGACTGCTTTGGGCAGTATGGGCATTTTAACACTATTGATTCTTCCTATTGATTTGTTTGTGTCATCTTTGATTTCTTTGAGCAGTGTTTTGTAATTGTCATTGTAGAGATCTTTCACCTGCTTGGTTAGCTCTATTCCTGGGTATTTTATTTTTTGTCTGTGACTATGGTGAATGGGATTGTGTTCTTGATTTGACTCTCAGCTTGGACGTTAATGGTGTGTAGAAATGCTACTAATTTCCGTACAATGATTTTGTATCTTGAAACTTTGCTGAAGTTGTTTATCAGTTCTAGGAGCTTTGGGGCAGAGTTTATGGGGTTTTCTAGGTATAAAATCATCTACAAAGAGAGATAGTTTGATTTCTCTTCCTGCTTGAATGCCTTTTATTTCTTTCTCTTGACTGATTGGTCTGGCTAGGATTTCCAATACAATGTTGAATAGGAGTGGTGAGAGTGGGCATCCTCATCTTATTCTGGTTCTCAAGGGGAATGCTTCCAGTTTTTGTACATTCAGTATGATGTTGGCCATGGGTTTGTCATAGATGCTATTATTTTGAAGTATGTTCCTTCAATGCCTAGTGTGTTGAGGGTTAACGTGAACAGATATTGAATTTTATCAAAAGTCTTTTCTGCATTGAGATGATTATATGGTTTTTTGTTTTAGTTCTGTTTATATAGTGAATCACAATTATTGATGTGAGTATGTTGAACCAACCTTGCATTCCAGGAATAAAGCCTACTTGATTGTGGTGAATTAGCTTTTTGATGCACTGCTGGATATGATTTCCTAGTATTTTACTGAGGATTTTTTGCATCTATGTTCATCAAGGATATTGGCCTTAAGGCTTCTTTAAATTTTGTCTCTGCCAGGTTTTGGTATCAGGATCATTCTGGCCTCATAGAATGAGTTAGGGAGGAGTCCCTCCTTCTCAATGTTTTGGAATAGTTTCAGTAGGAATGATATCAGCTCTTTGTTATACAACTGGTAGAATTCAGCTGTGAATTGTCTGGTCCTAGACTTTTTCTGGTTGGTAGGTTTTTGGTTAGTGATTCCATTTCAGAAGTCATTATTGGTCTGTTCAGGGATTAAATTTCTCCCTGGTTCAATCTTGGGAGATTGTATGTTTCCAGGAATTTGTACATTTCTTCTAGGTTTTCTAGTTTGCAGGCATAGAGGTGTTTGTAGTAGTCTCTGAGGGTTTTTTGTATTTCTGGGGAGTCAGTGGTAATGTCCCCTTTGTCATTTCTGATTGTGTTTATTTGGATCTTTTTATTAGTCTAGCTAGTGGTCTATCCATCTTATTTTTTCTCTCAAAGAACAAACTCCTGGATTTGTTGATCTTTTGCATGGTTTTTTGCATTTCAATTTCCTTTAGTTCAGCTCTGATTTTGGTTATTTCTTGTTTTCTATCTAGTTTTGGGGTTGATTTGCATTTGTTTCTATAGTTCCTCTAGGCACATTGTTTGGTTGTTAATTTGATATATTTCTAACTTTTTGATGTGGGTATTTAGTGCTATAAACTTTCCTCTTAACACTGCTTTAGCTGTGTCACAGAGATTCTGTTATGTTATATCTTGTTCTTATTCATTTCAAAGAACGTCTTGATTTCTGCCCTAATTTCATTGTTTACCCAAAAGTCATTCAGGAGCAGGTTATTTGATTACCATGTAATTGTATGATTTTGAATGATTTTCTTAGTATTAATTTCTACTTTTATTATGCTGTGGTCTGAGAGTATGTTTGGTATGATTTCGGGTTCTTTGAATTAGTTGAGAAATGTTTTACGGACAATTGTGTGGTTGATTTTATAATATGTGCCATATGCAGATAAGAAGAATGTATATTCTATTGTTTTGGGAGACACACAGAGGGAAGATCATGTGAAGACCCAGGGAGAAGGTGGCTGTCTACAAGCCAAGGAGAGGCCTCAGAAGAAACCAAACCTGCTGACACCTTGATCTTGGACTTCTAGCCTTTAGAATGTGAAACAATACATTCTGTTGTTTAAAGTCTCTGTGCTTGTTACAGTCTCTGTACTTTGTTATGGTAACCCTAGCAGATTAACACACTAGTCATTTGGGTCTCTGTGGGAATCCTTCTGTCATCGGAACAAGATAAAATCCTCAGCCCATGAGGAACATTCTGACAGTGCTGACGCAGGAAACAAAAACAATGTTGTGGCCCAACTGCAGCGTCGTGAGGAACAGGATTACAGCTAGCAAACGTTGTCTGACCTTCAGAGGTTGGTCAACTTATTTCCCTTTAAAATATTTATTTGGGAATATAGTTTGATTTTCTTTTCTTTGCCCTCCAGGTATTTTCATAGGAATAACTTTCATTTGTATTCTATAGTTTACTCAGATAATTGAAAGAGGTGTTTCAATCAGGTATTTAGCTGCAAGAGTATAGTTCATTTCACTACTAAGTATAATTTAAAGCTGCAGTCACATAAAATCTCTTTGGGGTTACTTTTGGTGTTTGCTTTTTGTTTTTGTGACAAGGTCTCACTCTGTCACCCAGGCTGGAGTGCAGCGGCAAGACCATAGCTCACTGCAGCCTCCATCTCTCAGGCTCAAGTGATCTTCCTGCCTCAGCTTCCTGAGTAGCTGGGACTACAAATATGCACCACACCCCACTAATTTTCTTTTTTTTTTTTTAGTAGAGACAAGGTCTCACTATGTTGCTCAGGCTGGTCTTGAATTCCTGAGTTCAAGCCATCCTTCCACCTTGGTCTCCCAGATTGCTGGGAATACAGGTGTGAGCTACCTGCACCTGGCCAAAATCTCTTTTTGGAATGAAATGTAGCCAAAAATGTGTTTGTAAATGCCCAGTAGAGCTTGTATAAAGACCTTGATCAGAGCACACAAATGTGTTTTACACAAAGATCCATGCTGTTGCCACCACACTTAGCCTGAGCCAGCACCCATGAGGATCAAACATCACCTGGAGCCAGTAAATGGGAAGCTCTGTTTATTTTAGGGCTTTCTGAAATTATCATCATTAGGGAGAACAGGCAAAATAATTTAGTGATTTTCCCCATATGAAACTCACAAAGAAAAACAAATGTACTCAGCAGGCATCTTTCTCCTTTCTGTTCCCAAGGCTGGAAAATTCTGTATTGGGGCACATTTTGGAACACTTACAGGTTTTTTGTACTGTAATGGCATTACACATTTGATTCAGCAGCTAAAGGAATGTGACCTGGCCTTTACTTCCTAAATTTCCGTGCCTTAGGGGTTTTGTAGGTGTCAAAGTAGAAGATGGAACCACTGCACAAAATCCAGAACTTCAGCAACGGTTCTAACACCTTTTACTAAAGCCCATCTTGGCATCATCAGCTCAGCTGTGTACAGGGACATTGAACATCTCGAGTACAATTGGATATGAAAATGCATGCTTATATTTAATAGAACTCATGATGCATTGAAACAACATCTAATCGGAAGCCGTGAGCCACCACTCTCATAGGGAACCATGTCACAAAGAAGACTTCTATAGGGTCTATACCCACAGCCCATATTAATTGGTGCCAGGAGATCCTGGCAAGGTACCCAGAGATAAAATCCTAAATGAAACCTGATCCCAACCTGATGTGAACTGTAATTACGATGGTTCAAACCCAGTTGGTTGTGTTTTATTTAGTAAAAGAGTTGGACTGGAAATGGGTCATATTTTGAGCAAATGCCTTTGATAGCTACATTAACCACTCTATGACTCTGGCTATTCATGAGGTTTCCCAAAATAACACCTTTGGCAACTACAAAGCTATGTGGAATCGTGGTTTAAAATGCTTGCTAGTCTTCCTATTGGGGTTCTACATTTGATTTCCATTAAGAGGTATCACATGGAACAATCACTGATAGCTCAGAGGTGATGGCATTGATGTAGATATTCCTACTGATTAAGGGCTGGCCATTTGTACCATTTTCAGATAGTTAATATGAGTTATTCTTCAGCCTCTCTTTTATGCCTTTCAACCTCTGTTCATGCAACCCAAACCAATTTCTTATCTAAAAATTATCAATACTGTGACCCAGGTCACTTTTGACACAACTTACTGTGTTTGGGAATTCAATCTTTAGTTTACACATTACTAGTATCCTTACCTGTTCTAGATTTGCATCTGATTTCTGGACATCTTATAGCTGAACTTTACATATTCTTAAAGGGACATTGGGAGTGACAGGAGGTAGTCAAATGCCTAGGCAGATGGGGCGGGTCCCCAGTGAAACCCCAACTCCAAAGCTAAAGACAGTTTAAAGCCTGAAAATCAAGCTACAAGTCAAATCCATGGACCGGATTGAGAACCAGTCTTCACATTTGGCATGCTTTCCTCTGATTAATCCCTACCATCTCATAATTGGTCTTCCACACTGCTGTGCCCACCTTTGAGTGGTGCCCTTGCTTCAGCCTTTCTTTGCATACTCACAAACCAATCAGCATGCACTCCCCTATTCTGAGCCCATAAAAGCCCCGGACTCAGCCACACTGAGAAAGAAACCACCTGATTGTGGGGATAGGGGACCACCCCCACATTCCCTCTCTGCTGAGAGCTGTTCCATTGTTCAATAAAATTCTTCTCCACCCTCCTCACCCTTCAGTTGTCTGCGTATCTTCTCCTCCTTCTTGGATGCGGGACAAGAGCTCAGGAACTCCTGAATGCAGATACAAGCTATAACACAGGCAGCCTAGGGCACCACACCCAGTCCGGCCAGGGGCTGAGCCAGTGCACAAGCCAGAGCCAGCCTGGGTGGGCTGAGTCGGGGGTGTCTCCTACAGCAGGTAGCGTGCCCCAGCAAGGCCCAGGTAGGGGCGTTGCTAGCCAGAGGTCCCCAGCTGACAAAATGACCAAGAAAATTCCCACAACAACATAAAACATACTGGTATCGTGGGCCCCTGAATTTACTTACCCTCAGTGTGGTTTCTCAGAATGAACATCAAGATTTCCCCAAAATTCCTGGAAGGAGCCTTTTACTAGTGAGGAAGATGACAACTTCCTCCATGACAATTCCTGGATAAAAGAACTGTATGATTTTACGTGGGGTGATACAATAAGTCTTTCCTTGAGAAGGAAGGTCCATCAGAAAGGGGAGGTAGTACTAGAGTCAATGCCATTAGAACCAAAGGAATTTTTCTCAGAAACTTTAAAATAGCTGATAAGGTGAAATTTTTGCATTATTAAAATAAGACCAGTGATACTTAGAAACCACCTTGGTACAATTTCCAAGTAGGATCTCCATGGTATTAAGAAGCTAATTTGACTTTAAGCAGCCAGTCTATCTCTGTAGTGTTCAGCTTTGCTCCCAGGAGACTGGTTCATTATATTGTCATTACTGAGGATTTTTTTTTTCACCTACATCTGTCATTTTGTAAGCATATCATTAAAAATGCTTTTTAAAAGCTACTACCAGCTGGGCATGGTGGCTCATGCTTGTAATCCCAGCACTTTGGGAGGCCAAGGCAGGCAGATCACAAGGTCAAGAGATTGAGACCATCCTGGCTAACATGGTGAAACCCTGTCTCTACTAAAAATACAAAAATTCTGGGCATGGTGGTGTGAGCCTGTGGTCCCAGCTACTTGGGAGGCTGAGGCAGGAGAATCGCTTGAACCCAGGAGGCAGAGGTTGCAGTGAGCTGAGATCACACCACTGCACTCCAGCCTGGCAACAGAGCAAGACTCCATCTCCAAAAAAAAAAAAAGCTACTTCCAGTATATTATTTTCACTATAAAGTTGTCTTTTATTAAAACAGCTAATAAACTAAGCTATTAATCACACTGATAGTATTTAGCATGTTTTTGTATTTGATTGTCTTTATATCAGGAGATACCTGGGTATTGAGGTGAGCTTGCTTTAAAATTTCACCACCAAAAAAAGCAGCCCTGGGTGATCATAGTATAAAAGGATGAAATAGAAGTATCACTACAAGCTGGATTACTCATTTTTAATTTTTACTATTGTACCTAAATTAGGCACTGATTTACCTGAATTAGTGCTGAATCCTATACAGTCTTACTCATACTTATTGAATTTTTTTAAATGTACTCTCAAAAGCTAAATTATGTTACACACAATTGTAATTGTGTAGAAAGTATATACATGTCTAACCAAGATGCCGAGACTTTTTATATGGCTGTGTTGGAGGCCATACATAGTAAATGTGTGTTTTCCACTGTAAGTAACAGCAACAAATTTAATTCTTAATAAAATGTCAGATTCATTCTTGTACCTGTTTTTTCTTTGATGGTGATAATTGGCCTTCAATTCAGCTTCAGCTGGATGTTAAATGTTAACATTTAGCCATTTGGAGATCAACTGCTATGAATATTCAGCATACCTCAGTGGAGGCCACTTAACCCAAGTCCCCACACTCCTCCAAAGTTAATTTAGAGCAGCTGAGACTTCCTTCATAAGTCAGGCACTACAGAGCTAGATGCTGAAAGGGGTCTAAATCCCTGAGTTCTCGCCTCCACTTTCCCCAGGGTACCCACAGAGAACAGGATTTATGAGGACCCTGCAGGGAGAGGCCATGTTTCTCTCCCCGCCACCACCCCCGCAACCAGCAAGGCATGTTGGCCAAGAACCTGCGCTAGTGCAGAGATGGATGCTCGGCTTTAGAGACCCAGACACACCAGCGAAAGCAAAGCCTGTCAACATTAAAGTGAGCAGAACTGGATCTTAGCCACCGTGGGGAGAAATCTGCGGGGCACACTGGAATTGGCTTAATATGCTTTTAAAGTTTCTGAAATGGGACACTTTTGTTTCTCAGAGGACTCATGTGCTTAGGTGGGCAATTTCCCCCACAAAATAAAATCAAGAATAAATAAACTTCAGACACCAACAGAACCTTCTGTGTCTCTTCCTCAGTTAAGACAATAAAACTTGATCAAGGTGAAAGAAATGGTTTGACTCGCAGTGTTGGCAGAACGAAAGGGACATTGTTAAGGAATATTTATTTTTGGTTTTGCCTTTCCTATCGTTACTTCAGCCTGTGACCCTTTGCTTTTCAGGCCAGGAAGTTCCAGGCTGACATTGCCCCAAAAGGAAAGAGGTCAGGGAGAAACTGAAGGAGGGAAAAAAAAAACAAAAAATTACCTTTAGGTATCAAAAGCCCCAGCACAAATGCTGCTTCCAAGGGGATTTATCCTCTATGCTGAAAGAATCAACGACTGGACAAAATATATGGGAAGTGGTTTTCAGGAGATTGGCAGTAAAGTGGTGAAGGACTTGATCCCTGAGAGATGAGAAGCAAACAGAGCCAGCCTGTGATGGCCTCGGGCAAGGCCTGGGGAGGGTGTCCAGGAGAGAGTCGCATGACAACAGAAGGAACCTGGTAAACCCCTTAAGCTGGGGAGATAGATTCCAGACTCTGGAGGGACCAAGGAGGCTGGAGTTTGAAGGAGAGAACTGTACAGCAGGAGAACTCTGGATTTCAGTATTCAGCACGCACTAGTCAATACACACCTGTGATGAAACTATCCAGGGCTGGGGGGAAGACCCACTGAGAGGATTAGAGGGAACAGAGGCCAGGATCACACAGGGCCGGGAATAGTGCCAGGATCAATAACAACTTAGACATAAAAGCTTGACAGTGATCCTTTCAGATGATGGGTACCCCAGTGCATTTCCATTTTGAATGGAAACTGTGATATGGTGCTAGACCCAAAGGGAAGGATTCATGACCTGGAGTCAAGGGGTGTCCCGTGTGCCGTCCCTCTCAGTGGCCAGTGAGGAATTTATGTTTTCTGTTCTCACAACTCTGGGCTCTGCAACTCATAGTTCCCAGATGGAGAACTCTTCTTCCAGTGGACACAGCAACTTCCATTGAAGTTTAAGCTGTGACTGCCTCCTGGGTACTTCAGCATCTCGTGCCAAGGGACCAGCAGGCAACAAGGAGAGATACTAACCCAGCAGGGCTAATTGACCCTGGTCATCAGGAGGAGGTAGGGCTGCTGTGACAAAATGGGGGTAGGACGGGTCCACTTGGTCACCTCTCAGCACTCCCCTATCCAGTTTGACAGCAAATGGACCAGGAATGGCAGGAGTGTCAGCCTGAGCAGAGAGTGGTGCTCAGGATTCAGACTGCCTCAGAGGTAACAGCCTGTGTTAGGTCACATGTTAACCGCCAGGACCATCAAAGGTGCTAGCCGAGGCGGAAAGGGATCCTGAATGGAGATTGGAAGAGGGAGATGAGTCCTTGGGTAGCCAGGAGACCAGCTGCAGAGGTGAGCACTGCAGCTCATTCCACAAACCCTCCTCTTCCACATTTCCCCCAGGAAGAACAGGGGCACTGGCATCCTGCAGTAGCTGCTCCCAGAACACAAGATAAAGAAGCAAATCCAAACAGCATGACAATACAGTGTGGTGAACACAGGGATGTACCGCCCAGATCCACTGCTGCCAGGGGCTGTTAGCAGATGGCCTCCAGCTGTCAGCCCCTTAAGGGATTGCCCCAAGACAGAGAGCTGCCTTGCCAAGATCACATCAGTTCTCAGGGCAACCCAACGTGGGACAACTCCGAAGGGTCATCCTAGCTCCAGAGCTCCCGTGGGGTGGGCAAAGGCTGTCACTGGGCCTGCATCACAGTTGGACGCCTTCCTGCTCCTTCTGCAGGAGCTGATCCCAAGGACACTCCTTGGCCAACATGCTACATTTCATACTCTGCTTCCCAAGAAGGCAAACTGCAATGCTAAGATCACCCATTAGGAAGTAAAAAGTAGAGGAGGTGGTTTTCAATGCAAGCCATGTAGGGTGGAGGGCTCACTTGTAACCATTGCACTATGCAGTCCACTTAAACCAGGAACTTAGAACTCCATGGAAAAGGTCAAGGCATAGGGGAAATCTCTAACTGACTCTACAACTAAAGGGTTTAGAAAAAAAACATTTTTTTTTTTTTTTGAGACAGAGTCTCACTCTGTTGCCCAGGCTGGAGTGCAGTGGCGTGATCTCAGCTCACTGCAATCTCTGCCTCCTAGGTTCAAGCAATTCCTCTGCCTCAGCCTCCTGAGTAGCTGGGATTACAGTCACCTGCCACCACACCTGGCTAATTTTTTGTATTTTTAGTAGAGATGGGGTTTCACCATATTAGCTAGGATGGTCTCGATCTCCTGACCTTGTGATCCGCCTGCCTCAGCCTCCCAAAGCGCTGGGATTTCAGGCGTGAGCCACCGTGCCTGGCCCAGGACTCAAATTATTGAAGACTGCTTAAAAGTGATTTGAGGCCAGTCACAGTGGCTCACACCTGTAATCCCAGCATTTTGGAAGGCTGAGGCGGGTGGATCACCTGACATCTGGAGTTCGAGACTAGCCTGGCCAATATGATCAAACCCCATCTCTACTAGAAATACAAAAATTAGCTGGTGGTGGCGCATGCCTGTACTCCCAGCTACTCGGGAGGCTGAGGCAGGAGAATCGCTTGAACCCAGGAGGCGGAGGTTGCACTGAGCCAAGATCATGCCACTGCACTCTAGCCTGGGCAACAGAGTGAGACTCCGTCTCAAAAATAAATAAATAAATAAATAAATAAAGTGATTTTTTTTTTTTACTCTCAGGCAAATGAAGCTTGAGATAGAAATTATAGGGGACAATTAAGTGTTTTGTTTTTGCATATCTGAGTCTTAGAAATTACACCCACTGCAAAATATCTAAAATCAGTGAGATTTCACTATTGGAATTAAATAATCAGAATTATAGGCACCCATATAGGCACATAGCCATTTCTATATTGTTCCCTAGAACCATCTACTGTACCAGTCTACAAAAATCTGTGTTTCCAAACATCAAGGCATGGAACTAGAGAGAACATATCTGTAAGTCATCCCATTAGAAGTCATTCTTATTCCTCTGTAGTAGACCAAAAGGCACCCTCCCCAAAAAAAGATATCCACATCAGATCTCTGGAACCTGTGGATGTGACCGTATTTGGAAAAGGCTTTTTGCAGATGTGATTGAGTTAAAGTTCTTGAGAGGATTATCCAGGTCTGCCCTAAATTCAGTGACAAATGTCCTTGCAAGAGACAGGTGAGGGAGATTTGAGACAGAAGAGAAGACAGCCACACAGGAGAGGAGGCGATGTGAAGAAGAGGTAGAGAGTGGAGCGATGCAGCCTCAGGCCCAGGAATGCCGGGAGGAGATGCTGGAAGAGGCAGGGAAGGGGTTCTCCCCTAAAGCCCCCACAGGGAGTGTAGGCTGCTGGATCTCAGACCTCTGGCCTCCAGAACTGTGAAAGGATAAACTTCTGTAGTGTTAAGCCCCTAAGTTTATAACAATTTGTTGCAGCAGTCACGGAACACTGATATGTCATCACGCCTTCAGCATCAGAATACATCCATGGCTGTTTTGAAAGCATACAGCTTTACAATCCTCAACTAGCGAAAGAGACAGTGGCAATAACCAGACTTCCCAATGTGTAAGCACTGTGGGTACCATGCTGCGGAAACATTGCCCGCGGCTATAGACACAGGAGTATTGATCTGCCTGTGGATGTGAATTACAGCTCCTCTCCTGAGAGTGCAGAGGCAGCGGGTGTGTGGATTTTTACATCTTGAGCCTATTTCAGCCAGAGCTATGCTCAAGGTCAAACAACTTAAAATCCAGTAGACAGTCTTAGAGCAAAGAATTGATCTCACTTGCATTTTGCTAATAAAATAAAAAGTAAACCATTTATCAGGACGACGTGCAACTTGTTGGCACCAAGCTGGGAATCAGATCCTCTAAAGAGAAGAAATCCTATTTTCCACTGTAAAAAAAAGTGTTGATACACTTGGCAAGGATGTCGGAATAGGGAAGGGGACACTTACAAAGTCAAGGAGAAACACTGTTCTTTCTCTTAGAGTAACAAGGAAATTCATTTCGCAACATACCATTTTGACAGTAGCATTGTGAATAGAGCCTATTGTTATCTCTGCCCTCTGGGAATATACAGAAAGATACTGCCTTATCTGTGGAGGCTCAGGAACCTCACGGGGGCCATTTAGGAGCCCCAAATCTCACCATCTTCTCTCTGGGGAGTTTGGGGGAAAGTGGAAGAAATGAATAAAGAATTAGTTTTTTTAAAGTCTTTGAGAAATCTTCCAAGTGATGGCAAAGTATTCAGTGTGAAGGCTTAAAAGTGAACAGGCAGAAGGAATAAATGATATACCACTTAACCTTTTGAACAATCCTGAGGGTTGAGTGTTATTGTTCCCATTTTACAGATGGGGCAAATGAGGTTCCAAGAAGTTAAAGACTCGAGGTCACAGTAAGACACAAAGCAAGGACTGGAACACAAACCTGACTCCTAATGCCCTGCCCCTTGAACTCTACCACATTTCCCCAAAGTCAAATAGATACGTAAATAATAAGGGGTGTGTAGACACGCCCTTGGGAGAGAAAGCTGTATACCTCACAACCCATGAGATATGAGGGGGTCAAATAATATAATTGATTTATTCATATGTCAGGTTAGGCCGGGAGCAGTGGGTCACACTTGTAATCCCAGCACTTTGGGAGGCCGAGGCAGGTGGATCACCGGAGGTCAGGAGTTCAAGACCAGCCTGGCCAACTTGGCGAAACCCCGTCTCTACTAAAAATACAAAAATTTGCCAGGCATGCTGGCAGGTGCCTGTAATCCCAGCTACTTGGGAGGCTGAGGCAGAAGAATTGCTTGAACCTGGGAGCAGAGGTTGCAGTGAGCTGAGAGCACACACTGCACTCCAGCCTAGGTGGCAGAGTGAGAATCCATCTCAAAAAAAAAAAAAAAAATTCAGGTTATGTCTATGTTTAACCAGTAATATATATGGGGCACAGGGAGACAAATAGGGCACAGTTGTCTCTACCTTGAAGGGGCATGAAGTCTAGAAGGAGAAATGTGAATTACAGAAATGACAAAGCAGGAACAGTGTGCACAACAGGACACAGGTGCAGACCCACACGGAAGCCCAGCAGGGAGAGGCGGCTGCCAGGGACAGGTGGCAGGAGAAACTTTAACCCAATTGTGGGAAAGAAACTTTCATGCTAAAGAAAGCATACACAAAGAGAGGCGAGATAGGATATAAAAATGCTTTAAAAATGTATAAAATGTAAAGAATTATTTGAAGAGAAATCCATACGGAAATTCACACTGGACAGACTTCAGCTTTTGTAACACCCAGGGTCAGTCCCCAGAACAGAATTAACTCGTCTCAGCTCCTCAGACTGTTATAAATCTGAAGTTGAAAAGGATTCTTTAGAACCCTAATGATGTTACAACTAAGTTTTCATTACAGCAGTCCCCCTTATCCATGGGTGATACAAGCTAAGACTTCTAGCGGGTGCCTGAAACCGCAGATAGCACCAAACCCTCACATATCCTACTTTTTTCCTATATATACACATCTGTGATAACGTTTAATTTATAAATTAGGCACAATAAGAGATAAACAATAATAAAATAAGACAATTATAATGATATAGTGTAATAAAATTTATATGAATGTGGTCTCTATCTCTTCTCCCCCTCTCAGACTATCTTATTGTACGGTAGTCACCCTTCTTTCTGTGAGGAAGAAGGGGTAGAGCAGATGGCATGGATTTCATCGTGCTACTCAGAACAGTGTGCAACTTAAAACTTATGAATTAGTTCTAGAATTTTCCACTTATGCTTTCAGACTGAAGTTGACTATGAATCTGAAACCACAAAGACCAAAACTGAAGATAAGGGGGGACTACTGTAATACGTTATGTAATGCATTAGTTTAGCATATTGAAACAATTACAGTGAAATAAGTATGATGGGAACTGAAAATTAGGGAATAGATAAGTTCAGGTTATGAAGACACATAGAAAGATAAACTGTTGTGTGATATAATGCTCAGTAGACACCTCTACTTCTGTGCTGATGGAGTAGACACACTTCTCCTTATCCCTCTGCTAGGTACTACTAAACTCTGGACAGTGAAGGTAAAACAAACAGAAGACACTAAGAGGTGGAAAAAAGAAAACAAACTAGGGAGGGAATGTGGTTTCCAAGTAACCTGGTGGTGAGCTCCCTGGTTTTCTTCTTGCTCCACATGTTGCTGACTTGGGACTGAAGAAGCTGCCAACCCAGAAACACAAATGGATGTCAACCAAGAAAGCCCGAATCAAAGCCTGCTCTCTAGCCAAACAACAGGAAAGGGATAGCCAAGAAGACAGCAACCACTCTACTCCAGCCAAACACCAAAGAAAGAAACTATGACCCCAACCCCACCCATGCCAGCAAGGGCCAAGTGGAGAGCTTAGACTTCCCCCCTCACCAAGCTACCACAAGGTGCCCCCAATGCTCTCAAAACCAGGCAGTGTCAGAGAAAGCTGAGGACGGATCAAGATGTTAAGTACCTTCCAGGTGATAATGATTTTAAGCACCTTCCAGATGATAATAATTTTTTATCACTACCACCTCTCTGTAGTGTCAGTGGAGACCACAGTGGGAGCCTGGACTTCTACCCCCACCTGCGGTAGTCATGAGGTACCCTTTCCTCACCCCAGTGGGGTGGTGTCAGAGGTTGCCTGATGAAAAGTCAAGACTTTCACCACCAACCAGCAGTAACAAGACCAGCTTCCTCTCCCCCAGAAAATAAAGTGTTAGTGGTGAAAATAAAGTGTAACTGGACATGAGGAGCAACAACAGGCTACTCAATCCCCTCCCAGTTAAGTTGGCATTAGTGGAAGCTTAGTAATTCTTACATCTATCCAGCAGTAACAAGGAACCCCTTCCACTCCCCACTGAGGTATCAACAGAGGCGAGAGAGGAACCTGGACCTTAACCTTCACCTGGCAATAGCAACACAGTATCCTCCCTTCTCCTGCTGGAAGGGTGTCAGACAAAGCCAGCTAAAACAGAAGGTTTACAAAGATTCAGAGTCTCATAACATAATATCCAAAATGTCCAGGTTTCAGCTAAAAAATCATTCATCATACCAAGAACCATGAAGATCTCAAACTGACTTTAAAAAGAAAATAGATGACAACACTGAGATGACAGGGATGTTACAATTACCTGACAAAGATTTTGAAACACTCATGGTGAAAATGATTCAACCAGTGATTATGAATACACATTAGACAAATGAAAATATAGAAAATCTCAGCAAAAAAATAGAAGATATAAAGAAGAATAAAAACAAAACTTTTAGAACTGAAAATGAAATAACCAAATTTAAAACTCAATGGATGGGCTCAATAACGGAAGAGAGAGGACAGAGGAAAGAATCTGTGAACTTGAAGATAGGGCAATAGAAGCTACCCAGTCTGAACAACAAAGAGAAATTCAACTGAAAATAAAAATGAACAGAGCCTCAGGAACCTATGGCACTAAAACAAATTATCTAACCATTTGTATCACTGGGGACCCAGAAGGAGAAGAGAAAAAGGATTGGATTAAAAAACTACTTGAAGAAATAATAGCTGAAAACTTTCCAAATTTGGCAAAAGACGGCCTACAGATTCAAGAAAAGCCCCAAATAGGATAAACTCAGAAGAATCCTCACCAAGGCATATCATAGTCAAATTTCCAAGAACTTAAAATCTTGAAAGCATCAAGAAAAATGTGACACCTTACTTATAATGAGAAACAACTCAAATTACAAGGGATTTCTCTTAGCTAAATGAAGTTCTCTAGACAGAAAGGAAACAACTTAAACTTTGGAACATCAGGAAGTAAAGAACATGATAAACAAAAATAGGGTTAAATATAATAGACTTTACTTAAGTTTTCTAAATTATGTTCAATGGGGTTGAAGCAAAAATAACACCATCTGCTGTGGTTCTACATGTATGTAGAGGAAATATTAAAGAATTGTATTGTAAACAGAGAGGGTAAAGGACTATAAAGGGAGATCGTTTCTACGATTCATGAACTAGTAAAATGTGGATGGCAAAAGACTGTTAAGTTGTATATATACAATATAATAGTTAAGCAATCACTAAAGAAATGATATAAATATACTCCAAATGATATAGATAAATCAAAATGAAATTCTAAAAAATGTTCAAGTGACCCACATGAAGGAAGAAAAAATAACAGAGAAACCAAAAATAGAACAGAAAACAGAAAATAAAATGAAAGATGTAAACCCTAATTAGTGCAATAATTACATTAAATATAAATGATCTAGATACACCAATCAAAAGACAGGGATTGTCAGAGTGAATTAGAAAAAGATCTAATTATATGATGTCTACAGGATACTCACATTAAATATAATGATGTAATGGTGAAACCCTGGGTCTACTAAAAATACAAAAATTAGTCAGGCATGGTGGCAGGCTCCTGTAATCCCAGCTACTCAGGAGGCTGAGGCAGGGAGAATTGCTTGAACCCGGGAGGCAGAGGTTGCAGTGAGCCAAGATCGCACCACTGCACTCCAGCCTGGGTGACAGCGCGAGACTCTGTCTCAAAAACAAACAAACAAAATCTATCTATCTATATATATAATAATGTAAGCAGGTTGAAAGTAAAAAGATGAAAAACAATATATGATACAAACATTAATCAAAGAAAGCAGGAGTTGCTGTATTAACATCAGATAAAATAGGCTTTAGAGCAAGAAAATTATTAGATACAGAGAGAAACATTACATAATAAGTATCAATCTACCAAGAAGACATAGCACCTTGAATGTGAATGCACCAAACAGAGCTTCAAAATGTATGAAGCAAAAACTGAAAACTGAAATAGATAAATTCATAATTACACTCTTCTCTCAAAAATCGATAGAACTACATAGAAAATCAGGAAGGAGATAGAAATATCAGACAATACAGGATCTAACATTTGTAGAACACTATATTCAACAATAGAATACACATTCTTTTCATGTGCATATGGAACATATACCAAGATAGATCATATCGTGGGCCATAAAACAAACTTCAGCAAATTTAAAATAATTTAAGAACATGGGCAGCCAATCCTGATGCGGCTCCCTGGAGCCTGATGCCAAGCAGCTCCCCAGTGGGCTAAGCAGGGGCTGGCATCATGGATTTCTTCAAAGCATTGCTGAAGAGGTCAGCACCTTGAGGCTTCCAGCTGCAAGGGGGCAAGGACCTCAATGTGCCCTTCTCCATTTCCTGGCTCACTCCTGGAGGCAAATGATCTGAGCCTGCATAAAGTGCCTCAGCCTGGGTCTCAGCAGGTCTCAGCCAGTTCAGAGCAAACCACAGGAGGTTCTGGCTCCTGCCACAAACCCCCTGCAGTTCACGCTTGCACCCAGCACCTTCAACAAGATGGCCTGGCCCTTCAGGGCACCCCCACCACCTGCTGGCAATGCACCATAGCAGAATGGACAGCTGCTCCAACTGCTGGTCCCAGATGCCACCAAGCAGTGGCTGATGGAGAACACCAAGGACTGGCCACCATGGTCTAGGACAGGCCAGTCACATTCCTTCAGCATCCTTGCCCACGTCATAGACACGGAGTTCATGCAAGACCTGGATGAGGAACACCTGAAGAAATCAAGGGAAAAGTATGTCCTGGGGCTATAGAGCCCATGCTGACCTGCCTCCAGGATTGGTACCACCAGCACTCTGCCCACATGCTCAATGTACAGTTGTAGCTTAGCCCTCTCCAGCTGGCTGCCCTGTCTACCTCTTTCTATTCCTTCTGCCCATGGCCAGCAATAAACACAAGGTCACAAAAATTTAAATTACAATACCATTTGCAATCACTCAAAAAAAAAGGAAATGCTTAGGTATAAATTTAACAAAACACCTTCAGGTCTTACATGCTGAAAATTACAAAATGCTGAAAAAAGAAACCAAAGATCTAAATAAATGAAGATACATACCAATAATCCAAGAATACCATGTTCATGGATTGGAAGACTCAACATAATAAAATTATCAATTATCCCCAAATTAATATACAGGTTTAATGTACTTCCTGTTAAAATCCCAGTAAGAATTTCTTAGAGAACAATCTAAAATTTATATAAAAGGCAAAGACATTAAAACAGCTAAAACAATTTTGAAAAAAGAATAAATTTGAAGGAGTCAGCTTATTATTTAGCAACTGTAATCAAGACTGTGTGGTGTTGGTGGAGGAATAGACACACAGATGACTGAAACAGAATAGAGAACTCAGAAATAAACCTACATATGCCCAACTATTTTTTGACAAAAGTACAAAAGCAATCTAATGGAGAAAGGACAGTTTTTTCAACAAATGGCGCTGGAGCAATTGGATAGCCATAGGTTAAAAAAAAAATGAACCTTGACCAAAGCCTCACATTTCATACAAAATTTACAGACTTAAATGTAACATAAGACTTAAGTGTAAGACACAAAATTATTAAACTTTTAGAAAAATATAGGAAAATCATCAGGATCTAGACAAAGTTTTTAAGCTTGACACCAAAACCACAATCCATTTACAAAAATTGTAAATTGAACTTCACCTAGATGTAAAACTTTCACTCTGCAAAAGATCCCATTAAGAGGATGGGAGAAAATGTTTACAAACCATATATCTAACAAAGGACTAGTAACTAGAATATATAAAGAATTCTTAAAACTCACCAGTAAAACCAAGCAATCCAATTAGAAAATGGGTAAGAGACATAAAAAGACATTTCACTGAAGAGGACGTACATGTGGCAAATAAGCACATGAAAAGATGTTCATCAACATTAGTCATTAGGGAAATGCAAACTAAAACCACAATGAGATATCCCTACATACCTAAGAGAATCACTAAAAAATAATAGTCACAATACCAAATGCTAACAAGGATGCAGAGAAATAGGATTGTTCATATATTACTGGTGGGAATGTAAAGTAACAGCTATTCTAGCAGACAGCTTGGCAGTTTCTTCAAAAACTAAACACACGATCACCATACAACTCAACAACTGCATTCCTGGGCACTTACCCCAGGGAAATGAAACTTATGTGTGCACAAAAATTTGCACACAATGTTTATAAGCAGCTTTATTTGTAACAGCACAAAATTTCAAACAACTCAGATGTCTTTCAGCAGGTGAATGGTTAAACACACTATGGTACATCTACACAATGGAATTCTACTCAGCAATGAAAAGGAACAAACTATTAATAACAATTGATAGATATCAATAACAATCTGGATAAATCTTCAGAGAATGATGCTAAGTGGAAAAAGCTAACTCAAAGGTTTACATACTGTATGGTTATATTTATATAATATTCTTGAAATTATAAAAACTGTAGAAATGGAGATAAGATTAATGAGGATGGGGGTGGTTATAAAAGGGGTACATGAGGGATCCTTGCAGTGATGGAAATGTTCTGTATCTGGACTATTTCAATGTCAATATTCTGGTTGTAATATTGCACTTCTAATATTGCACTGTAATATTGTAGTTTCATAAGATGTGACCATTGGGGGAACTAAGTAAAGGGAACATGGAATCTTTCTGTATTACTTGCAACTGCCTGTCAATCACAATTATCTCAAAATAAAAAAAATGCAGTGGAAACATAGACTACAAGAGGATATATACAATAATTGCAACTATGTAAAAATATGGGCACAGCAGGGAAAGAGCATACAAAACTGAAAATTCTTTGGCGTATAATTATAGAGAACTTAGTTTCCTAAAATTTAAAACCATTATTCTTTCACTGTGTCTTTTATAATTTGTCTAAGGTCTTTGGGACAGCATTGTGCCGACTGTTTCAATATTTTTTACCACATGTACAAATACCAGGTTTCAATTTTTGTTGCCAGGGGAGCAAAAAGTGCACCCGACTTAATCTGTCCATCAACGAGTCATATAAAATCTCTAAGCCTTGGTTTCTTTGGAAGATCAATAACATCTCTTCCATCTGCCTCACCGCGTTGTTAAATGAGGCTCAAAATGGAAGGTGCTTCCAATCTGAAAAGCCATTGTAAAGCCAATGTAGTACGCAATTACAAAGTAGTCCCCCATTTTAGATAGCCAATGTGCAGTTTTATCAACTAAAATTGACTGAAGCAAGGAATTACATTTATCTAGTGTTATGGGCTGAATTGTGTCTCCCTGAAATTCATATGTTTAAGCCCTGACCTTTAGTTCCTCAGCATGGGATTGTGCTTGAACGTAGGGTTCTTAAAGAGGTAACTGAGGTTAAATAAAGTTATTAGGGTAGGCCCTAATCCAATATGACTGGTGTCCTTATAGGAAGATTATGACATAGACATGCACAACCATGTAAGGACACAGGGAGGAGACGGACATCTCCAAGCCAAGGAGAGAGGCCTCAGGAGAAACCAACCCTGATGGCTCATGACCTTGGACTTCCGGTCTCCAGAGCTGTGCAAGGATAAGTATCCATTGTTGAAGCCATCCAGTATGTGGTACTTTGTGATGGCAGCCAAGCAAACTAATTCATCAACCTTGAATCCCCCATTAAAGGTTTGACCGTTAGCAAGCTATGTCCAACAAAGTGTCCCACAGCGTACTAACATGGATGTAGCCTGGCCTTGGAATCAAATCACCCTTGGCTACGATTCTGTGTCTGCCACTTGTGAGCTGTGTGACTTGGGGAAATGACTTCTGCCTCTGGACCTTAGGTTCATTACGTATTAAAGGTGGTTCCTTCCTCCCGGGGTTAAATAAGGATGCAGTGAGACTGGATTAAATGACAGGATGTTTATGAAGGCCTGACCCATACAAGGCACTGTGTGTATTAGCTTCCCTTCCTTATCTTGAGGATTGTGTATCCCCAGATAAATTGATACCATCTTCACTCATGGAGTCCCTAGTACTTTTACATGTCTTCACATTTTCATATGATTTTCAACTTAACCAGTCTTCAGTTAAGATAGGAAGAGTGGGCTGAGCACTGTGGCTCATGCCTGCAATCCCAGCACAGTGGGAAACTGCAATCCCAGCACATTGGGAAACTAAGGCAGGAGGATCCCTTCAGCCCAGGAGCTCAAGACCAGCTTGGATAACAGAGTGAGACCCATTCTCTACAAAAAAAATAAAATTAGCCAGGCATGGTGGCACATGCCTCTGGCCCTAGCTACTCGGGGAGCTTAGCTTGGGCCTGGGAGGTCAAGGCTGCAGTGAGCTCTGATTGTGCCACTGTACTCCAGCCTGGGCAACAGAGCCAGACCCTGTCTTGGGGGAAGAAAAAGAAGTAAACAGAGAGAGAAACCTAAACAATTTGGACAAAATACAGAGCTAAACGGTAGAAGAGTCCAAAATCCAGGCTTCCTGGCTTTTCTTTGACTGGAAAGATGGAAACTCCTAGTGTGGAACGAGGCTAACCCCATGCAGGATAAGAATTTCTCTTGTTGGAGGCTGTGTCACAGGCCATGGTCACTCATATTTGGCTCAGAATAAATCTCTTCAAATATTTTACAGAGTGTGACTATTTTCATCAATAATATGTATGAAAGGGACAGAAGTAATTTTTCTAATTTAAATAAAGGGTATCCCTGCCCCCCAAATCCATCCAGATTCATTCTTCCCAAACACAAACTTCATTCTATTTCTTTGCTATCTAAGATCCTTCTCTGACTCCTCTTCCCTGATGTTGGAATGAAATTGCGTCCAACTCTTTCCGTCTGACCATCACCTCCCCACATGGTCAGCCTCTGGCTCCTTGTCCCGCCTTTCTCACAACCCCCCTCCACCTCACAGGGCTCACTTCCCAGCTCACCCCTTGGCCACACTCATTTCCACCTTCAAGCCTCTGCTCTAGCCCTCCCTCCCCCAACTCCTCTCCATGCAAACTAAGCTGGAGACCAGCAGGGACTGCCCACCCCCCAACCTTTTTTTTTCTTAGAGTTTTCGCTCTTGTTGCCCAGGCTGGAGTGCAATGACACGATCTCGGCTCACTGCAACCTCCGAGTCCTGGGTTCAAATGGTTCTCCTGCCTCAGCCTCCCAAGTAGCTGGGATTACAGGCACGCACCACCACGCCTGGCTACTTTTTGTATTTTTAGTAGAGACGAGGTTTCACCATCTTGGCCAGGCTGGTCTCAAACTCCTGACCTGGTGATCTACCCGCCTCGGCCTCCCAAAGTGCTGGGATTACAGGTGTGAGCCACTGCGCCCAGCCAGGGACCCCCTTTTTAAGGGCCCATGCCCCGACCTCCACTGCCCCAAGCATGGAAATAAAGGAAAATTCTGAGTTCCTTCAAGGGAAACTCCAGGCAGCTCACTAGCCCAGAGAGGCAAACATGCAACTTTATAAGAAGATCACAGTAGCCTAAAATGATAGCCAAGGGAAGTTGGAATTCAGAGATGTTTGGTTTCCCTAGACAAACTAAGATATATCTTAACAAATGTCCCTGGATCCCCCGACCAAGGAACCCCATGTATGTATGGACCCACTGGCATGTAGACCTCAGATACAGGGAAACTGAGGACTCAACTCTGACCATCATTCTTTGCTCTAATTTCTTCCTGAGGGGCTTGGAGGGAGTCACATCTGGAGCCAGTTAACATTTTTTTCATCTGACCACAAATTTTTAAACAAAGCTTCTCTTTCTTAACCAATTGCATATCAGAAAATCTTTGACTCTACCTATGACCGGAAAGCCCCCACTTTAAGATATCTCACCCATTTAGGCCAAATCCAACGTGTAAACTCCAGGTATTGATTTGCGATTTTGCCTGTAGCTTTTGTTTTCCTGAAATTAAACCCTGAATTTTCCTGAAATTAAGCCCCAGGGGAGGTCAGGGTTTGAGCAATAGCTACCCGGTCGGCCTTGCTTGGCACCCCGCAAATAAACACCTTCCTTTCTATCCCTGAGACCTCGGTGGGGATTTCTGGGCTTTCTGCACCGGGCGAGCGGACCCCAGTTCAGTTCAATAACCACCTTGCCTATGCAAGGCCAATTTTATTCCACTCCAAAGCCTCCCAGACAACAGCAACTCCTCCATTTCCCAACTCTCAGTGCCTCAGAACCCTGTGGGCCCCTGTTTCATTAATCAATTGACCTCAAGTGGTCCCCCGCCCCACCCCCACCCCCAGGACTCAGCAGCTCCCACCCTGCCGCAAGCACTTCCCACTGGAAAACTTTCCAAATAAATCAGTAAACCAGGACCTGGGGCTTTTGCTGGAAAGTCAAATTACAGTATTTGTTTGAAGACTATTTTTCATTCAAAAATAAGCAGGGATATTAGCTCAAGACACACATACACACACACAAATTCCTTCTTACAAGGCAAACATCCCATTTTAATGGATCTAATTAGATCCTCAGGATATAGACCTAAGAATAGACATCTGTACTTCTCTCTTAACACCAGAGGTAACTGGGTGCCACCCTCCAGCAACACTGGGGCACGGCTGAGCAGGAAGAGGAGGAGGGGAGGGGAAAGGTCAGGGGTCAAAGGTCACTAGGCAACTTCACACTGGCCAGGCTGAACTCTGGAGAACCATTTCATAAAAGCAGGTCATAAAACAGCCTTTGGTTCCCTCATGGAAATAATATTGTAACTGGAAACTGATTCAGCATCATAAATATACTGAAAGCAAAGACATCCCATCTGTATTAGTCTATTTTCCCACTGCTGTAAACGACTACCTGAGACTGGTTAATTTATAAAGAAAAGAGGTTTAATTGACTCACAGTTCTGCAGGCTGAACAGGAAGCATGACTAGGAGGTCTCAGGAAACTCACAATCATGGCAGAAGGCAAAGGAGTAGCAAGCACACCTTCCTATGGCAGCAGGAGAGCGAAGCAGGAGGAGCCACACACTATTAAATGCTCGGATCTCGTGAGAACTCACTCACTAGCGTGAGAACAGCAAGGAGGAAATCCGTTCCCATGATCCAATCACCTCCCACTGAGGCAGGAGAATACAGAATTAGGGTAACCAAGGGTTAAGTCATACTTGGAAGAACAGCAGGTGCAGCCAGTTCCAGGCAAGACTGGGCAGCACACAGGCCACATCCTGGCTCCTATGATAACAAGACAGGAGTTTCCACTTCAGCCTCTGATTGTTCATGGGCCAATCTTTCATAGGGTGTAACCAATTGGAGGCCTTTCAAGGGCACCTCAGAGTGTTACCAAATTCTTTTAGCCTAATACAAACCCTAAACAACACTGCAACTCGGGGGCTCTTGAGCTGCTTGCTCCAGCCTGTTCCCACTCTGTGGAGTGCACTTGCACTTCATAAATCTGTGCTTTCTTTGCTTCATTCTTTTGTTGCCTTGTGCATTTTGTTCAATTATTTGTTCAACACGCCAAGAACCTGGACAACTCACAGTCAAGAACTTCCATCTGGTAACACAACCCGGCCCCTCCTCCAATTCAACAGGAGATTTGGGTGGGGACACAAATCCAAACCATATCACCATCTATAAATCAGTTCTTATATTACTTACAAGAAAAATATATGCAAGAATTGGCATAAATATACCATAAGTATACTATACATGCTAATTAAAAGAGAGGTTCCATTATATACTCATAAACACATGAATGTACAATTTTACTATATCATAAATGTTATCTACTATGAACACATTAGCTGTAATTGTAAACATTGAATGAATACTAATTTTCCTTGCCTTCTTGGCATTTGGACAAGTTTTGTGAAGATGATTTGCATGGTCCAGGTTTTCTAAAAAAGTCCATAGAGATAGTTTGAACAGATGTAGCAAAGAGAGCAATTCATCTTAGAGTGCTTGGTCCAACTTAGAACAGCCTCAGAGCCTCATAGGTGACAGGTGGGCAAGTAGAGGTGGCAAGAAAAGCATGGAAGCCTGAGACAGTGCCCAGAATTATTCTGGAAGGAGAAGAGAAAGTAAACAGTCCTCCAAACATTAGTGAATTTTTCGGCAGGCGGCAGGGGGAGAGGAGGACCAACATGGGCGATGGCCACAGATACTGGGGTGGCTGAGTCCCACATTCACTGTGAGATGGTTAATGTGACATGTCAACCTGGCTGGGCCCTGGTGCCCAGTTGTTTGGCCAAACACCAGTCTAGATGTTGCCATGACGTTATTTCTTAGATGTGATTACATTTAAATCAGTAAACTTCCAGTAAAGCAGACTACCTGTCATAATGTGGGTGGGCCTCATTCAATCACTTGGAGACCTTAAGTGCAAAGACCAAGGCTTCCCAGAGAAGAAGAAGTTCTCCTGAAGATTGCAGCATAGAAACCTTACCTGAGTAGCCAGCCTGTTTTGCAGAATTCACGCTCAGGACTGCAACATCAACTCTTACCTGAATTGCAGCCTGTCAATCTTCCCTGCCGGCTTCAGACTTGCCAGCACCCGCAACTGTGGGAGCCAGTTCCTTAAAATAAATGTAGGCAGGTAGATAGGTAGGTAGGTAGAGAGATAGATGATAGATGAATAAATAGACGGATGATAGATGGATAGATGCAAGAGGAAAAGAGAGAAAGATAAGTACATCTTTTGTTAGTTGTTTCTTTAGAGAACCCTGACTGATACAATCTTCTAGCATCTTGAGCCAAGAAGGAAACAATTGTGCATAGAGTGGCCTGGACAGCAGAGAAGCTGCAACAGGTGAGGAAAACTGTGGCTGAGAACTCCAGTTCACTCCATCCATACCTCACTTTCCCAAAGGCAATAGGAGCCTTCTGAGTTCATGGGACAGCCCTGAACACCAGGCTTTTCAGAAGTAGGAGCCATCCACGCAGAATCACTGCCCAAGCAAGCTATCAGCAAAAATCAGTCAGGGCATCAAAAGTCCAGAATGAAACCATGGATGCTTTTTGTGGATCAATCAGATGAACTTGGGAATGAGGCCAGTTCACCTTTACGAGCCCCAGGGAGCTTCAGGCCAACGCCTCCAATCAACCATGTGTTTAGTGCAGAGCCAGGGCTTTGTGGGCGGAGGGCCTGGCTCTCTCGATTTCTGGCCTCTGGAAAGAACAAGGGCAATCTGTGTTCTCATTTGTAAAATGAAGATAATTTTGACCCCAGGCTCACAGGGTGACTGTGAGCACTAGATTGACCGGCATGTGCTTCCTGAGCCAGAATACTAAAGCCAGTTGCTCCTAATAGCTCAGAGCTATTTTCTGATTTTCCTTTTTTTTTTTTTTTTTGACAGAATCTCGCTCTGTCACCCAGGCTAGAGTGCAATGGTATGATCTTGGCTCACTGCAACCTCCACCCTCAGGGTTAAGCGATTTTCCTGCCTCAGCCTTGCGAGTAGCTGGGATTACAGGCACGCGCCACCATGCCCAGCTAATGTTTGTATTTTTAGTAGAGACACAGTTTCGCCATTTTGCCCAGGCTGGTCTCAAACTCCTGACCTCAAGGGATCCACCTGCCTCAGCCTCCCTAAGTGCTGGGATTACAAGCATGAGCCACCGTGCCCAGCCAGCTCAGTGCTGTCTTCAAGGCAGCTCCTAGGACACCTCCCACAGGGAAAATAGTTCTCTCTGGTTGTGACAACACAGGACTTCATGTAGGGGTCCCCCAAATTGTAGGGAGGTAATTTTCACATCTTTGAAGGATATGAAAATTAGACCCCTTAGGGGAAAATACAGGCTGAGAGACAGTGGCCGATCGTGAGGTCCCTGATGAAGAAGGAATTGGATTCTGGCAAGTGAAGCCTCTCTGCAGGATGAGGACAGGAATATTGCTATTATGCCCTCCAAACGAGGAGCCCCACAAACCTTAAGAAGGGGGAAGGTGAGCCTTGGCTGCTGCAAGACAACAAAAACAACCACGCGCTTCACAATTACTAACTTGCTTCATTCCCACATTGATCCCCCAAAGCATCATTAGACTATATTTCTTTTTTACACATAAAGAAACTAAGTCTCCAACAGACTTGGCCAAGGTTCCCCATTTCGTGAGAGGGGGAGCTGAGACCCATGCACAGGCACGTGAGTCTCTCACCTGCCCCTTCCACGACACCTGTGCCCTTTTTCACAAGGTCATGAGGTGATGACTCTATGCTGCGGTCTGAAGATCAATGAGACAGACAACGCCCTAAGACAATAAAGAAAGATAAAGGTAAACAGGTCAACACTTTTGTTTTAGGAAAGGGCACCTTCAGAGAATGATCAAGATGAACAAAACTTCCCACCCCCCTGGAGCTTTTCCTAGAGAGGGAGACAGACATTATATCAGCACAATTTCCATCTACTGTCAATCCCTGAAAAAAATAATAAAATAGAATAGAATAAGATAAACCAGCACGACTGTGTTGTCTTATGAAGGAGAAGTGCGGGAGATCCCAGGAACTCGTGAGAGGCAGGAGTGGGTTGGCATGAAGCAAAGGCTTCAGGGAAGATGTGAGGTTAAGCCAAGAACCGACAGAAGTTCAGGCCGGGGCATACACGACTCCGAGTCCATGTACACAAAGCCAAAGGCCAACAGGAGCAGTTGTACTCCAGACACCCAGCTTAAAGCATGCTGATAGGCCGGGTGTGGTGGCTCACGCCTGTAATCCCAACACTTTGGGAGGCAGAGGCAGGCGGATCACCTAAGGTTGGGAGTTCGAGACCAGCCTGACCAACATGGAGAAACCTCATCTCTACTAAAAATACAAAATTAGCCAGGCGTGATGGTGTGTGCCTGTACTCACAGCTACTCAGGAGGCTGAGGCAGGAGAATCACTTAAACCCAGGAGACGGAGGTTGCAGTGAGCCGAGATTGTGCCATCGCACTCCAGCCTAGGCAACAAGAGTGAACTCCATCTCAAAAAAAACAAAAAAACAAAGACAAACCAAAACAAGCATGCTGATATTAAAACAAAACATGGATGGGCTATGGCTCAAAGTGTGGAAATCTGTACATATTTTGAGTTCAATGGGAGCCCTCCAAGAAATCCCCAGCTTGGGAGTGGCCCCATCATGACCTGTTCACCTTCATCCACCACAAAACCTAGAGGTCTGATCCAAACCAAACCCCCAAAGCAAATGTGTAGGATCCAGCACATGGACTTCAGTCTGCTTGATTTCAAAGCATGAAATCGTTGGCTGTTTTCCCCAGAGGTTACCTGCTCAATACAGCTTTCAAGCTGAATGCCATCTTCCATTCCCTTGCATGAAGGCCTGCATACCATAAGGAAGTCCAAATAGCTCAGCTGCCACTTCCTTCCCTTGTCTTTCCATCCTAAAGGAATCTGCAGCCCCACATTGGCTGGGGTCTTTGCACCTCTCTGAACCAACCAGAAGGAGTGCACATAAGCGCCCAAGAAGAGAGCAGAGGGAGATAAGTAAAAGTGATGTGCTTGTATTAGAAGCCACAGACAAATCTGCGATAACATTTAGAAGTCAGTTTTAATTCTGAGAATGTGGAAGTCAAAGCCCATCTGATGTCAGGTTGAATGAATAGATTAAAAATTCAATCAGAAACAGCAGAGACTTGTCAAGGATTTCAAAAGCCCCTCCAATCCCTTCTGTGTGGGCAACAAAGTGTGCCTAGCAAAAATGCAAATCAGATTGTTATCACTCCCCTGTGTAAAACCCTTTTATACCCATTCACAATAAATCTCAGACTGCTCACCATGGCTTCAGGGCCTCAAGCCTCTTTTTTTCCCCAGCTCGCTGCTTTCCAGACCCACCAGCCTTTCAGCTCCCACACACACCACGCTTCCTGTGCCTCTGAACAGCCGTGCAGGCGGTTCTCGCTGCCTGCGGCCTGCTTCCACCAGCTGGTAACTTTTGCTTGCCTCTCCAATGAGAGAGGCCTCACTCAACCATCCCATCTTAGTCATGTTTTCCTGAAAAAGTCTCACATTGATGCTTTTGTTAACTCCTTCAGTGCACTAAAGACAGTCTGTTGAGTTTGTTTATGCAAAGTCCGGTCTCCCCAACTAAAATGTCAGCTTGCAGAGAGCAGAAGAGGTCGGGCCTGTGTAGCTCGCTGATGAATTCCTGTTGACAGACACTTACCCATGAGCTGCTCAAGTCCTGCACATCTTGAGAAAGAGCCCTTACTTCCGGGGTATCTTTTCAAGGATGTCTGTACGGTGAAAACCTGTGGTAGACAGAGTATCTCCTTCCAGAGCAAGTCAGGTGCGCATGCTGTGCAGTATCATGAAGACCATGTCTCCTTCTGGAATGGACAGGCAGGCTTGCTGCCTGTGATTTATGAAGCTTAAAATAGCAAATATAAATATCAACCAAGCAAAATGGTATTTACGATACATGTACATAGGGAGTAACAAACACAAAATTCACAATGACGTCTGCCTCTTGCAGGGAGGCCAGGGGGTGGAATCTGTGAGAAGTTGCTGGAAGTTTCCATGCCATTGGGTGTGCTTCTGCCAGCTGATACCCTTGGACTCTCAAGTGAGAGACACCACAGTTGACCATCTTACGTTGGTAGCATCTTCCTGGGTTAGTCCCACCTCGAAACCTGTATATGCATAAAAGACAATCTACTATATGTACCATGTATTATGTAATATATACATAGTATATATAATACAGGAATATGGTAACATAGTAATATATATTATCTATTTATCCATTGTAGATAATACATACATATTGTGTATCATCTATATTATTAATACATATCACATATGTTTATACACATATAATATAGAGCAGTGGTCCCCAAGCTTTTTGGCACTAGTGACCAGTTTCATGGAAGACAATTTTTCTCGTCTTTTCTTTTCTTTTTGAGATGGAGTTTTGCTCCTGTTGCCAAGGCTGGAATGCAGTGGCACAATCTCGGCTCACTGCAACCTCTGCCTCCCGAGTTCAAGTGATTTTCCTGCCTCAGCCTCCTGAGTAGCTGAGATTACAGGCACCCACCACCATGCCTGGCTAATGTTTTGCACTTTTAGTAGAGGCAGGGTTTCACCATGTTGGCCAGGCTGGTCTCGAGCTCCTGACCTCAGGTGATCCGCCTGCTCCATCTCCCAAAGTGCTGGGATTACAGGCGTGAGCCACCATGCCCGGCAGAAAGACGATTTTTCTATGGACAGGGGAGTGTGATGGTTTCCAGATGATTCAAGCACATTACATTTATTATGCATTTTATTTCTATTCTTATTACATTGTGATATATAATGAAATAATTATACAACTCACCATAATATAGAATCAGTGGGAGCCCTGAGCTTGTTTTTCTGCAGCTAGACGGTCCCATCTGGGAGTGATGAGAGACAGTGACAGATCATCAGGCATTAGTTAGATTCTCAGAAGGAGTATGCAAGCTAGATCCCTTGCATGCACAGTTCACAATAGGGTTTGTGCTTATTGAGAATCTAACGCCACCGCTGATCTGACAGGAGGCAGAGCTTGGGCAATAATGCAAGCGATGGGGAGTGGCTGTAAATACTGATGAAGCTTTGCTCACACACTTGCTGCTCACCTTTTGCTGTGTGGCCTGGTAACTAACAGGCCACAGACCAATACCCATCTGTGGCCCAGGGCTGGGGACCCCTAATACGGAGTACATAATATGTAGCAATGTCCTAGTTGTTAAGTTGGGTGGTAGACTCACAAGTGTTTGTTTTATTATGTGTCATAGCCAATATGTAGTTAAAAATATCATTTCGTATTATCTAATATTCCATCTGATAGTTTCAATAGTAACAGTGGCCATTTCAAGGTAGTAAGATTTAGGCATGATTCCCTTCTCCCATATAAGCTTCTTAATTTTCTAAGTTCTTTTCAAACAATAACAGATTGTTTCTAGAATCAGAAAACATAAACTTTGTAAAATATATGAGAAAAATGTATACTGGCAAATTACAAATGGAAACGTGAAGATCTTTCCCATTTAAGGAGAAGAAGAGTCATGGATGATTTTCTGCTGATATGTTTAGAGACCTGGAGATCCTCTGTAGTTTTGGCTTTCAAATCTCTCCTCCTACTGTGTTTCTTGTACTTGGAGCACTTTTCTCATTTCCAGTCTCAGACTGGAAAGAAGTTAGTGTTGAACCACGCCCCAGTGGATACCTAAATTCTCTGGGAAATTGAATTTTTCCCTAGATAGAGAGAGGTGGTCCACGGAGATTGATAATGCAAGGCCCCAACCCTGTGCCCTGTCCCATCCACAGGGGACTCAGGCTGGCTGTGGCACAGGCATGGAGCAGAGAGAGGCTGGCTGTCTTAGGGCAGGGAGACTTTCCCAGAAAGGGCAAGGCCAGGGACCAAAAAGAACCCCGGGAATGTCACTGGGATGTTTGGTGGATTAGAAATCATGGCCACAACATTCTCAAGCATCTCCTGCCAAGAGGAGGTATCTAGTTCTCTGCCTCTTTAATCTGGGCGGGTCTTGATACTCGCTGTGGTCTCCTGAATGTGGTACAATCAGCATTGTGTGTGTTCCAGAACTAAGAGGCCTGCAGCTTCCATTTCCTCTTCCTTTTTTACCCAACTACCACGTAAAGAGGTCCAGGCTCTCCTGCTGGAGGGCGGAGCCACATGGAGAGTGAGACCTGAAGGATGAGAGACCATGGGGAGGAAGATGCCACAGGAAAGAGACCCATGACACCGCAGCAGACAGCCAGCACCAAGACTCCATCTATGTGAGGGAGGTCATATTAGGTCCTCCAGCCAGCTGATCCTGCTGATAACACTTGGAGCAGAGAGCTGAACCCACTGAGCCCTGCCCAAATGCCTGACCCATAGAGTCATAAGCCATCAAATAGTTCTGATTAGCTAGAGTTCCGGGTGCTTTGGACCCAGCAACAGATAACTGATACAGGGTGATAGAACAAGGAAATAAAAATACATCTCAATTAATTGAAAAGTTTGCAGGACACACTATTAAAAATTAGACAGGAAGTCAGACTACAATTGGGCCATCTGACTCTGCAACTCATCCAAGAAAAAGCAAAATCCGGCCGGGCGTGGTGGCTCACGCCTGTAATCCCAGCACTTTGGGAGGCCAAGGCAGGCAGATCACGAGGTCAAGAGATCGAGACCATCCTGGCCAACATGAAACCCCGTCTCTACTAAAAATACAAAAAAATTAGTTGGGCATGGTGGCGGGCACCTGTAATCCCAGCTACTCAGGAGGCTGAGGCAGAATTGCTTGAACCCAGGAGGCAGAGGTTGCAGTGAACCGAGATCACACCACTGCACTCCAGCCTGGTGACAGTGTGAGACTCCATCTCAAAAAAAAAAAAAAAAAGCAAAATCCAACAGCAAATTCTTGAAGGAATTTCTGGAAATTCTTGAAGGAAGAAAGAGCGGCTTATGAATTTTACAAGTTGTGTCACACAAAAGGCTTTCTAGAATCCTCTTTGGACTCTCTCTTTATCAATTACTTTTCAGTAACAGCAACTTCCGAAAGTCAGTCTCTCCCCTTCTCCGTCTTCACACATATGCACACATGCACGAGCACGCAGGCACACACATGTGCACATGTACACACATTGTATTAGGCTGTTCTTGCATTGCTATACAGAAATACCGGAGCCTGGGTAATTTATAAAGAAAAGAGGTTAAATTGGCTCGTGGTTCTGCAGGTTGTACAGCAAGCATGGTACAGGCATCTGCTTAGCTTTTGGGGAGGCCTCAGAGAGCTTTTACTCATGGTGGAAGGTGAAACGGGAGCAGGCACTTCACATGACCGGACCAAGAGCAAGAGGTTGGGCAGGGGGCATGCCACACACTTTTAAACAACCAGATCTCATGACAACTCACTATCACAAAGGCGGCACCAAGGAGATAGTGCTAAGACATTCCTGAGAAATCCACCCCCATGATCCAATCACCTCCCACCAGGCCCCACCTCCAACACTGGAGATTACATTTCAACATGAGATTTGCGGGAACCATATCCAAACCATATCACGCGTATACAAATGCACTTGCACACACACACACAGACATGCATATACACATGTTCACACATATACAAATGCACACATACACACATGCATGCACGTACACTCACATACATGCATCCACATGCATGCACGTACACTCATGTACATGCATCCACACGCACGCGTACACTCATGTACATGCATCCACACACATACATGCATCCACACGTACACATGTGCCTATGCACATAAACATGCATGCATGCACACACACGATTCCCTACCTCCCTGCCACGTTGCTCTACCAGCACTTCCTCTTCCATCACCGGCTATCATCTCTGTCATCTGTGTCGCAGTGAGTCTCCTTACTTTGTAAAGCCCCCTCTTCTTCTCCAAGTCCTCTTCTTTTGTGGAGAGCAGCTACTTGGAATTCTGATGAATCAATTCTCCATTTATTACATACTCAAGCCACAATAGCCACCCTTGCCAAGTTCCATGTATTTTACCTCTTCATTGTTTTTCCCTGCAGATTCTACGGTCCAACACCAAGGAGCCCTTTCCGTTCCAGCTCAAATCCCACAATCTCAAAACATTTTTTTCATGCTTCTCACTCCCACTCTCCATATCAACAGCCCATGGAATGAGCTTCTGTCTTTGCTAACCTTGGGGTTATCCTCCTATCTTGTTCTACACAGGTCTGCTTCTCTTGCTAGTTTATAACCTGCTTGCATCAAGTGCTGTGTCTTATTAATCTTTGTAACCACCACAGGCTCTAGCTCAGCACCACACACGTGGCAGGCATTCAATGATATTTGTCAAGTTGAGTGTAATTTAAATGAGGTCATTCATTCAGGTCTGTGCCAGGAAAAAAAAAAAAAGTCACCTTTTCTGAGATAAGCTGGGGTCACTTGCATACCAAGTCAGTCCAAACTGAAAGTAACATCAAATGACAAATAATCGTCTATTTCAAAACTAGAAAAGTAATGGATTTTGTTTGGAAAATAAGCATAGGAAGGACGTTTTTCCTTCTACTCTTCCGTGTTTTCCTGTATTTTGTAAATAAATGTGTGCTCATTTTACAATAAAAATAAATTTTCACATGAGTAACTCAGAAAACAGAAATCATATTATCATTTATGACATTATGTCCACTGGATACTTTCTTTCAAAGTGCTATGAAGGCAAATATACTTGTTTCTTCAGCCTGAAAGAATCATTTACCAGTTTCCCGATGCTATCAGCTAAGTATTCCACCAAAGAGGGAAAAATGACGCTTGGTCCAGCTCTGTGATAGATGGAAGTTAAACATCTGAAAGTTCATCAACCCACACGCCCAGCTGGCCAGCTTCCTTGTCTCCAGCTGATCCTTGGAATTTAATCTCAGTCCCAAATTTATAGATGAAATTCTCCCATCACATCCCATCTAGTTGAATTGTTAAAATGACTCTAATTTTGTTCTCTTTGACAGAGTCTTGCTCTGTCGCCCAGGCTGGAGTGCAGTGACACAATCATAGCTCATTGCAGCCTCGAACGCCTGGGCTCAAGCAATCTTCCTGCCTCAGCTCCTCAAGTAGCTGGGACCACAGGTGTGTGCCACCACACCCTGCTTTTTTTTTTTTTTTTTTTTTTTTTTGTATTTTTTGTATAGATGGAGTCTCGCCATGCTGCCCAGGCTGGTCTCAAACTCCTGGGCTCAAGCGATCCAGCTAAAATTGCTCTAATTTCATTATTTGAAATCTTTTCAAAGTTAAACTTCCAGAAACACCTCTATTCTTATTTTGGGAGACTATGTCTTGACCTTTCCTTAAGAGAGTTTAAGGTTGTCTTTAAGTTAAAATAAGATCATAACTCCTCAACCGAACATACAAATCATTCCCTTGGTCTAGTCTGCACTTTCAGCTTCTTCTCTGGGTGTTCCCTGGAAACCTGTTTCTCAGAGCTGTCGGTAGAGCACCTGCATCAGAATCACCTGAGGGCCGGGCGCAGTCGCTCACACCTGTAATCCCAGCACTTTGGGAGGCCAAGACAGGAAGACTTCTTGAGCCCAGGAGTTCATAAGCCAGCCTGGGCAACATGGCAAAACCCCATCTCTACCAAAAATACAAAAATTCGCCAGGCATGATGGTGTGAGCCTGTAGTCCCAGCTACCCAGGGGGCTAAGGCGGGAGGATCAACTGATCCCAGAAGGTCGAGGCTTCAGTGAGTCGTGTTCATGCCACTGCACTCCAGCCTGGGCAACAGAATGAGGGCCTGCCTCAGAAAAAAAAGGGGTTTGGGAGAAAGAGGAGAGGGGAGAGGGGAGAGGGGAGAGAGGAGGGAAAAGGAAGAAAGGAAGGAGGGAAGGAAGGAAGGAAGGGAAGAAGGGACGGGAGAAAGAGAAAGGAAATCACCCTGTGTACTGATTTAAGTGTAGACTCCCGAACCCACACACAGATCCAGACAGAATTGAAAACACATTCACCAGGTGATGTTCAGGTTCACAAAAGCCTGAGCGCCACAGCTTCAGAGCCCCTAGAGGCTCACCATTCCTCAACGGAGCACGTCATTCCCCACCCTCTGCCTAGAACAACCCCTCTTCCTTCTCTGCTGATCCCTGCTTGTTTTTCTAGACCTAGCTTGACTGTCATCTGCCCCATGAGGCATTGCCAGCCCTCGCAGGAAGAGTAAATGATTTCCTCAACTCCCCACACTTATAACTTGATATATATACAACTATAATAACTTGTATACCTGTCTGATCTCTGTTGAACAGGACCTTGTGCTTTTTTAATGAAAAGTAGATTTTTAATTTCTTAAGGTGATCTGGAGGTCAGAAGTGATAGGAATAGGAAGTTCAAGCCCAGTGTCTCTGGCCTGTGGGACAGCACCAGCCACACCCTTCTCCAAAGCCCTGAATTTGAATATAAGGTCAGACCATGGGTACTAGGGAGCCATTGAGTGTTCTTGAGCAGGGCATGGCTATGTGAGAGCAGGGTGGTGGGTGGCTGGAGGAAGACAGTGTGTCCTGGGGCAGTTGCCCCTCTTCCTCTCTCGGGTTTAGAGTGGGGTTTCTCTCCCTTGTGCTAACAACATCTGGGGCTGGATTATTCTCTGTGGTGGGGGCCATTCCAGGCATTGTAGGATATTAAACAGCATTCCTGGCTGCCACCCACTTGACGCCAGTAGCACCTCCCGGTTTTGAACACCAAAAATATCTTGAGACATTACCAAGGATCACCCTCTGGTGAGAGGCACTGTTTTGGAGTGGGAGGTGTGAGATCAAACAGAGAGAAGGCCAAATCCAGCAGGCTGGACTTGCTGCTACACCCATCCATCCTGTTTTCTCCGCTGCAAAACGGGTACGTGAGTGTCACATGTAAGAGTGTCTGGAGCCACGCAAATGCTCCATAAACATGAGCCAGGCACCTCATTACCACGAGTTCAGCCCCCTTATTATATAGAGGATGATGCTGAGGTCTGGAGGCCTCCAGAGCAGGAATGCAGGATTTTCTACCAGCTTGGGTCACCTGTGGGCCATCCATCTGATTTTGCCAGACTCAGTCAGTTACTCCTCCTGAGCAATCAGCCACGAATCCTGATGCGTGCAAGCCAGTAGGGAACTTATGATTTTCCTATGACTCATTAAGACAAACACACTGCTATTTTAAGAACATTCAACCTTGTTCTACCTAAAATTTTTGCATCACCTACTGGTGGCCGGATATCACGTGGGAAAGGCTGAGCTAGCTGTAGGTATACAGCAGGCACTCGGCAAGTCTTAGTTTTGGTGAATAGTGTTTCCACATTGGGTCAGCACATATGGACCCAAAGTGTGGGTCAGGAGCTTCTTGAGAACCAGAACGCCCCCTTCACTGCCAGCAAAGGGTCCTGGATGAGGTGAGCAGAGCAGAGAAGAGGAAACTGGGCGGGGCGTATGTTAGGGCCAGGTCAGGAGCGTTGAGAAGCGAAGCTGGAGACGATGGTATGGTCTGCACATGCCGCTGAGTGGCAGCACAGTATGCTGGCGAGACCACGGCCTTCTAAATCCAAAAGACTGTGTTTCACCCTGCTGCGCCCTTACTGGCTGCATGACCCCAAGTAAGACTCCCTGACTCTCCATTTCCTTGTCTGAAAAATGGAGATGGTACCACCTATTTCCCAGGTAGGGTTGCCAGATGAAATGCAGGATACCCAGACGCATCTGAATTTCAGACAAATAATTTTTTTAGCCCAAGTAAGTCCAATGCAATATTTAGGACATACTTTTAATTTGTGTTGTTGTTGTTTCTTTAGAGAAACAGAGTCTCACTCTGATGCCCAGGCTGGAGTACAGTGGCATGATCACAGCTCACTGCAGCCTCGACCTCCTGGGCTTATGTGATCCTCCCCCCTCAGCCTCCTGAGTAGCTGGGACTACAGGTGCCTGCCACCATGCCTGGCTTTTATTTATTTTATTTTATTTTATTTTTGTTGTAGAGATGGGGACTTGCTGTGATGCCTAGGCAGGTCTCAAACTCCTGGCCTCAAGTGATCCTCCTGCCTCAGCCTCCCAAAGCACTGGGATTATTTTTACTTTAAAAATTTATTGTTTATATGGAATTCAGATGCAATGGAGCATCCCGTATTTTATTTGCTAAATCTGACAACCTTATCCAAGGGTATCACGGGGATTAAAGAAAATGATTCCAAGGGCCTGTCAGAGGCACACATACAGTAGGCGCTGTGTTTTCTAAGCGACAGCACTTAGGAAACAACAAGAAACCATTAACATTCCTTGAGCAAGAGCACGACACAGCCATCCATCTCAGAGGGTCTAAATTTAGCTCTGGCCAAAAACAATTATTTGAGATTTCTTAACATGCCTAGAAGTAGAAAGTCAAAGTCATTTAAAATATATCACGTAAGTAGCTTTCAATTATAACTTTATCTTTTCCAGGTTCCGCCCCAGCAACTTTGTAATCTAGCGTGTTTGAAGTGTCTAAAGACTCCCAGCATAATGAATGGGGGTAATCATAGTCTTTCCCAGAATGCCTTGGCTTTGATGATATAGTGTGGCCGCCGCGTGGTCTGACTCGAATGACAATTGACTAACTCATGTTTCTGCTCAATTAACTTCCAGCCCTCGGTAGCAGAGCTGGGGTTTGAAGCTCTAACTCCTGGCAAGTCCCCTCCCACCAATAACCTCAATCTCCAACCAAGGCTCTCCTCGAAGAACGGATACATTTATCTTTCATAGCTGACTCCTGGGAGCAAATGAAAAAGTTAATAAATTAGCAGAGGAAATCATATGGAACTTAAGCAAGGTGTATTTTTCTCTAGGATCGCAAAAGAATCAGATGGGGGCCAGGCGCAGTGGCTCACCCCTGTAATCCCAGCACTTTGGGAGGCTGAGGCGGGCAGATCACGAGGTCAGGAGTTCAAGACCAGCCTGGCCAAAATGGTGAAACCCCGTCTCTCTACTAAAAATACAAAAATTAGCCGGGCATGTTGGCACGTGTCTGTAATCCCAGCTATGCAGGGCAGACTCTGCCAAGCTAGGTGACCTCCAGTTTCTTCTTCCTGCTTTTTTGGTGTGGGATTGGACGGCTAGAGGCAAAATCCCCTAATTTTTCCTACAGCCAGGTGTGTCTATGGGACTCAGCTCTAACCTATGGGTTGTAGTTGAAAGTGACATGTACAACTCTCATGTCACTTGTTGAGGATGGCACCCACTAGTCCAGGCTCCTGGGTGAGGTCATAAGACAGAAGCCTGGACCTAAACTTGAGAGAATAAACTTCTGGCCAGGCACGAAGGCTCACACCTATAATCCTAGCACTGAGATGCCAAAGCGGATCACTTGAGCTCAGGAGTTTGAGACCAGCCTGGGCAATATGGTGAAACCCTGTCTGTACAACAAAATACAAAAAAAATTAGTCAGGCTTGGTGGTGTGCACCTGTAATCCCAGGTGCTCAGGAGGCTGAGGTGGGAGGATTACTTGAGCCTGGGAAGTGGAGGCTGCAGTGAATTATGGTGGCACCACTATACTCCAGCCTAGACGACAGGGCAAGACCCTGTCTCAAAAAAAAAAAAAAAAAAAAGAATAAACTTCTGTGTTCTTAAAGCCACTAAATGTCACTGGGTCACCTTGTTACATCAGCCTAGACTTTACTCCACATAGCTCAGTTAATCTACGGAACTCAATTTTCTCAGATCAGTTATGCTTAGGATGAACTCCAACACTGTCTAGACCAAGCCCTACAGGGCTGTTATAGGTGGAATTGTGTTTTCTGGAATATTCCTATGGTGAAGCCCTAACCCCCAGGACCTCAGGATGGGACAGTATTTGTGTTGCCAGTGGGTCGGTTCAGGTTCTTGACTTCACTGCACAAAACAATTTGAGAACAAGACCAAAGTCAAAGTTGGCAAGAGAGTTTCTTGCAACGTGAAAATTCCCTCTGACAGCTGATCAAAGCAGGTCCCTCAAAGGCGAGACAGCACCGACTGACATGGGGAAATCCCTTCATGGGAGGCTTACAAGGTTATTCGTGAAGCGGCAGGAACAGGCATTGCTGTGAAGCATGTTTTAAGTGGTCCCCTGGATGCACACGTGCTATTGGTGTACATGCTAGTACACACATCACGTCTCATTAGCATCTTAACTCTCCACCCAGGGGCGTGTTTGTTACTATTATAATAAGCATAGGTCAGCCCAAGGACACTAAGCATGGGTTTCTGTGCTTGCGTGAATTCGGGGATTTTCAGCCGGGCTTGGTGGCTCATGCCCGTAATCCCAGCACTTTGGGAGGCCAAGGCAGGTGGATCACCTGAGGTCAGGTGTTCAAGACCAGCTTGGCCAACGTAGTGAAACCCCATCTCTACTCAAAATACAAAAATTAGCCAGGCGTGATGGCGGGTGCCTGTAATCCCAGCTACTTGGGAGGCTGAGGTGGCAGAATCATTTGAACCCAAGAGGTGGAGGTTGCAGTGAGCTGAGATCGCGCCATTGCACTCCAGCCTGGGCGACAGAGCCAGCCTCTGTCCCTAAATAAATAACGAGGATTTTCCCCTCTTCCCTTCTCCCTCCTTGCTACAGGATGTTCTAGCTGTCAACCCTTGAGATCCCAACATTGCTGGGAACCGAGCCCAGGCTGCAGTTTGCACACTGTCAGGTGGTTTGTTCTCTCCTCCTATTTGGCAAGTTTTTTTCTCCTTTAAGGGAGTCTATGGCCAATCTATCTGACCTACCTCATTTGGACACAGGATATTTGAGAGGTGATTAAGTTAAAATGAGGCTGTTAGGGTGGATCTTTACCCAACAGGACTGGTGTCCTGCTACGAAGACACAGACACACATAGAGGAAAGGCCAGGTGAAGACATGGAGAGAAGACGGCCATCCACAAGCCAGGGAGAGAGGCCTCAGGAGAAACCAGCCCTGCTGGCACCTTGATCTTGAACTTCCAACCTCCAGAACAGTGAGAAAGTAAATTGCTAGTGAAGCTGCCCAGTCTGTGGTACTTTGTGATGGCAGCCAAATGGATGAATACAAGGACACTGTATAATGCAGTTTCTGCAAGTGGGGCACCCCTGCTGTCCTGCAGCTGCCTGCTTTCCAGAAGGTCCCACCTGGCCCACAGCTCTACAGTGAGTGTCCCACCACCACTCCCCTTCCACCTCTATTTATTCCCTCCCTGGCATCAATCACACTCTCTGATTCTATTGTTATTTATCATTGTACTCACTCACTGGTGCCCTGTCACCATGAGGGTCTCCTGGCCGCAGCAGAGTTCACTCCCTTCATCCCCATTCTATCGCCAGCACATGGCATCAGGCATGACACAGAGGGGTGCTCAAGGACAAGTGTCAAGATAATGAGTTACTGGTGATTTAGATTCAAATATACATAAATATGTCTAGAGAACTACAATGGCTCAACTGAAGGCAACTTTTGGGGGAGCAGAGAGATTTCAGGGCCAGACAGAGAAGTCGTCCCTGAAGAAGAGCTGTGTAGTGGTTAATTCTATGTGTCAACTTGACTGGGCCACAGGACACCCAGATATTTGGTTAAATATTACGCTGGGTGTTTCTGTGAAGAGGTTTCTGGATGAGATGAACATTTGAGTCAGGAGACCGAGTGGAGTGGACAGCCTTCCCCAGTGTGGGTGGCATCATCCAATCCACTGAGGATCTCATTGGAACAAAAAGTAGGAAAAAGAGAATCAATCAATCAATCAATCTCTTTTTCTCTCTCTCTGCCTGACTGCTTGAGGTGGGACATGAATCTTCTCCAGCCACTGGAATAAAATTTACAGGATTTACACCATCAGCTCTCTTGCTTCTCAGACCTTAGGCTTGGACTAGAACATCAGCTCTCCTGGGTCTTTATCTTGCCGACCACAGATCCTGCGACTTCTTAGTTTCCCTAATCATGTAAGCTAATTCCAATCCATCAATCAATTAATCAATCAATCAATCTCTGACTCCTCAGAAACTTCATTCTGTTGCTCTGGAGAAACTAATGAATACAAGTTTAGACAAGATGAGCTGAACTTGGCACAGGTACAGAACTAAGGGGTGGAGAGGAGTGGTGGGACTTTCCCTCAAGTCCAGCTGAAGTGGGCATGCTGGTGGCCACCTGGAAGAAAGGGGTATGGGTGAACTGCAGGAGTGGTTGCATTTGCTGTCACCCCTTGAGATCCCAACAGTGTTGCTGGGAGACCCTCCTGTTAGTCTTCCTTCACAGACGACGCTTGTAAAACTGAGGCCTGGGAGAAGTACTGCTTTGATCTGAGAACGATGGCAGAACAGCCAGCCAGGCAGGGCTCAGAGCGGCAGGCTCCAGCCCAAGGCTGCAGGACTGGAAGCCACAGTCCAGCATGGGCGGGAAGCCTCTCCACTCATGTGAGAGCCCCAAGACACTCACTGGGGACTCCCAGGAAGACCTGAAGGAAAGGGGACTTCTGAAGGGGAAGCCAACAGGTGGAGGTTAATGAGGTGTAGGGTTTTGTTTTTTTTTTTCTTTTAGGACAGAGTCTCGCTCTGTTGCCCATTCTGGAGTACAGCGACGAGATCTCCGCTCACCACAACCTCTGCCTCCCGGGTTCAAGCGATTCTCCTGCCTCAGCCTCCCGAGTAGCTGGAACTACAGGTGTGCGCCACCATGCCCGGCTAATTTTTGTATTTTGAGTAGAGATGAGGTTTCACTATGTTGGCCAGGCTGAAGCAAACGAGGCTTGGGAAAATGAATGTTTACCCAAAGCCACGTGGCTGGTGAGGGCAGAACAGAGATTAAACCAAGGACTGGCTGACTCCAGAAGTCTTTCCACTCCACCACGCAGCTTCCTTAAAGATCACCCAGCCCCACCTTCTCATTCTACTCATGAAAACACTAGGATCCCAAAAAGTAGGTGACTCCATTGTATAACATGGTCAGTGAGTGCCGAAGCTAATTGTAATGCTCAAATCTCCAGTTAAATTCTTTGTCCCCTGGGGCCTGCGGTACCCACCTTGTAGGTCCTAATCCTCCAGTCAAAGACCACAGGAACACACCTGCAGCTGGACAAGTCCGGTTTATCACGCGTTGTAGCCAAGGAAAACACACTCCATCGGGGAGCGTGGAGTGTCCCAGTAAGACGGTGTTCAGAAGGACTTAGTCAAGGGTTTGGGCATGTGTTAGGTGGTTTGAGGAAGGCAATACTCCAGATTGGATGCTGTCAGGAAGCAGCATCCTGCTTCCTGAACAAACAGGGTTCTTTGTCCCATGGCCATGAAAATTCAGGCCAGAGTCCCTGCTAGAGCACTTCCTGCCGCAGCTTGAATTCCAGGTTCCACACAGGAAGAGGAGGGGCCAGGCTCCTCCCTGCTGCAAACGGCTCAAACTTCCCAAGTCTCTACCCCAGTGGGCGGGCTGGTTAGAGTTTCTCCAGGAACCCTCTCCCACCTGGCTGTCTCAACAGGAAGAGCAGTTCCCAGGAGAGAAACCCCAGGTAGCCAACAGACACATGAAAAGATACGCAATGTCTCTGGCAATGAGGAAAATACAAAGTAGAGCAACAATGAGATGTCCTCATGAGAGGTGAGGCCAGCTGGACTTCCTGGGTCAAGTGGGGACTTGGAGAACTTTTCTGTCTTACAAGAGGATTGTAAAATGCACCAATCAGCATTCTGTAAAAACACACCAATGAGCACTCTGTAGCTAGCAAGAGGATTGTAAAATGCACCAATCAGTGCTCTGTAAAATGCACCAATCAGTAGGATCCTAAAAGTAGCCAATAGCAGGGAGGATTGAAAAAAGGGCACTCTGATAGGACAAAAATGGAACATGGGTGGGGACAAATAAGGGGAATAAAAGCTGGCCACCCCAACCAGCAGCGGCAGCCCTCTCGGGTCCCCTTCCATGCTGCGGAAGCTTTGTTCTTTCGCTCTTCACAATAAACCTTGCTACCGCTCACTCTTTGGGTCTGTGCCATCTTTAAGGGCTGTAACATTCACCACGAAGGTCCATGGCTTCATTCTTGAAATCAGCAAGACCACAAACCCACTGGAAGGAACCAACTCCAGACACACTCAGACCCATCAGATTGGCAAAACATCAAAATACTCATCAGGCAAAGATTGGGAAAGATGGAGAGAAACAGGAAATCCCATACTAAACATCAGAGTATAAATTCATAGGACTTTGCAGAGCAAATTGGCAACATCCAGTTCAGCTGAAAATGTGCATACTCTGATCTTCCAGTTTAAAATCTGTAAATGGCCTGAAAAAATTCTTACATATGAGCCTAAAAAGACATGTACAAGAATGTTGATTGTACATAACAGAAACAGAACAAAACAAGTCCCCCCAAATGGAAATAACCTAATGCCCACCACAGAAGAATGGATAAGTCAACTGTGTTATATTCAGACATTGGAACACCATATGGCATTTAAAATGAAAGAACGAGAGCTACATCTATCTGCTTTGAATAAATTCCAGAAAGAATGTTGAGAAAAAAGCCCAAAAAACAAAAACAAAAAAAACCCCAAGATACAGTGGGACATATTTACAACAAAGATACCATTTATATAAATTTTTAAAACAGGAAACAATGCTTTATAATTTTTATGGATATACAGCCTATGTGGCAAAAATATAAAAATGTGAATGGAAATGATGAAGGCTGAATTCGTGAGAATGATCTCCTCTGGCGGGAGAGGGAGGGAGAGGAAAAGATCCAAGAAGGGTACACAGGAGGCCTCAATTGTTATCTGTCATGTATAATTTCTTTAAAATAATTCTCTGGCAAATATGGCTTAATATTAAAATTTGATGAAGCTGGATAATGGGTATGTGAGTTTTTATTCTTTATTCTTATCTGTATGTTTCAAACATTTATTGCTTTATTCTTTATTTTTATCTGTATGTTTCAAACATTTATTGCTTCAAGCAATAAATTTGCTCTTTGATTTGAGTGGGAAGAGGCAAGTTCATTTTTCTAAGCAGGGACAATAGAAACAGCAATGAGGGAACCAGGAGAACTAGACTGGAAACTGTAGAACTGGGAACTATGCAGCCTGGACAACATAACAAGACCCAGTCTCTACAAATAATTTTAAAAATTAGCCAGATGTGGTGTTGTGTGCCTGTGGTCCTAGCTAGTCTGGAGGCTGAGGCAGGAGTGTCGCCTAAGCCCAGGACATCAAGATCATGCCACTGCACTCAAGTCAGGGTGACAGAGTGACATCCTGTCTCAAAAAAAGAAAAAAAGAAAAAAGAACTGGGATGGCAGAAAGAGGGACGGAAAAGGATCTAGAATGTTTTCAGGTTCTGAAAGTGTCCCACCCCCAATCTAATTCTGGACTCCCACAATACCCTGTGTTTTTATCTATCACTACTCTTTCCATATCCAATAGAAATCTGTTTTCAGTACTCACAGTGTCACCCCATCATTTTGCTTATATCTATTTTGTCATATGTTTATATAATTGATACATGTTTGAAATGCTTGTTCCCTGGTGCTGCAAAGAAATAGCATTTGAACACAAATTTAATTTTCTCAGCAAGGCCATTTTTACTTTCTGCAGAAAGGGTACACTCACGAGCAATTTTGCCAGTAGAGTACACTGAACAACGGAGACGGGGTTATTTATAACCTGACACGTCCGCCCTACTGCTGTGTCCAGTTTCCACTGGCTGGAACGGGACCTCACATTCTGTATTTGTCCTGATTGGCTAGCAACTTAGAACTTTTTAAAAGAGGTAAAGGCAGAGGAGAACAAAGGAAGAAGGGAGTAACTTGTGGAATGCTGAGAAAGGTAAAAAGGTAAAAACACCTTCAAATAAGGAAGAGGAATAGGCTATGACCTAATGCTTCCTTGGACCAGTATAAGCATACCAGGGCAAATATTTAGGCTAATTTGTGGGAGCTAAGAACACAAAGTACATTGATTTCTTTGTTACGGCTAGCAGATATCTAAGCATGTTAGCACAGGTCTTTGAATAAATTTTGCTTCTAAGAGAAGTTACTATTTATTCCTAATTAGACGGGAGGAAAGTCTCTTTGAAGAGGAACATCTACTTTACTTTTTATATACACAAAGGTGGTTATCTCAGAGTGGCCAGGATTTCAGATGATGTCTACTTTCTTTATTATGTACTTTTTTAATAGCATTTGAATGCTTACAAATTAAGAAAATTAAATTTCCAAACAAAAAATGAATTCTTTTACAGACGAAATTCTTTTCTCTGTCCTGTGTGTCTGTCTGCCTATCCCAGAATGAAACATCCTTGAAGGCAGGAAGCACATCTCATTCAGATTATTTCCTCCTCTGAGCCTAGCCCTGCCCTGGCTCACAGCAGATGATTGGCATCTGCTGAATGAATGATGGGTGAATGAATGATGTGTCCTTCAGAAGAAAGGCTAAAGTAGGGAGGAAGGAGGCGATCAGGCAGGAGGGAGGGACTAAGAATCAGAATCCTCACTGGGCTTTGCTGCCATAAAAGTCAAATGTGCTCTAAGATGGGAAAAGAGTACTACAACTTATTTAAAGGTATAAAAAACAAGCAAACGAAACAAACAACGATGCCCCACTGAGCCACGTGGCTTTCACAGACACAGAGCCTTAGAATAGCATGCAACCTTAAAGACACCTTGCCCTATTGCTTACTTAATGCCAGAGTCCTTCCAACGACTTTCCCAATTAACTCTTGCCCCTTGCCGACATTAGCCTCTCCCAGGTGTGGCCATTCTATCTTTGGCTGGTTCTGTTGGAAATTTCTTTTTGATAAGGTGAAATCCTGTACTCTCCATCCGGATCCTGCTTCTTGGGGCCATTAAATGGAAGATGAACCTCTTTGGAGCTTTCATTCAGATCTAAGATGGGACAAGGCACATTTTCTGTGAACACCTGTGCTTTCCAGTTTAATAAAATAGCCCAGGTACCCAGCATGGAGAGGGTGCCTGAGGCCAAGGAGCTAATGGAGGAGACTCCCTGGGCTTGGAGATGCAAGGCCTGGAGGGGCCAGGGCAGGGCCTTCCATCTGGAGAGCTGAGCAACCCTCCCTCTCCACAGGCTCCAACCGAAGATTCCTGAGGCCCAAGGAGAGAGGGTAAACAAAGGAGGCTGACCTGGCTCTCTGACAATTCTACGTCTTTGAGCTTCCAGGTCCTCCTCTAAGTGCTTTCATTTAATCTTCACTGAACTCTACGATGTAGGGACTATTATCCCTCTTGAAGGAATGAGGAGGCAGACACAGAGGTTGCAGCCTGTGCTCTGACCCACTCGGCCATGCAGCCTCCCTTCATGTCCTGATGTCCCGAACAAGGAAGACAGCCGTGGCCCAGGGCTGGAAGGCAGGGCACAGGACCGTACCATACATTCCCAGTGTGGTGGGACAGAGCCCCGGAGGAGGTGTGAATCATGCACTTGGAAGCGCTAGGCCTGTTGGTGAGAAGCAAGTGCCCATCAAAGCCTGTAGGACATGCATCAGGGGCAGGGTCACCTCCAAAGGGAAGAGGCAATCTGTCTACACTCTAGATAGGCTGCATCTACACTCTCATCTATATGATACACACATGGGTGGGAGGGTTTGTGTGTGCATCTCATAGATGTACTCTTAATCCAGATTAACTCTGGCTTTAACATTTAACTGGAGCAAGGAGGATCACTTGAGGCCAGGAGTTCAAGACCAGCCTGGTCAACAAAGAAGACCCCTGTCTCTGCAAAAAGTGTAAAAATCAGCCAGGTGAGGTGGTACACACCTGTAGTTCCAGCTACTTGGGAGGCTGAGGCAGGAGGATCGCTTGAGCCCAGGAGGTCGATGCTGCAATGAGTTGTGATCATGCCACTGCACTCCAGCCTAGGTGATGGAGTGACACTCTGTCTCAAAAAGCAAAACAAAACAAAACAAAACAAAACAAAAAACTAAAGAAACATATCTAGTTGTGAACTAGCAGCCAAACCTTCTGAGCCTGAGTCCACAGTGCTTGTCATCACTGACCAAAAAAATTAAAAATTTTCTGAGACCCAGATAAGAAGCTGGAACTCTTCCTTGCTACCTTGAACTCACGCTGTCTGCTCACTTCAAACGGCCTTACAATCCCACTATTTCACTGTTCGATGTCTCAGTCTGCACCTTCGTCAGTGTAGAGGTGCAGATTAATTCCACAGGCTTAAGTAAATTCAGTCCTCATTCCACAATCCCAATGTGGTGAGCACAGGCCAGACAAGGGGCCACACAGATCTTAGGAGAAATGGAACCATTTTTTTCTGTTATTTTTCTTTTTGATACCATCTGCAGGGACACGCAACAGCGAAAAGCTATAACTGCCTGAATGAGGATTTTTCTGTCTACTGAACTGCCCTCTGAAATCCCAAAGGATAATCATCTCTGAACAGCAATGTCATATTGCGCCCCCTTCTTGGGATTTACTTCCCTGAAAGCAACTATCTCAACCACAGCCCAGCATCATCTCAAAGGCAAAGACAATTCAACATAGTCCTGGCCTCATCTCCCTCTAGGTGTCTGGTAGAAGTGAGAGAACCACATACAGAAGAAAATGGATGGCCACTCCCCTTCACTTTCTCCCGGCAAGCTCTACTCAAGGCAAAGTGTGTTCCTGCAGAAAAATAGGGAAGAAGTCATAGTTTGAGTCTGAGTGACCATTTCAACAGAGAGAGGCTTCTTATTGGTCCCCAACCAATGGGCACCAGAAAACATTCAAAGAAACATCAGATAAGGAGAGAAAGATCAAACACAAGAAAAAGAGAGAAAAGAGAGCAGTCATCCAAGACAGGAAGAAATTGTGTGGACAGCAGCAGCAAAGGTCTTGGAAGAGGAAGAAGGGGAGAAGAACGAATGACAGAGGAAGCATGGAAGGAAAGAGACCCAGACACAGTAAGTCAGCCAGAGACAGAGAATGGACACAGACATGCAGAGACAAATGCAATGAATACCCAAAACCCAACAGACAACACACACAACCTCCGGCAGAGGTCGTTTGTCTTAAAATAATCCAAGCAGATTGCAAATTAGTTCAACCATTGTGGAAGACGTTGTGGTGATTCCTCAAAGACCTAAAAACAGAAATACCATTCGACCCAGCAATCCCATTACTGGGTATATACCCAAAGGAATTTAAATCATTCTATTATAAAGACACACGCATATATATGTTCCCTGCAGCACTATTCACAATAGCAAAACATGGAATCAATCTAAATCCCCATCAATAATAGACTAGATAAAGAAAACGTGGTACATATACACCCTGGAATACTACACAGCCATAAAAAAGAACAAGATCATGCCTTTTGCAGCAACATGGATGGAGCTAGATGGCATTATTTTTAGCAAACTAATGCAGGAACAGAAAACCAAATGCCCCATGTTCTCACTTATAAGTAAGAGCTAAATTCTGAGAACACATGGGCACATAGAAGGGAACAACACACACTGGGCCCTGTCAGAGGGTGGAGGGTGGGAGGAGGGAGAGGATCAGGAAAAATAACTAATGGGTACTAGGCTTAATACCTGGGTGACAAAATAATCTGTACGACAAACCCCCATGACACAAGCTTACCTATATAACAAACCTGCACATGTACGCCTGAACTTAAAATAAAAGTTGAATAAAATAAAATAACCCAAACAATTAGTCAAAATTTTGGTGGCAAGTATAGGGTCCATTGAAGGGATCATCTTTTGAGGGGAGACTGCAGGCGAGGATCTCCAAGATATAACTGTATCCACTCTATGTCCCCAGTAAGCTAAAAATCCCCTGTGTAAAAACCCTGAATAGAGAGCCCCCAGGCTCATGCATGCAAATGAATCTTGCACAATTTGTGCCCTTGAGGAAGAGCAGACTGATTTGCTACAGGTAGGTAATGTCAGATGTTTTTTCCCATTCACCTTCTTTTCCTTCTACCCGGTGAGCCTGTACACAGAACAGTCTGGAAGGTCTCAACAGGTACTGTCAGGCATGGAGCCATCCCTAAAGGTAAGAAATGTAGAATAGCCTTAGGGACATTTTTCTCTATAATTGCCAGGTATTTCCTCATATTTTTTGGAATGATTTTGTTTTCCACATCTAAGCTCTGTAGTGCTGATGAATACAGAGGTCCCTTGCTGGGAGCATCTCACTCTTTTCCCAGCTTGACCATACCTGCTCTAAAGCTCTCATGGGTTGCTAAGAATCCCTCCCCCAAAGGTCTTCACAAGGTATTTATGTACATCAAGGAAGGATTTTCACAGAAACACTTTGAGGAAGCAGGGCCAATATGAGTTTCTCCATTCTACAAAAGGAAGTGCAGAAATGATTGCAAAAACTCACTCAAGGTCCTCACAACCCAGCCACAGCACAAACAATACGTGGATTGAGGTCTCCCATCCAGTTCCAACTACTCCTGGGTATATCACCTTGGCTGTATATCTGAGGTGGCAAAGCTCCTGTCCTCACACATGTTCCCTCCTTTTGCTTCAGCTCTTTCTTGTCTTTAATTGAAGCATTGCAACATTTGAGTCCCCAGGTAGCTCCCACCTCCTTCCTCCCTCTCTAGAGACAACCACTATACTGAATTCAGAACCTGTCGTGCCCATGTATATTTAATAGCTTTTTTTTTTTTTTTTGAGACGGAGTTTTTGCTCTTGTCACCCAGGCTAGAGTGCAATGGCACAATCTCAGCTCACTGCAGCCTCCGCCTCTGGGTTCAAGCAATTCTCCTGCCTCAGCCTCCTGAGTAGCCGAGAAGGGGTGTACCACCACACCCGGCTAATTTTTGTATTTTTAGTAGAGGCGGGGTTTCCCCACGTTGGCCAGGCTGGTGTCGAACTCCTGACCTCAGGTGATCCACCTGCCTCGGCCTCCCAAAGTGCTGGGATCACAGGCGTGAGCCACTGAGTCCGGCCTATTTAATAGTTTTTTATTTAAGTATGCACATATAAATACCATAAAGAGTTGTTGTGTAGATTTCGAAACCTTTTATGTCATTCTGCAACTTGCTTTTTTTTTCTTTCCACGGTGGTTTAGAACTTTATCCATACATTAGCCCTGATTCATTCATTTCAACTGTTACTGTACTCTACACTGTCACCTCTTTTCAACAGCCTTGCTGGAAGTCTGCGCCTTCCTGTCTTTCTTCCCTTCCTCCACAGGATTGAGCGTCAGAATTTGGAGCCAGATGGGCTCAGCAGTCTGTCCTGTGCTTCCGGTAGGCCAATCCCCTGCTACGTTACAGCCACTATTAATTTCCACCAGGGTTTATCCCAAGTGATTGGATTAATGAGACTGTTGATACAGTAATTTCACTGCCGCTTCATAATTAGTTCTCAGTGGCAGTTGTTGTAGTCATGATCCTTCTCAGTAGGAAGAGGTAGAGATAAAACTGGAAATAGAGCTTTTCGAAACTACATGAAGCAGGAAATTTAAAATGGGACCTGGCTAATTCCTACCCAAAAGACCACTGAGACTTGGTAAATAAAAGTAAAGTAAAAGTTGTGCTTTGGGTATGTTGGGAGACATATGTAGGAATGTCATTTTCTCAAAATATTCTGATAAGATAATTAAACCAAACCATAATCAACTGAAAACTCTTTTTTTAATGTGGAGAATTATATGGCATAACAGCAGAATAAAACTGCACATGTTGAACTGCTGGGTTAGGTGGCCGTGAGAGCTGTGCATTGTCTGAGCTCACCATTCTAGGGGAGACATTGTCAAGCCCGTCCCTCTGATTGCAGCTACCAGTTTCGTGGCAGTGAGATCCATGTCATTTACCCCTGGAGCCAAGCACATATCTGGTTTTTCCATTTGTTAAATGAATTGTTTAGCGAATGAAGAAAAGTAGCAACAGTGAAGTTGCATTGGCACATAAGAATTTCCTAAAGGCTGCCCATGAAAAAAAGAATTATACCAAGCTGCCAAAAGGGCTATAGATAAACTCACACATGGCAGCTACAAACAGGAAGGGAAGAAGCAAATGTTATAATGAAGCCAAGTTCATTCAGCAAACACCAGCCGAGGGCTTTCTAAGCCCAGTGCTGCAGCCTGAAGAGAAATAGAAAGGGCCTAAAGATAAGGGAAAGGAGGAAATATTTACTGAACATCTACTCTCTAATTTTATTCATGTTGAATTTCATCTTTACCACACAGAGAAGTAGATGCAAGCTCCATTTTGCTCATGAGGGTGTTACAGGACCAACAGGTGGGTATGCCCATTGCACAGTAACAGACCAACTACACTGAGACAGCAGAGTTTGCAGCAGAGAAAGAGTTTAATGATCACAGGGCTCCAAGCAAGGAGATGGAAGGAGACCCTCAAATCCATCACCCTGAGGAGCTCTAGGCTGGGGTTTTTAGGGGGATCATGGAGGGGAAAGGGGCTGGAAAATTGGGGTCATTGATTGGTTAGAGGAGAGGGGATGAAATCATCAGAATATGGAAACTGCATTCTTTGGTGAGTCAGTTCCTGTGAGGTCCTTCAGACCAGCTGACGTCAGTAGCTTCATTGGTATGCAGAACCTGAAAGAATATCTCAAATGGAAAATGTAACACTTTATAACACTCAAGCTGTTATCTATAGAGCAGTTAAGGGGAACTATAATCTTGCAGGGTCTACGTGATTCTGAGGCAACAGGCACCAAACAGCTATGAGGAAGCAGGTCAGAGAGCAGGCTGCCCTCATGATTAATACTGTGTGTGCTGCAAGCTTGGTTTATCTTCGTTTCTTCCCCTTCCTTCTTCCATGACTAATTTTATAAAGTATATAGGGATGGCTTCAAAGATGCCAAGACTGAGAAAGGCTGTCTAATGGAGCCACTGCCATTAAGCTAAGCAGCAGCAGACCCAGGATTCATTCCCAGTTCTCTCTGACCTGAATGCCCCTGGCTTTCCAGAGAAAATATGGCATCTCTCCAAGATAAGGAATGGTCCTAGACTTTGAAGAGCTTACAGCCTAACAAAGGAGATCATTTCAGTTTAATTTTAAAAAATAACCCATTAGAAAACAACCATGGACAGAGGAATTGAGACTTCAGTACTCCTCATAACTGGGTAAAGTTTAGCCTATGAAATTTTATCTGTTTTCTTCCTACATTCTAGAAAAACACCACCTGAATGTTGTCATTTCTTCTATTTCTGTTTCCTAGGATGATTTCTTTACACACTCCACCTGACCACATGGATTGAAGTTTGTCATGAACATTGTCACTTTTTGGATCACCCAGCATCTGAACCTCCTTCCAACATCTGGGGTGCTCCCAATCTTATGAATTTTAGTGACAGGCAGAGGCTACCTCCCACTACAGGGGCCAAAAATGCCAGCTGATTACCTTCCCAGTCCCCTTGCTGCTAGAGCATGATCACATGGCTGAGGCTTTGAAACAGGAGTGAGTGAGGCAAGGAAGCGAAGACCACAGATGATTCTGAAGTTTAATGAGATTGAGCCCCTGAAGGAGGAGTGGTATAGTGCTGGGGCGGCAACCTGTGTCCAGAGCCAGGGCTCCTGGTGCTGGTACCGAGGGTGTAGTCTTCAGCATGACAACGGTTTTGTCCTCCCCAGACCAGCTCTGTACTGGAATGTGCTGGGATTATATCCCTTGGTCCTGGCTCAGTGGCCTCTGAGCCCAGGTCTGCATGTCTCTACCCTTCTACTGAGCTAACCAACATTATTTCTTAGACAATTTTAATCAATAATAAAGCTTAAATGTAAAACTTGGACAAATCAGTTAAATCCTACTTGCCTCCCCATAGAAAGGCAACAGACTGCTTGGAATTGACATTACCATTTTCATGCATCTTTAATACTTTATATTAGGGAACCCTGAGCACTACACAGCAATCATCCTGTATACTCTTAAACTTCATACAAATGGTGTCATACTCTATGTATCCTTCTGAAACTGGCTTTATCTCACTCAACACTATGATTATGGATTATTCCAGGATGATACATGTGGCTATTAGTTCACTCATTTTTACTGCTGTGGCTCTAATAGAATTCCACTGAAAGAATGTATCACAATTTGTACATTCCTTTACGGGCAGACATATGAGTTATTTCTAATGTTATGGTAATATAAATAATACTGCTGTAGACCCTCTGGTACATAGCTCTTGGTCTTTGTGTGCCAGGGTTCCTAGAGGGTATATTCCTAGGAGTAGAATTGATAGGTCCTACCACATGAGCCTCCCCAGGCTTACTAGATAATGCCATATATCTAGTTCTCTAAAGTGGTTGTATCTTATTTTAGTTTAACAAGTTCCTTCTGCTTAAATGAGCCAGAGTTCATTTCTATTACTTTTTTTTTTTTTTTTTTGAGACTGTCTTGCACTGTCGCCCAGGCTGGAGTGCAGTGGCACGATCTCCACTCACTGCAAGCTCTGCCTCCTGGGTTCACGCCATTCTCCTGCCTCAGCCTCCCAAGTAGCTGGGATTACAGGTGCCTGCCACCATGCCTGGCTAATTTTGTGTATTTTTAGTAGAGATAGGGTTTCACCGTGTTAACCAGGATGCTCTCAATCTCCTGACCTCATGATCCACCTGCCTCAGTCTCCCAAAGTGCTGGGATTACAGGTGTGAGCCACTGCGCCCGGCCCATTTCTATTACTTTTAACTAAGAATGCAGTCTGATGTTGGGAGACAATTGCCATGGGTTTCTCACCTTTCTGCATGTCTTAGAGCAGAGGTTATCACTGTCTTTGTTCCAGGGTATCTCTCCAAGGATTTTGGAGAATGAACAGCTTTGGAAAACAGTGGTATGTCCTCAGAAGCAGAAGGCAGGGCTTATTGATTCTCTGTGCAGAATAACAAAGATAATGCCTCCTTCCAGGGCAAAAGTCAGGAAGGCTTAAACTCATTATAAAAGATTCAGGTTACTTAGGCTTGGGATTCCTCTCGTGAAATGAACCCCACTGTGTATGCAGTTATCATCTAAACATCTTCACATCCCTGGGGCTCAAGGAAGCGGTATAAATGATGGTATTCTGGCTATAGTCATTGCAATAAGTAACAGAGTCCTTTGTCTCTGACCCAGGAGCCTCATGTCTTCTGCCAGCATCCATGAAACTCTGGCAAGCTGACTTATTAGCTTGCAAGCAGTATAAAATCTCAGACCCTTCACAGTCCTTGAAAAGTGACACAGAAAGTAGGGTGGTTCGGGCAATCGACCTTCAGGGAAACTAGGAGGGGGACCTGAGATTGGTTGTCTGAACTGATCAGAGCTTATGACACTTAAAAAAAACATTAATATTAAGAAATGAGACTTTAGCCATTCGTGTGTATACATTAGGAATGCTCCCAGCTCTAAGCAATGGAATATTGATGTTAATAGTGGCTTAAGCAATAAAGACTTAATTATATCATATAACAAGAACTCTGGAAATAAGAATTGCAGAGCTGGTACAGAAGCCCAGTGAGGCCAAAGGCCCAGGCTCCTTTTTCCTGTTCTGCCCTATCATCATTAGTTGTCGCCTCATTGTTACCAGATAGCTGTTGCAGGTCCAGGCAGCTTGTCTGCATCAAGGTAGGAAGATGAGAGAAAAGCTGGCACCAGCTGCATCTGATCTTTTTACCAGAAAAACAAACCATTGCCCTGAAGCCTTCTGGATTGGGATAAAGCCATAATTACTCATGACTTTCAGCTGGGCAAATGCTAACTGTCCCCAACAAAACTAGTAAACAAGGAAGAAGAGGCCAAAGGAGAGTGGGATGAATGTTCACCAAGGATCCGACAGTGTCTGCCACAGTCTACCCAGAGATCCCCCAACATCCCAATATCTGACCCAGGTGCTACATCCAGCTCAAAGTCCAGAATCTTAGGTCCAAATGTGTCTTCTCAAGGTCTAGTGACCTGTAAGCTAAAAAATAAATAAATTATTTAATTCACCTGCTCAACAGTATTAAGCAAGTAATAGAATAAGTGAATCAACATTTTTCAGAAAAGAGAAAAATACAAGGCAGTCACCCATCCACAACACGCATGCCATATCCCACCAAAAGTGAACAGAGCAGACACTCTGGTTGGCAGTCTTGAGCTCTTCAGTGTGCCAGGCCAGCAACCCCTGGTTCTGCCTTTGAAATGACCTTCTCTGCCCATTGGCCTCTTTGCCCCCTTGTCCTGGACCCTGGGGGTGCTGCCTTGCCCACTGTCCTCCACAGCCCCTCTGAGATGGGCACTGAGGAGGATCCCCTGGAGTTGCATGATTTTCACAGTCTTTTTTATTTTTTAGAGGTGGGGTCTCACTATGTTGCCCAGTCTGGCCTCAAACTCCTGGGCTCAAGCCATTCTTCCACCTCAGCATCCCGAGTAGCTGGGGTTACAGGCACACACCACTATTCTTGGCACAGCTGTTTCTTTCTTTCTTTCTTTCTTTCTTTCTCTTTCTTTCTTTCTTTCTTTCTTTCTTTCTTTCTTCCTTTCTTTCTTTCTTTTTTTAACTGGTATATTGTTTCTTATACACTTTTATAAGGCTATTATGTACATTCTTGGACAAGTCTTTCTTTGGATACCAGCAACCACTTTTTCACCTGTCCAATTAGAAAAGGTCAAAATCTTGGATAACACATTTTGTTGGCAAGGTCATGTAGGCAGGCACTCTCATACTGCTGATGGGAGCATAAACTGGAACTACTTCCATGGAGGGCAATTTGGCTAAATATATTACTCACGTATATATGAGTAATTTTGAGATATATATAGATATCTATCTATATACATTTGACTCTATACATATACATTACTCATGCAATGTCTTTTGACTAATTCCATTTCCAGGAATGTATCAAACAAATGTATTTATGCATAAAAAATGACAGTTCTACAGGATTATTCATTGCAGCTGTGTTTCTAAAGTACAGGCTTGGAAACCACCTAAATGCCAATCAATCAGGGATGGTTGAATAAAATATGGTACATCCATACAATGATATTCTATGCAGAATTCATTGTATATTGTATAACGAGAATGCTCTTAACTTAGATCTCCAAGAAACATTGTTAAAAACAGGTGCACAATAATGTTTATAGGATAGTCAGTGTTATCTGTGCCAAAAAGAAAGGGAATCATATACCTCTGGAAGGACACGTAAGAAATTGATAACAAACGTTGCAGAAGGGAACTGAGTGACATGGGCATGGGTGGGAGCAAGACTTTCCACTAGGTATTCGTTCTTTCATCTTTGAGCCATGTAAATATATTAGCTATCTAACATTTCAAATTAAACACTTGGTAGGCCAATGTTCATGGCAGCATTGTTCACAACAGCCAAATAATGGAAACAACCTAAATGTCCGTCAATGGGTAAATAAATAAACACAGTGTGGTCTAGCCGTACCATGCAATACTACTCAGCCTCAAAAAGGAAGAGAATTCTAACACATGCTACCACATGATGAACCTTGAGGACTATGCTTAGTGAAATAAGCCAGTCACAAAAGGATGAATATTGTATGATTCCACAAATAGGGTGGCAGCTAGAAAGCACAAATTCACAGAAACAGAAAGTTGAATGGTGGTTGCCAGAGGCTGTGGGGGAAGGGAAAAAGCGGATTGTTTGATGGGTTATAGAGTACCATTTTTACAAGATGAAAAGAGTTCTGGAGAAGGATCATGATGATGGTTGCACAACATTATAAATGTATTCATACCACTGAATTGTACACATGTAAATGGTTAAAACAGTAAGTTTTAGGTTATGTGTATTTCAACACATTTTTTAAAAATTGGTAAAAGAAAGAAAGAGAGAAAGAAGAAAGAGAGGAAGAGAGAAATAGAAAAAGAAAGAAAGAAAGAAAGAAAGAAAGAAAGAAAGAAAGAAAGAAAGAAAGAAAGAAAGAAAGAGAAAGAAAGAAAGAGAAAGAGAAAGAAAGAAAGGAGGGAGGGAGGGAGGGAGGGAAGGAAAGAAGGAAGGAAGGAAGGAAGGAAGGAAGGAAGGAAGGAAGGAAATAAATCAGAAAAAATCCAATTGAGAGGCATTCTACAAAATAGCCAGTACTCAAAACTGTCAAGGTCAGGAAAAACAAAGCCAGGCTGTCAGAGGTCAGAAGAAACTGAGGAGATATAACAAGTAGATGGCATGTGGTATCCGGGATTAAATCCTGGAACAGAAAAGGGACATTAATTTAAAAACTAGTGAAATTCAAATAATGGCTGGAGTTAATAGGTTTGTACCAATGCTGGTTTCCTAGTTTTGAAAAATGTACTGTGGTCCTGCAAGATATTAACAACAAGGGAAACTGGGTGAGGGGTAGACGGAGGGTCTGTATACTATCCTAACAATGTTTGCATAAGCCAAAAGTTATTCCAAAATAAAAAGTGTATTTTAAAAATCCAACATTTTAGTTATTTTCAGGAACAGGATTTGCCAGAATAACCTAACCCACCTTAATCTGAAAATGGAAGGCTTTCCCCTAGACAACCCCATCATTCATTCCCTATCTCCTTCAGGTCCCTGCTCCAATGTCACCTGATCAAGGATTTTCCCCTGAACACACTACTAAAAACTACTGCAACGTTTGTTATCCATTTCTTAGTAGCCCCACCTCACCTGGAGTGATGGTTAATACTGAGTGTCAACTTGATTGGATTGAAGGATACAAAGTATTGATCCTGGGTGTGTCTGTGTGGGTGTTGCCAAAAGAGATTAACATTTGAGTCAGTGGGCTAAGGAAGGCAGATCCACCCTTAATCTGGTGGGCCCAATCTAATCAGCTGCCATCCAGTATAAAGCAGGCAGAAAAACATGAAAAGGAGAGACAGGCCTAGGCTCCCAGCCTACATCCTTCTCCCGTGCTGGATGCTTCCTGCCCTTGAACATCAGACTCCAAGTTCTTCAGTTCTGGGACTCGGACTGGTTCTCCTTGCTCCTCAGCTTGCAGACGGCCTATTGTGGGACATTGTGATTATGTAAGTTAATACTTACTAAACTCATATATATATCCTATTAATAAACTCATAAATATGAATTAATAAGCTCATATATATATGAATTTACATATATATATATGTGTATATATATATATATCTCCTATTAGTTCTGTCCCTCTAAGAGAACCCTGACTAATACACTTGGCTACAAGGAATGGAAGCTCTAGAAGGGAAGCTCTAGAAGAGAAGTCCTAATTATTAACCACGGCTTCAACAGTAGGTTAGGAACAAGAACTACAGCATCTCACCATGTTTTCTTTTCTGGTGTGTCAAGTAAGTATGTATGTCTCTTTGTGAATTTTATCCTTCCTGTTCCTCTCCTTTTCCCTCATCATTTTATGTAGGGTGTATCAGTACTCGGTCCATGAGAATGAAGCTTATCCAAATAACCTATCATGGAGCTAGATGTGGTAACCAAGAGTCTCTGGGGCACTCCTCTTTGGGAGAGGGGCAGATATATTTTCTGTCATATTCTGCTGCACTATGTGAGCCTGGAGCTTTGCAGTTTACATTTGGAAATGTAAATATGGGAAGAAGAGTATATTATGTGCATTGGACAACCAAACTAGTGGTCTCTGATGAACAGTTACCATGCTGTTTGACCACAATCACTCGAATGCCCCACCTTCAGAGCTAACATTTAACATGAGTGCTTATTGTGTGTCAGGCACTGTTCTAAGTGCTTTATCCATATTAACTAAGAAAATCTTCACCCAAATCCTATGAGCTAGGCACTACTATTTTCATTTTACAGATAGGAAAACTCAGTCGTAGGGATATTACATAATTTAATCAAAGTCATATTGGCTGGGCACAGTGGCTCACACTTGTAATCTCGCACTTTGGAAGCCTGAGGCGGGCGGATCACAAGGTCAGGAGTTCCAGACCAGCCTGGCCAACACAGTGAAACTCTGTCTCTACTAAAAATACAAAACTTAGCTGGGCGTGGTGGCGGGCACGGTAATCCCAGCTACTCAGGAGGCTGAGGCAGGAGAATCACTTGAACCCGGGAGGTGGAGGTTGCAGTGAGCCGAGATCACACCACTGCTCTCCAGCCTGGGTGAAGAGCTAGACTCTGTCTCAAAAAAAAAAAAAAAAAAAAAAACAAAACAAAACAAAAAAAAAAACAAAGTCATACAGTAAGTGGCAGACCTCAAATTTTGGAGTCCAAGGAGTTTGGACTCCACACAGAGTTCACACTTTTAACTACAATTCTGTATTGTCCTCACTGTACTGGCAAAATTCAGAGAATTCCAATCTTGCAGTTTCTGGTAGAAGGCAGAACTCATCTGTCACTTTAGAAACCATTAGAAAATTCCAGAAATTCACTTCCCCGGGCTCTCCTGCATGTCAGTCATGGGCACATGATCTAGACTCCACCAATAAGAAACACCCGGGCCAGGTACGGTGGCTCATGCCTATAATCCCAGCACTCTGGGAGGTCAAGGCGGGAGGATCACTTGAGTTCAGGAGTTCGAGACTAGCCTGGCTAACATGGCAAAACCCTGTCTCTACTAAAAATAAAAAAAAATTAGCCAAGTATGGTGGCACATGTCTGTAGTCTCAGCTACTCAAGAGGCTGAGGCAGGAGAATCACTTGAACCTGGGAGATGGAGGTTGCAGTCAGCCAAGATCGCGCCACTGCACTCCAGCTTGGGCGACAGAGCCAGGCTCCATCTCAACAACAACAACAACAACAACGAAACACCTGCTGCAGACTTTGAGCCAGTAGGCAGTTATGCAAAGAAGTGAAAACCGCAGATCATTCTATCTGGCAGCATTGTACCAAGAATGGACTCCAGGGCAACAATGGCTATTGCTCATCCAGAGCCAGAAGTGTCTGGGTTGCTATCTCCATACAGTGGCAGAGGCAGCAGTGATAGTCACACAGAAATAGAACCAATCCATAAAAGTAATTTTGATCATGGCTCCTGGTTATGTAGCCTTCAAGTCTAGTTTTCCAAGGCCTCTCAGTGAGTAGGTGTGAGCTACCCAACATCCTTTTAATAAATCGCTTTGCTACTAATGTCAGTCAGAATCAGTGTCTGTTACTTGCAATTAAGGACCCTGATATATGAGTCCTTTTCTGAGGATGAGTGATTCAGAAACATCAAGGTTCCAGGCACACCCAGAAAATTGATGGTACAGTCACAGTAGAAGCATATCAACGTGATTATGTGGGCTGTGGTGCTTCTTGGAAAAACAACTTAAGCTCTATTCTCTTCTGGAGTTCATCCACATCTTGCATAGATACTGTTGGAATGGCACATGTAATCCTTCATTCAGGAGGGCTGAGGACCCTACAATGATTAATTTTACATGTCAACCTCACTGCTCCATGGCGTGCCCAAATATTTGGTTAGATATTATTCTGGGTATGTCTATAAGGGTGTTTCTGCATGAGATTAACATTTGAATCAAGCAGATTGCCCTCCCCAGTGTGGGCAGACCTCATCCCATCAACTGAAGGCCTGAATTTTAAAAAGGCTGAGTAAGAGGGAATTTACTCTCTCTGTCTACCTGATGGCCTTGGAACTGGAATATTGATCTTCTCCTGCCTTGGAACTTGGACTGGAACTTGTACCATTGGCTCTCCTGGTTCTCAGTCTTTGAGTTCCACATCTTGGGACTTTTCAGGCTCTGTAATTACATGAGCCAATTCCTTATATCTCTTCATCTATATCCATACATACATAAGATATATAAGATATACACACACACACACACACACACACATACATACAGGTATATCTCATTTCATTCAGCTTTGCTTTATTGCACTTGGCAGACATTGTGTTTTTTACAAATTGAAGGTGTGTGTTAACCCTATGTTGAGCAATTCTATCATTAAGATTTTCCCAACAGCGGGTACTCACATTGTGTCTCTGTGTCACATTTTGGTAATTCTCACAATGTTTTAAACATTATTCTTATGATTATATTTGTTATGGTGATCTGTGATCAGTGATCTTTGATGTTACTATTGTAATTGTTTTGGTGCACCACAAACCGTGCCCATGGAAGATGGTGAACTTCATCAATAAATGTGGGTGTTCTGACTACCCCACCAACCGGCCGTTTCCTCATCTCTCTTTATTTCCCTGGGTTTCCATATTCCCTGAGACACAATATTATTGAAATTAAGCCATTGAAGAGCCCTACAATGGTCTCTAAGTATTCGAGTAGAAGGAAGAATTGCATGTCTCTCACTTAAAAGCTACAGGCCGGACACAGTGGCTCACGCCTATTATCCCGGCACTTTGGGAGACCAAGGTGGGCAGATCACTTGAGGTCAGGAGTTCAAAACCAGCCTGGCCAACATGGCGAAACCCCATCTCTGCTAAAAATACAAAAATTAGCCAGGCATGGTGGTGTACACTTGTAATCCCAGCTACTCGGGAGGCTGAGGCAGGAGAATCATTTGAACCAGGGAGGCAAAGTTTGCAGCAAGCTGAGATCATGCCACTGCACTCCAGCCTGGGTGACAGAGCAAGACTATATCTCAAAAAAAAAAAAAATTAGAAAAGGTTAAACTTAGTGAGGAAGGCATGTCTAAAGTCAAGATAGGTGAAGAGCTAGGCCTCTTGTGCTAAACAATTACCCAAGCTATGAATGCAAAGAAAAAGTTTTTGAAGGAAATTAAAAGAGCTACTCCAGACCTTCCACCCGTCAACACACTGATGATAAGGAAGGGAAACAGCCTTATTGCTGATATGGAGAAAGTTTGAATTGTCTAGATAGAAGATCAAACCAGCCACAACATTCCCTTCAGCCAAAGCCTAATCCAGAGGAAGGCACTAACTCTATTCAATTCTATGAAGTATAAGAGAGGTGAGGAAACAGCAGAAGAATGGTTGGAAGCTAGCAGAGGTTGGCTTATAAGGTTTAAGGGAAAAAGGCATTTTCACGACATAAAAGTGCAAGGTGAAGCAGCAAGTGCTGATGTAGAAGCTGCAGCAAGTTCTCCAGAAGATCTAGCTAAGATCATTGATGAAGGTGGCTTCACTAAACAACAGATTTTCAGTGTAGGTAAAATAGCCTTGTATTGAAAGAAGATGCCTTCTAGGATTTTCATGGCTAGAGAGAAGTGAATGCCTGGTTTCAAAGCTTCAGAAGACAGGTTGACTGTCTTGTTAGGGGCTAATAAAGCTGGTGATTTTAAATTGAAGCCAATGTATTGTCCATTCTGAAAATCCTAGGGCTCCTGAGAATTATGCTAAATCTACTCTTCCTGTACTCTATAAATGAAATAACAAAGCCAGGAGGACAGTACATCTGTTTATAATGTGGTTTACTGAATATTTTAAGCCCACTATTGAGACCTACTGCTCAGAAAAGAAAAACTCCTTTCAAAGTATTACCACTTGTTGATAATATACCAAGTCACCCAAGAACTCTAATGGAGATGTACAAGGGGATTAAAGTTTTCATGCCTGCTAACACAACATCCATTCTGTAGTCCATGGATCAAGGAGTCATTCTGATTTTCAAGTCTTATTATTTAAGCAATACATTTCATAAGGCTATAGCTACCATAGATAATGATTCCCCTGAAGGACCTGGGAAAACTAAGTTTAAAACTTTCTGGAAAGGATTTACCACTCTAGATGCCATTAAGAACATTTGTGATTCATAAGAGAAGGTCAAAATATCCACATTAGTAGGAGTTTGGAAGAAATTTATTCCAAGTCTCATGAATGACTTTAAGGAGTTTAAGTTTTCAGTGGAGGAAGGAACTGCAGGTGTGGTGGAAATAGCAAGAGAACTAGAATTGGAAGTGGAGCCTAAGGATGTGACTGAATTGCTGCAACCTCATGATAAAACTTGAACAGATGAGGAGTTGCTTCCTACGGATGAACAAAGAAAGTAGTTTCTTGAGATAGAATCTATTCCTGGTGAAAATGCTATGAACATTGTTGAAATGACCACAAAAGTTGAGACCATAAACTTAATTGATAAAGCAGAAGTAGTGTTTGAGAGGATTGACTCCAATTTTGAAAGAAATTCTACTATGAGTAAAATGCTATCAAACAGCATCCCATGCTACAGCACAATCTTTCCTGAAAGGAAGAGTCAATCAATGTGAGAAACTTCGTTGTTGTCTTACTTTTAGAAATTGACACAGCCACTCCAACCCTCAGCAACCACCACCCTGATGAGTCAGCAGCCATCAACATCAAGGCAAGACCTTCCACCAGCAAAAAGATTATGATTTGCTGAAGGCTCAGATGATTATTAGCATTTTTGGCAGTAAAGTATTTTCAATTAAGGTATGTACATTGTTTTTTGGACATAATGCTATTGCACACTTACTAGACTACAATACAGTGCAGACATAACTTTTATATGCACTGAGAAGACAAAAATTTCATGTGACTCACTTTATAGCAATATTCACTGAACCAGCAATGTCTCCAAGGTTTGTCTGTGTGTGTACATACATACATATATATCTCCTATCTGTTTTGTTTCTCTGGAAAATCCCTAATAGAGACCCTCTCTGGAGAGAAATGTTCCTAGAGGAATAAGGAAATGTGCTTCACCCGGTAAGGAAGGGAAGGGTATTTATTTAACAAGATCTGTTAGGTTAAACCAAGATTTCTCTAACTTTGGCTATCCATCCACAGACCACTTAATGGACATTTGGAGCACAAATTTTAGGTCATCTCTAAAGAGATTGTAAATTTTATGATAAAAATAAAAATACATAAAATCAATACTATTCATTTCAGATCAATGAAAAAAATGACAGTTTGAACTCTTTCGCTCTTTGGAGGGATGACATAGTTTGTGTCACAGGATTCCACATCCGACTGGTTTCTTCTATATTTACCTAAACTTACCAGTTGTAAGTTATTGAGCAGGGCAGCAAGAGTTTGGCTCTGTCGGAGAGTGCTAGATATTTGGGTTGAACGGGGACACGAAAATCGTGGGGAATGACTCACTGAAGACTCCTTTCAGCTCTCTGTCAGATGCTAAGTCAATAAGCACATCACACTGAAAAGCTGGAGGGATGACTCTGGGCTTGGCATCAGTGCTGAATGGATTCCTAATCTACTCTTTGGAAAGTAGCTTTTCATGCTCCATTGCAGCCCCTGGAGGTAATTTTAAAATATGCCCAATAATACATCATTGATTTCTTTCTCCCTGAGAAGAAAATCATCAAATGTTAGAGAAAAGACAAACTTTCTGCAACTGTCCTATTTGTACCACGGACAGTCTAGTGTCTTATCCTCAGTATTAAAATTCATGGTCACTAAGCCCTGAGGCAATAGGTTCGGGCTCTAAAGACAATAAACACGTGGCTGAGAAAACACCAGTTCAGCAAAGCACTTGAAGTCTCAGAAATAGTTTATGACATTATCAGTGCCATAAAGAAATGTTTCTATCTCATTCCTGATTTCAAAAGTTATTGAGCACTGCTTTCTCTTTGACAGGGTACTTCAGTGTTGAAAATGTCTTGTACTAGGTGCCCAGTGGGTATAATTTGGATAGACTCACAATTTTCATTATTTTCATCAATCTTGAATCAAGATCAAGATGCATAAATACCATTGGCTACCAATTGTTCTCAGGGAATAGAGTCATGTGTGGATCAATATTGCAGCGCAGGCTGGGCACAGTGGCTCACACCTGTAATCTTGAGCCCAGGAGTTTGAGACCGGCCTGGGCAACATGGTGAAATCCCATCCCTAAAAAAAATACAAAAATTAGCCAGGCGTGGTGGCTTGTGCCTGTAGTCCCAGCTACCCGGAGGCTGAAGTGAGAGGATCCCTTGAGCCCAGAAAGTTGAGGCTGCAGTGAGCCATGATCTCACCACTGCCTCCAGCCTGGGCAACAGAGTAAGACACTGTCTTAAAAAAATAAAAACCTTGCAGAGCAAACCTTTATCGATCAATGCACTGCCTTGCTATACACATAGGTAAGTATACTCAGAGATTATACCAACACATATTTGCTAATCTATACCACAGCTCATGAACTAATCAGAAACTAAATGAAAAACCTTTTCTGTAGCATAAATTTTTTAGTGACAAAAAAAGACAAAAGTTTTCTAAGCTCTTTTCCCTCATGTATGCATCACACCTGTGCCACAAGCCAATTCACATTCTACCTACACATCAGGGGCTTCCTCCAAACATGCATGATTGCAATTGCTCTTTCACATTGCCTGTGATATTCAAGAGCACCATTTTTTAAATGAATTTCTCAATAACTCATATTGCTTAGCTCCATGTATATTTATCATCAGTTTTTGGCTGGTTTTACAAGCTTCCCATCAAAAGTGTAACTAATACCTTTTTCTGCTATGAGGACTCTGGAATTCTAAATGATGTCACTGTAGTTTCAGTCTTGTCTCTGCCATTAGCAACAAGATTAATCAGTTGGAAGTTTACTAAAGAGGTTTGTGTGCTTTGGGAACAACACAAGAACTTTGAAGTCTCCCTATTATACCTGACAAAGTTTCATAGCAAACAACTTATTAGGGACCAGGTAGAAAATAGATTGCTTCCATTAAAATCCAATTTCTCATTTATTTACTCTCATACCTCTTATTTGCACTCCTCTTTTGACAAATTGTGCAGTTTTACTTCTTCCAGCACACAGAGTCACATTCTGTATTTGCACATTCTATGTTTGGGTTGTGGTGTTTACATTATTGTTTTCATCTCCATTTTGATGCTTCTGTGAACCACTTATGAGCCATCTATCCTTTTTAAGTTAGAGAAATGCTACAACACATTTCAACCTATAAATGTTCCCTTAACTGCTGCTTTCACTGTTTGCAATAGGTTTTGATACAGTTCTCCTGCTCTTCACTTCAATGCTTTTCTAGATATTACAGTACAAAAGTGATGATAATAGATGCCAAATTCAATCCATGTAAATGACATGTAAATACATGGACCTAGAAGAACTGACTCTGTTCAGTGAAATGTTGCAGAAGATGATATTGTGAAAATGCAATACATACACAACCTCTGAGAAGATGAACACTATGACTTCATTTGTTGTCTTTTAAAACCTGTGAATCACTTAATAGCTGAGCTGGGACCACAAGTAATCAGTGATCTGGTCACCGTTTTGATTGTCCAAATTACTAAATCAATGTTTGTTTCATTTTGTTGTTGTTAACCTATTTCATTTTTTAAATTTAGAAATAATTTTTTTATTTCCAGAAACTTTTTGTTTTTTTGTTTTTTTGTTTTTTTTTTTTTTGCTCTTTGGCAATTCCTTTGCAATATAGTCTAATATTTCAGTAAGGTTTACACAATGTTTTTGAATCTCTTGTTTCTTCCCAAGTCTGAATCAGCACTCCCTAGCCTGGCTTTGGCTAGTTTTCGCTTCAAGCCGCTGAGCCTGCTAAATGGTTCAGGGTCTTTCTTTTCCTGTTTGCAAAGAAAGTAGGCAAAGACTTAATGCAGGTTGGGATGTTGAGCTCTTGCAGGCCCCATGGAGCTGGCCGCTTGGGAAGGAACTGTTTCTCCTGTGAGTCAGGGCCCAGTGGCCTGGCAAGCAGGGGTCTCTTGACTGAAGCCCCTGAGGAGACACCCAGTATCTCAGGGACTTTGGGAGGACCAGTTCTCTCCCAACCACATGAAAAGAGAGCAGTTCGACCCAGCACGGCGGTTCCTCTTGAGGGGGACCAAGACCTGTGGAATCAGCAGCCCGTGACCTCTGGATCACTGGGCTCTGGCCTAGGCTTTGCCAGAAAGTTTGGCTTCCTCCCAGGTCCTTGGGTGTTCTCTCAGTATTGCAAATAATGATGCACCAATGCAACCCTCCACTGGCCCTTGCCTGCACTTCCTCTCATGCTCAAAGCTCCAGATGTGTTTGGGATCCCTCTCTAGCCTCCAATAGGGAGACACACTTGTCTTACTGGTCAATGAACCCAGCAGAGAGAAAGGGACGGGGGGTCATGACAGTGCTCTCCAACCAACATCTTTCCAGAATCCCCAATATCCAATCTGTCTCTCATTGAACTCATCCTTCAGGTGGTCACTAGTGAGATTTATCTAAAACACGAAAGTGTCAGGCCCTGATGAGAACCATTTGTGATTCTCCATCAGCCGAAGTTGAAGTGCAAGCTCTGGAGCACGGTTTACTAGTTTCATTCCACCACTCGCTAACACACATTTTACTCTGAATAGGACAGAACTGCTTGTGGTTCTAACATCGTTGCTGCATTCCTGTGTGTTCCTGTCAATGCTGCTACATCTCACTTCCAGTGTTTCTTTTATCTCGAGATTTAGCTCAGGTGTCACCTCCTCCAGGAAGTTGTCCCTTAACCCCCAGGTTGGTTGAAATACCTGTTATCTGTGCTGCCGTAGCACTTTGGGAATGCCTCTCTTCTAATGTTCACCTAATGCTGTCACTGTTTCCAGTGGGTTTTGATACAAAGTTCCCCTGTTCTTCATTTCACTGGTTTTCTAGATATTACAATACAAAAGTGACCATAATAGAAGCAAAATTCAAGCAATGTAAAGAACACGTAAATGACCCGTAAACACATCGACCTAGTAGAAGAACTGAATCAACACATTATGTTGAACTTCTGTTATGCTGTCTCCTTCTAGGCCATCAAACCCTCAAAGCTGAAAACTCTGTCTTACTCATTTCTGTATCCCCGGAGCCTAGCACAGTACCAGCCACGTGGCATGTCCACAAAATATTATTTGTTGAGTTAAATTGAACATATGTCACAGTTTCCAACCGATTGAAATTCAACTCTTTTTACAATCCCCCCACCAATGCCCCAGGAGTACTTAGTGAGTTAAATTCGACCATTTAATATACAACTCCCATAACAAAGAATGTTTCACCCTTGAAAGGCGATATTGCATTTCAGAAGCCATCTGAGATTAGAGAATATCACCTGGCCTCAGATTTCTGTAGATGGATATTTTTACCCAAATAATACCATCCTGATTGTTCGATATCTGAAACTCTTATTCATCTAGAGCAAGAGAACTCATTCCTATTGTCAAGGCTGCAAAATTCTATAACGCACCATGTGAAACAGGCCAAGGTGTTGCTATCAGCAGTGAGAGATTCTTACGCCGGCTGAGGACTCGGCTGCTTTGCCAGAAAGGTTCTTTCAACCAGACCACAGTGTCTGTTTGTCCCTGAATAATCCACATTTTCCAGTCTGTTATGATGCATTCCTTTCCCAGCTCCTTTTTTTGCGGCCTGATTCTGCCGCATCACCACATTATTCCCACGGCCCACTTCCTGTGGGGGACTGGATCTGGCATCAGTTCTTATTTTTCCCCAAAGCTCAGGTAACAACAGCTTGGGGGAAAAAATCTTTGAGAGCACCCATCTCCTAAGTTTAATGGAAAGGAGAGAAAACTGGCAGGTTGGGGGAGGCGGGGGGACTCTGCGTAGAGTACATTTTTAAGCTAACAAAGAAGATACATTTTATATCAGCGTGATGATGAACCACATACATCACCCATTTTCCTATAAGGTGAGGATTTTTTCTTAATCAGCAGTACAGATACCATCCCTTCAGGCCATTTTCAGAGAATATAACCCTGAACTACCTACTCCCACCTCTTTTAGAAAGCCTTGCTAAGAGAAGTGATGTTTAAGAAGGAAGGCCTAGAGTCATGCACTTCTGACTTCGATCCTATCTACTGTTCAGGTTAAACCACCAAAAAGACCCTACTGGCCCCGTCTACAAAATCATCTTTCACTGAAATGCCCTGGAAAGTTTAATATCAACTTTCACTGAGTGTCACAAGAGATGGAGCACAAAAGTTGACGCTGCTTTTATTATAAATCTTGTTATTAAGGAGATTACTCAACATTCCAGACAAGAACAAGAAGGACAGCAATAAAAACCCTGTGCGAAGAAAAACCTGAAAAACTTGCAGATCAGAGGAGAACAGGCAGACCAGATGACTACAGCTAACGTGATATCCTGGATTGAATCTTGGAACAGTAAAAGGATATTAGTGGGGAAACTGCTGAAATCAAAATAAAGTCTGGTGTTTAGCCAACAGTTATGTACCAGTGTTAGTTCCTTAGTTTTGGCAAATGTACCATGGTTCTAGAAGATGTTGACATTAGGAGGAATTGGATGAAGAGTTTACAGGAACTTGACATTATCTTTGCAACTTTTCTGTACATCTAAAATTATTCCAAGATTAAAAGTTTATTTTTTAAAAAGACTTGCAAGGCCGGGCGCAGTAGCTCATGCCTGTAATCCCAGCACTTTGGGAGGCCGAGGCAGTTGGATCACTTGAGGCCAGGAGTTTGAGATCAGCCTGGCCAACATAGCCAAACCCTGTCCCTAATAAAAATACAAAAATTAGCTGGGCATGGTGGTGTGCACCTGTAGTCCCAGCTACTTGGGAGGCTGAGGCAGGAGAATTGCTTGAACCCAGGAGGCAGAGGTTGCAGTGAGTCAAGATTGTGCCACTGCACTCCAGCCTGGGTGACAGAGAGAGACTCTGTCTCAAAATAAATAAATTTAAAAATAAATAAATAAATAGGCCAGGTGCGGTGGCTCACGCCTGTAATCCCAGCACTTTGGGAGGCTGAGGCGGGTGGATCACAAGGTCAGGAGATCAAGACCATCTTGGCTAACGCTGTGAAACCCCGTCTCTACTAAAAATACAAAAAATTAACCAGGCATGGTGGCGGGCACCTGTAGTCCCAGCTACTCGGGAGACTGAGGCAGGAGAATGGCATGAACCCAGGAGGCAGAACTTGCAGTGAGCCAAGATCACGCCACTGCACTCCAGCCTGGGCGACAGAGCAAAACTCCATCTCAAAAAAAAATAAAAATAAAGGCCGGGCACGGTGGCTCACGCCTGTAATCCCAGCACTTTGGGAGGCCGAGGCGGGTGGATCATGAGGTCAGGAGATCGAGACCATCCTGGCTAACAAGGTGAAACCCCGTCTCTACTAAAAATACAAAAAAAATTAGCCGGGCGCGGTGGCGGGCGCCTGTAGTCCCAGCTACTCGGGAGGCTGAGGCAGGAGAATGGCGTGAACCCGGGAAGCGGAGCTTGCAGTGAGCCGAGATTGCGCCACTGCAGTCCGCAGTCCCGCCTGGGCGACAGAGCGAGACTCCGTCTCAAAAAATAAATAAATAAATAAATAAATAAATAAATAAATAAATAAATAAATAAATAAATGACTTGCTGGAGAAGCTTAGAGTCAAGAAAAAACACATCTCCCATGAGAGTCTTGTATGCATTCTCCTTTTTAACAAGAAATACTCATAACTATTGTTCATTTCTTTTCACTTTTGCTGTTTAGATGCTCAGAGCCAAATTCTATGCTGGATTATATCAATTTTATTAATCCTTATGGTTATCATATTTGCTTCCTCATTTTTCCTGATCCTAATTTCCCTTTTCTATCAAGAATAAAGATAAATGCAGCAATAAACCTTGCTGCATTTTTGCTCTTGTTGCCATAAACCAACTCTAATCTTTTCAGGAAGGAGGCTCTGCATTCATTATAAACCTGAAAACTGTCCAAAGGCAGGGGAGCAAGATTGGGAAGGTTTAGGAAATCACGGGTCACGATGTACAGCTGAAGGAATCAGGCTTCTTAGGCAGAGAGATGACTCAGGAGACAAATGATGGTTATCTTCAAATGACTGAGCAATTGCCCTTGAGAAAGCAGGAAAGACTGGCTCTGTGTTGCACCAAAAGGCCGAATCCCAACCAAGGGATGTACATCATGAGAGGAAGACCTCAACTCAGCACACAGAATAACTAACAAAGCTTTCCAACGAGGGAGTGGTTAGTACCCCTTTCCATAGAGAAACCTGAGTAGCATTTAGATCATTTTATTTATTTTTTTTTATTTATTTATTTTTTATTTTTTATTTTTTATTATACTCTAAGTTTCAGGGTACATGTGCACATTGTGCAGGTTAGTTACATATGTATACATGTGCCATGCTGGTGCGCTGCACCCACTAACGTGTCATCTAGCATTAGGTATATCTCCCAATGCTATCCCTCCCCCCTCCCCCGACCCCACCACAGTCCTCAGAGTGTGATATTCCCCTTCCTGTGTCCATGTGATCTCATTGTTCAATTCCCACCTATGAGTGAGAATATGCGGTGTTTGGTTTTTTGTTCTTGCGATAGTTTACTGAGAATGATGGTTTCCAATTTCATCCATGTCCCTACAAAGGACATGAACTCATCATTTTTTATGGCTGCATAGTATTCCATGGTGTATATGTGCCACATTTTCTTAATCCAGTCTATCATTGTTGGACATTTGGGTTGGTTCCAAGTCTTTGCTATTGTGAATAGTGCCGCAATAAACATACGTGTGCATTTAGATCATTTTAACAGCATCCCAGGTATACACATTACACTGACGCAACTGGGTGCAGCCCATGCTTTGAGTAGTAAGTCTCTACTCTAGACCATCCATCAGGTATCCCTCATTGAAGAGGTTAAATAGAAGATCTCTACAGCTTCTTCCAGATGCAAGTTCTGAGATTATATAAAAGTAGTTTAGATCAGCCTGGGCAACACAGAAAGACCCCGCCTCTAAATAATTTTTTTTTTTAATTAGCTGGGCATGGTGGCACATGCCTATAGTCCAAGCTACTTGGGAGGCTGAGGTGGGAGGATCCCTGGAGCCCAGGAATTCAAGGCTGCAGTGACCTATAATCGTGCTACTGTGCTCCAGCTTGGGCAACAAAGCAAGACCTCATTTCTAAAAAAAAAAAAAAAAAAAAAAAGAGTAGTTCATATGGGTGATCATCATTAAATGTTTAGTCAGGAGCTAGAGGGTGCCCTCTGCAGCCACTCTCTTTTAATCCTCCCAACAGCTCTTCAAGTTGGCCTAGAAGGAGCATTTCTGCCCCATTGGCCAGGTCTTTTCACACTGCCTTTTTCTATAGTGGCAGTGCTTGCAAGCTGCCTCTGGCGTGATGTCCCAAAGGCAGAGTCTGAGACAGTTACATATATCGTTTTGGGAAAAGGTATGGGTGACTAAGTTAGGTGACCAATTTAGTCAATCATTGTGGCTGTAGCAACCAATTCAATAATATGTTGAGAAGAGGCCAAGTCTATCTGTTTTGGAAAGAAATCTACATGCCCTCATCATCCCTAGCTTCAAGCAGAACTTCCTCTTCTCTCTATATTTGCGTTAACGCTGTATCATATACACAATGTGGCACCCACTAGCTATGTGGCCTTGGGCCAGTTACTTACCTTCTGTCCATTCCTCACACTCTCCAGGGAGTTAGACAAGTATTTCTGAGAACACTTAGATCTAATATTATAGATTATAAGTGGGGGTAAAGTGACATTTTTAAAAACGTCTAACAATCATATAACAAGCCAAGTATCATCTAAATTTTGCATCTCAAGCTTTCAACAAAAGTCCTCATTGTAGAGTCTTAATAATGGAAAAAGAGTAAGGCTGGTGGGAGCAGAGGACAGCAAAAAGAGAAGGCAGATGAGCTACAAGTCTGCCTTTCTTCATGGTCCAGGACACATAGTCCTCCTGCACAAATAACTCACAATCATCCTGTGCCCAGCTATCACCAGACCTTCGGCTGAGAGAAAATTGCAAGTTAGCTCACTGCAACCTTGGCATTATTAGTACTGCACATAGTTTTCTCCAACACAAGCACCATCCTATAAAACCCCCTTGCAGTCAGCTCCTCTCTTGCTGACTTGCCCATTGCTTTCTTGCAACAAATTTTATTACTTTCTCTAATAAATCTGCTTTTCTTTACCTTCAGCTGTTTACCACCTGCACGATACCAGCCCCAGATAGTCATCACCCATGACACTCATTCACCAGCAGTTTGATTTTTTTATCTTTTTTTGTTTTAGACGGAGTCTTGCTCTGTCACCAGGCTGGAGTGCAGTGGAGTGATCTTGTCTCGCTGCAACCTCTGCCTCCTGGGTTCAAGCAATTCTCCTGCTTCAGCCTCCTGAGTAGTTGGGATTACAGGCATGCACCACCACGCCCAGCTAATTTTTGTGTTTTTAGTAGAGATGGGGTCTCACCATATTGGTCAGGCTGGTCTGGAACTCCTGACCTCGTGATCCGCCTGCCTCGGCCTCCCAAAGTACTGGGATTACAGGTGTGAGCCAGCAGGCCCAGCTGATTTTTTTATCTTTAACATCCCCTGAGAAGTAGTCATTGACCTCCATTTCTCACATCTGCAAAATGGGGCCATGGGACTTTTCCCAAGATTCAGCCCTCCTGACCTTAATGGGTTACCACACTGAGTTTTAGGACAGAGAAAATGGAACTTGTGTGATCACAGCTTCTGCCGCAAGAAAAGGACGATGAGATTACCTGTTATTACTATCTTTCAGAGGAAGATTTGGAAGCAGAATAGCATTGGCTCTCCAGAAAATCAAAATCAGGACCTTTGGTCCAAGATCACCAAGAGGAGTAGCACGTAGGAAGCCAAAAATAAATGGTATCTAAGTTTCAGGGGAGAGAGTAGTAAGACAAGGGGTAGAACAACTTGTCTCTGAATGCCAAGGTACAGATCAATCAGACACCTTCCCTGCCCTTCAATTACCAGCAGATCATGGAGAGGATAGAAAAAAACAATGATCAAAACAAGCTGAGTTACATGTAGTCATAGTGCTATGGCAGCTGAGAAGAGGAAAAGACAGATTCTGCTCAGAGAAATCTTGGGAAACTTTATGAACCAAGCTACATTTGGACTGGGCCTTAGAGATGGTAGAGTTCTATAGATGAGGTCACAGGGGAAGGAGGAAAAAAGGAGATTCGAATCCAGAGGACAAGTGATAAAGACGAAAACAGTGGCGAAATTAAAACTGTGACTTTCTATTAGATTGAAGGGAGGGGGGATCCTGGAGACGAGAACGGGAAAGCAAGCTGAGGGTTTAGTGCTTGCTGAGGAGTCTCAGTCTCACCTGGAGGCAATGGGTGACTCGGAGGGTGTGTGAGCAGGACGAGGGGCTCCTAGCTGTGTTTTGATAAGATGACTCTGGAAGCAGTGAAGATGCTGTAATCAGAAGAGGAGATTGAGCCAAGAAGTCTTGGTAAGCTCTTTATAACAGTCCAAGTTTACAACATTAGGGGCCCAACTAGGGACAGGGCAGTGACATTGGAAATGGAGCATTGTGGAGCTGTTTGGGATATTACCAGGGTCAGAGGTCCAGGTTCCTGGAAGGGATTGATGACATTAAGCAAGAAATGTACAGCACTTTGACTTTGACATTTCCACAACACCTTCCCCTCCCTTTCCTCATACCTGGGCTACAGCTGTCTCCCTAGGAGGGCTGCTCCCCTACCATGCAGTCTCTTCCCCACTCTGATCCATTCTCCAAAGCTTCCAAATGCTCCAAATGCATTTCCCCACTAGCTCAAGAACCTGTAGTGATTCCAGTCCAACTCATCGGATTCCTGGCAGAAAACGGAGAGGAAGCACTTCTGATCACTAACGGTCATTCCGCTGCATCTGCCTTCCAACCCCATTTGGGCCCTGGTGGCAGCCAAGCTCTGTCTCCCAGCATATGTGAGTCCTGTGCTGGTGTTTCCTTATGGTGCCCTACTCCCCTCCATTCCTCAAGATCCCTTGCTTTCCTCAAAACCCACCTTGGAAGTCGTCTCTAGAAAACTCTGCCCCTTCAGGGGCTGCCTCAACTGTAGCCCACAAATGACCATTGCCAACTGGACAAGCCCCCCAACTTTGGCTCCCTGTCCCCTCCTCCCCACTGAAGACTAGCAGCACAGAGTTGGCCCTGCTGCCCAAAGGGGCTGCATCTGGGCCCCCCGACCTGGCAGAAATGATGGCTCCCTGAATCTCTCTCCAGCAGATGACAAGAAGACAGAACTCTGCGTCTGCGAGCTGCAGAGACTCCTGCCTCCCCAAGTCCCTGGCTTTCACTCTATGTCCCACCCATTCTGCAAGGAGTCAGGGGGTGGAATGTTCTAAGACGCCAACCTGTCACTGAAGCTCCCACTCCACTCTGCTGACACCTGACTGCCCAGAGGACTCACGGGGCCGGGGCAACCTGCCATCCCTGGTGTCAGCAATCTACCAAAGAAGTGAAGCCTCCGAGATTTCTTTGACCAGGAGAGAAGAAGGTATTCAGCAATGCAGAGAAGATAAATACTGCAGATTAGATAACTGGACAACACGCTTGAAATTATTCAGTGGCACAGCCATCTTTTAATTACCTTGGAACGGGAGATAAGAGTAATGGAAAGCTACAGATAATTCATTAGTTTCTAAAAACCTTGCACATCCAATGTGCCATTTGAAGTCGATGCTTACAAGACACAGAAGAGGCTGGTGAAGGGTTTTCAGGAAGGAAGTAAAATCCAAACAACAGGAAAAACACAATTTGTTCTTCATAAATGCTAAGTGCGGCACAATGCAGTTATTAGCCACAACTCTACACACTCTTTCCCATTAATGGATAAGTTAAATCTTTTCCAAGTGTGACAAGTGGCATCCAATCACTCCCTAGGGATTTTCTGTTCTTTAGCCACTTACCAGTCACAATAGATTTTTCTGCAGTTCCATTTAAAACGTTATTCTCTGGGGGGTCTTCTAGTTTACTTTGAATAGCCTGTAACAAATATTCCCAACCAAGAGCAGATAGGCTTGCTCCAACCCACTCTAACAGAGAGAGAAGTCTGCCCAGCCCAGGTATTAAATGACTTCATGACTACAAAACAGCAGGGTGGAGCCAGGCCAGCTCCAAAGCTAATTCAGCTCTCTCACTTTTACAGATGAGGACAGTGAGTTCCAGGAAGGGAAAAGGACATGTCCAAGGTCACGCGAACTAACAAGTAATAGAATCTACACCAGATCTGGATCCCTTAAGTTCTGAGACCATATCTAATTTTAAATAGACATTTTCTTTCTATTTTCTGGTTCTTTCTACAGCCTGAGGGGGCATGAGATGCTCCACCCAGGTCCCCCTTGAAGGAAAGCCTTAGGGCCTGGCTGTGGGAAGCATGGTCAGCACAAAGCTGCTAGCTCTCAGTTCCTTCGGGATCTGCCTCGACTAGAGATGTCTGTGCCACTGGAGGCTGCATCCTTCCTGGGAAACCCAGCACCCAGTGACAGAGGTGGGTGGGGTACAAAGGCCCAGCCATTTCTGCCCAGCAAGGGCTACACCGAGGCCTAATATTCACTCCACGGCTCCCCAATGCCACTCTCTCCAGAATGTGGTCTTCCTGCCTCCCCAACCAATGATGCAGCAGGAGAGGGAAATGAGACGCCTGGGGTGGCTGGACCATCTCCTTGCAGGCCTCTGCCCAGCAACCCCAAACTCACACCCCAGACCCCTTCAGTTCACTTGGAATGGAGCAGGTTCCAGGAGCTGGCCAAGCAATTGCATGTGAGCACATAGATGCCCTTGTGCCTTCTCCTGGGGAGCTATGGGTCACTCATATCCTTGTGGCATTGATAGCATTTGTTGGTTTTGCTTAAAGAGGTAGGAAGTTTAAAAAAATAAGGCATGATTTGGCAGAAAAGCACAAGACACTTGGGTTCCAGTTATTTGAGCATTTGTGGGTGAAGTGACCCTATGTCCAGTATGCCTGGTTCGTGCCTGTCACCCCAGGGTCATTATCAATAGCGCTGCCTTTCACCCTCAAATGCCTCAAATACCTCAATTGTGGCCACCCCATGCAAAAGCCATAGTACCTCAGAGCAAGTCTATCTGGCTGTCTATCCTCCTCTCCGGTCTTGGATATTTTGAGAGAGAGAGGAAGATGGTGTCCTGGGTGGTAAGTGGAAAGAATGCCCTTCCAGGACAGACTTGGGTTTGAATGACCTCTGGACCAGGCACTAGCTCAGAGACTTTGGATGAGTTCCCAGCCTCTTACTGCCTTATCTGAGAAATGGAAGTAATTAAACACACCTAGCCTTTCATGCATGGTTGTTGAGAACACCGAGTCAAATACTTGTTACAAAGTTTCTCTGGAAACTGTGAAGCCCTATTCAGATGTAAGTATGGACAAAATGCCTAGCAATAAGTATTTGCTAAATGATTGAATGCTTGACTCATTGAATGGGTGGAATGGGGGGAATGTTAGGTATAATTATTATCAATGTGTGACAATGATAAAACAACAACCAGGTTTTTTTTTTTTTCAAGTTGATGGGTCACCCCTCGAGAGGTAAAGTCTATTCCCCTAGTCTTGAATATGGGCTGGACTTAGGGACACATTTCTAAGGAAGACAACAGAAAACAGCACAAGTGACACTGCATGTGTTCCAAGGCTAGACTATGAAAGGTACTTTAGCCTGGCTCTCTCTTGGGACGCTTGCTCTTCAATCCCTGCTGCCATGTTGTGAAGAAACCCAGGCAACAATGGAGAGGCTGAGTATATTCATTCTAGTCCTCAGCCCCAGTGGAGGTCCTGGCAAACAGACAGCATCAACAGACAGCCTTTGAGATGACTGCACCTCCCATCAATGTCTTATTGCATCCTCACAAGAGACCCCCAGTGAGAACCACCTCCTGAGCTCAGTCAGCAATAAATGATTGTTTTGTGTTTAAAAAAAAAAGTCAATGGGAATGTGTTCTGAAAGCAAGATGCATCTCTTGGAGCAAACTGCCTCCCAAGGATATGAGAAGGGCCAAGCTAGGTATGACTCTCTGCCTCTGCAGCTGGAAATGTACAGCCCTGACAGCAGCCTCTGGGGTGCGCCACCCAAAGCATTCCATTTTCTCTAATAGCCAATTATAACTGTCATCTCTGCAAGTATCTTAATCTTTGAAATTACTTTTGCAGGCACTACCACCTCTTGGGATAATGGTTCCATAAGCTTCTTCCCTATGAAACTCCTCCAGAATTTGAAAAATAAATGCATGTCCACTTTATCCACTGCTCTTACCATTTTAGAGATTACGATCATGTTCACTCTTCAACTTCCCCTTCCCAGACTGAGTCGTCTGGTATTTTTCGTCACAATCCCTAATGGCAAGCCAGTGTGGTACCTAAAACATTCAAGACCTGGGGAGTTAGTGTAAACTTCCAATGAAACAGAGTTGAACTAAATAGCTTATTTGTTAATAGGTATATAGTTTTAATAGGCTTTGAAAACAGCATGTGGGTTTTAATTCATGTTAATGAATATAGTCCCTACTGAAGTACTTGAAAATAAATACACAATGATCTGAATTCAATGTTAAGATTCTTGCCCTTTTTGCCCCCTAGCGCTGCTGGGCCTGCAGGTCTCTGTTGAGCCATGGATTTGGGCCTCTGTTCCGCAGGATGGGGTTTGTTAAAGTTGTTAAGAACAAGGGCTACTTTAAGAGATAGCAAGTGAAATTTAGAAGATGCCAAGAGGGTAAAATTGATTACTATTCTCGGAAATGCTTGGTGATACAGGATAAAAATAAATACAGCACACCCAAATACAGGATGATAGTTCATGTAACAAACAGAGATATCATTTATCAGATTGCTTATGCCCGTATAGAGGGGGAAATTATAGTCTGCGCGGCATATGCACACGAACTGCCAAAATATGATGTGAAGGTTGGCCTAACAAATTATGCTGCAGCATATTGTACTGGCCTGCTGCTGGCCTGCAGTCTTCTCAATAGGTTTGGCATGGACAACATCTATGACGGCCAAATGGAGGTGACTGGTGATGAATACAATGTGGAAAACATTGATGGTCAGCCAGGTGCCTTTACCTGCTATTTGGATGCAGGCCTTGCCAGAACTATCACTGGCAATAAAGTTTTTGGCACACTGAAGGGAACTGTGGATAGAAGCTTGTCTATCCCTCACAGTACCAAACGATTCCCTGGTTATGATTCTGAAAGCAATGCAGAAGTACACCAGAAGCGCATCATGGGCCAGAATGTTGCAGATTACATGCGCTACTTAATGGAACAAGATGAAGATGCTTACAAGAAACAGTTCTCTCAATACATAAAAAAAACAGCATAACTCTAGACACGATGGAGGAGACGTATAAGAAAGCTCATGCTGCTATACGAGAGAATCCAGTCTATGAAAAGAGGCCCAAGAAAGAAGTTAAAAAGAAGAGGTGGAACCATCCCAAAATGTCCCTCACTCAGAAGAAAGATCAGGTAGCTCAAAAGAAGGCAAGCTTCCTCAGTTAGGAGCAGGCTGCTGAGAGCTAAACCAAACAATTTTCTATGAGGATTTTTCAAATAAAGACAATAAACTTATGGACAACAACTAAAAAAAAAGATTCTTATGTACGGTTTTTATTACATGTTAAAAGCAATATTTTCTCCTTGGGAATAAAGCTCCACAATCCTAGTAAAAACAAAACAAAACAAACAGCCAAGAAAATGTTTGCATGCCTCATGCCACCCTGCTCAAAACCCTCCAGACTCACTGCTTCTTGCCTGCAGAATAGCGTCCACGTGGCTCAAATTGATGTGCGGCCATCATTGGTCCTCCAACCTGATGCCTCTCTCCCCAACAAAGCATCAGCAGTGGTGAATCTGATTTACTCACTGACTCCCACACCTGTATTGCCTCTCCCTGTTGTGCTTGTTTGCCAATGCTGCCTCCAATAGCGGAAGTGCCTGTCTCTCCTCACCCATGGTTCCCAATTCCCTATTATGTTTCTTTTTGTAAGCTCTAACGCTTTATAAAGATTGATGTTCTATGCCTTTTCTTCTTAGAGGTCTTCCAAAGAACAAAGAGAGAATTTACATATTTTTAATTAAATAAAACGTATTTTATTTTGCAATTACCATATGGGTCTATTGTGATCCTTTTTATCTAAGGGCAATGTGTATAAGAGGCATTACAGGATCTAGCTGATCTTATTTTTCTTATATCTTGAGGTACTTTATTATTTTATTATCCTGGGAATTATTGTTATTCAATTATTATTATCCTGACAATTCCATCATTCTTCCATTTAAAAATTATTTTCATCTTTTTTGGCATGGTTGGGAACAACTGATAAGTAACCCAACTGTTAAGTAACAATTGCTCCCAACCATGCCAAGAATGATGAAAATAATTTTTTTTTTTTTGAGACGGAGTCTTACTCTGTCATCCAGGCTGAAGTGCAGTGGCATGATCTAGGCTCACTGCAACCTCCGCCTCCCAGGTTCAAGGAATTTTTCCTGCCTCAGCCTCCCAGGTAGCTGGGACTATAGGCGTGTGCCACCATGCCTGGCTAATTTTTTGTATTTTTGTATTTTTTTTTTTTTTTTTTTTTAGTAGAGAAGGGATGGTCTCAACCTCCTGACCTTGTGATCTGCCCACCTTGGCCTCCCAAAATGCTGGGATTACTGGCATGAGCCACCACGCTCAGCCTGAAAACAATTTTTAAATTGACGAATGATGGAATTGCCTAGAAGGATGGTGCAATAGTGAAGCAAATCATCATCCTTCCTTTTTTTTAAAAAAAAAATTCAAATTGTTTTTTAAATTTTTTGTGAGTACCTAATATTTATGAGGCACATGAGATGTTTTGATACAGGCATGCAATGTGAAATAAGCACGTCATGAAGAATGGGTTATCCATCCACTCAAGCATTTATCCTTTGAGTTACAAATAATCCAATTACATTCTTTATTTTCAAATATACAATGAAGTCACTATTGACTATAGTCACCCTATTATGCTATCAAATAATAGGTCTTATTCATTCTTTCTAACTTTTTTGTATCCATGAACCATCCCCACCTCCCTCCCAATTACCCTTCCCAGCCTCTGGTAAACATCCTTCTACTCTCCATGTCCATGAGTTCAATTGATTTGATTTTTAGGTCCCACAGATAAGTAAGAACATTTGAAGTTTGTCTTTCTGTGCCTGGCTTATTTCACTTAACATAATGATTTCCAATTCCATCCATGTTGTTGCAAATGACTGGCTCTCATTCTTTTGATGGCTGAATAGCACTCCATTGTGCACGTGTATCACATTTTCGTTATACATTCATCTGTTGATGGACACAGGTTGCTTCCAAATCTTAGCTACCGTAAATGGTACTGCAAAAAACATAGGAGTGAGGACACCTCTTTGATATATTGAGTTCCTATATTTTGGGTTTATACCCAGCAGTGGGATTGCTGGATTATCTGGTAACTCAATTTTTAGTTTTTTTGAGGAATCTCCGAACTGTTCCTTTCATTTTCTTATTACCCAAAGAATGACACCGTCTCTCAAGAAAGTACAAAAGAAGGCAGGAGACACCATCTTTGTAGGCTGCTTTTTGCTTTCATTGAACACACTTGACAAATCTGAATTTTTCATTTTCCACCCATAAAGGCAAAGAAAATAAAATGGACAGAAAAAGACACTCCAAATTATTAGATGAACCAGAAAATGAAATGAAAAGAGACAGAGAGTGGCACTGTAGACACGAATAATGATGGTAAAATATATCCTTAAAGTGAAATCTCAGGCTATTAGGCCTCAGATGACACCATCCTAAGTAAGTGTCCTCAAACTTAAGAATCAATGCATGAACAATGTCTTTTTTTTTCTTTTTTTTTTTTTTGAGATGGAGTCTGGCTCTGTTGCCCAGGCTGGAGTGCAGTGGTGCAATCTCGGCTCACTGCAAGCTGCACCTCCCAGGTTCACGCCATTCTCCTGCCTCAGCCTCCCAAGTAGCTGGGACTACAGGTGCCCGCCACCACGCCCGGCTAATTTTTCATATTTTTAGTAGAGACGGGGTTTCACCGTGTTAGCCAGGATAGTCTCGATCTCCTGACCTCGTGATCCGCCCACCTCAGCCTCCCATAGTGCTAGGATTACAGGTGTGAGCCACCATGCCCAGCCAAAAAATGTCTTCTTAAGAACAAAAATGAAATACAGCATTTTTGCCCTGTTAATCAACAGAAAGGATTTCATCATGCAAAAATTTGTGGCAAGAACCTGGACCATCTCCTTTTGTTAAGAAGACATGTGTGCTGGGTGCAGTGGCTCATATCTGTAATCCCAGCACTTTGGAAGGCCGACGCGGGTGGATCACCTGATGTCAGGAGTTCGAGACCAGCCTGACCAACATGGTGAAACCATCTGTACTAAAAATACAAAAAAAAAAAAAAAATTAGCCAGGCGTTGTAGCACATGTCTGTATTCCCAGCTACTTGGGAAGCTGAGGCAGGAGAATCACTTGAACCCGGGAGGTGGAGGTTGCAGTGAGCTGAGATTGCACCATTGCACTCCAGCCTGGGCAACAAGAGTGAAACTCTGTCTCAAAAAAAAGGGCACATGACTGCAGTGTTTCATTTTTAATTATGTTTGTGCCTCAAAATGTACTTGATACAAAGAGGTCGGCTACGTTTGCATTCTCATGAAAATTTTTAGTAAAGTTGTTTTTCACTATACTTTTATTCTCACTTCTGTAAAGTATTCACAGGATGACTTATGATATGAAAGTAAATAAATAATCCATTGGACATGGATGGTAAATGGTGAAGACCATTTGTCCTGGCGTCCTGAGAACTGACGTCCAGGCAGAGTCCTGTCTACCTTCTAAAATTTTCTCTTGTTGTTCCAGTCCACCCAGAACTTTCTCTTCTCTGAATTATTATTCTAAGAACTTCCACCAAAACAGTTTGGAGGTTAATAGAGGTTAATACTTGCTTGGTTTCTTATCTAACCCAAATCATAAAGCTCTTTGAGGCAAAGACATTCATCCAACAAACACTCAAGTGCTGACAGGGACTGTGGCTGGCCATGGAGACACAATAGTAGGCAAATTAGACCTCATCCCTGCCTTCATGGCATTTACCCAGGACCTTGGCTGTGCCAGTGCCAGAACTAGATCAAAGGAGAGTGCAGTGGAAAGGCTCAGAGCTTTAGTGTAGACAGACCTGGGTTTGAATTCTGTCATCACCACTTCCCATCTGTGGGACCTTGGGAAAATGTCTTCACCTCTCTGAACTATGTCCTATTTTATCTGAGAAGTCGAGATCCTATTTCCTTTCTTGAAAAGATGAGTATGAATTTGCTAGGACTGCCATAGCAGAATGCTACAGACTGGGTGGCTTAAACAACTGATATTTATTTTCTCACCATTCAGGAGGCAGGAAGTCCAAGATCAAGGTGGCAGCAGGTTTGGTTGCTCCTGTGGTCTCTCTCTCGGGCTTGCAGACAGCCACCTTCTTGCTGTGTCCTCATGGCCTGCCCTCTGTGTGTGTGTCTCTTTCTGTTCTTGTTTTATGCCACCAGTCATAATGGACTAGGGTGTACCTATACGACTGTTTTTTACCTTAATTGCCTCTTCAAAGGCCCTAACTCCAAACACAGTCACACTAGGGGTTAGGGCTTCAACATATGAATTTAAGGGAGACATAGTTCAGTCCATAACAGAGTGTTATGAAGATTAATACATATACTTTTTTTTAAGAGACAGTCTCACTCTGTTGCCTGGGCTGGAGTGTAATAGTGCAATCATATCTCACTGCAGCCTCAACCTCCTGGTCTCAAGCAATCCTCCCACCTCAGCCTACCAAGTAGCTTAGAGACTACAGGCACACATCACCACACTTGACTACTTTTCTCATTTTTTGTAGAGACAGGGATCTCGCTTTGTTGCCCAGGCTGGTTTCAAACTCCTGGCCTCAAGTGATTCTCCCACCTCAACTTCCCAAAGTGCTGGGATTATAGGCATGAGCCACAGCATCCTGCCACAGCATATGCCTTATGTACATACCTAGTACACCACAGATGCTCAATGTAAAAGTATCTAATTGTCAGTTAAGGTATCTTGACACCCAAGTCAATATCCTTTTTGGAAAACTCTTTAAACAAGTTGATATGGTTTGGCTGTGTCCCCACCCAAATCTCATCTTGAATTGTAGCTCCCATAATTCCCACGTGTTGTGTGAGAGAGCCAGTGGGAGGTAATTGAATCATAGGGGTGGGTCTTTCTCATGCTGTTCTCATGATAGTGAGTAATTCTCATGATATCTGATGGTGTTATAAAGGGGAGTTCCCCTGCACACGCTCTCTTGCCTGCCACCGTGTAAGACGAGCCTTTGCTCCTCTTTCACCTTCAGCCATGATTGTGAGGCCTCCCCGACCATGTGGAACTGTGAGTCCATTAAACCTCTTTCCTTTATAAATTAGTCAGTCAGTGGGTAATTTATAAATTACACAGTCAGTGCTTAATAAATGATGTATCCTTGGACATGCCTAGTACAGTGGTGAGCATGTAGTAAGTAATCAGGGCACATCCGGTGACTGACTCTATCAGGGAACTGGGTTGTTTTCACACACAGGCTTGTAAGGAATAGGAGAGAAAATACCACATTTGAGGTCTGAAGAACTGAATACAAGTGTAGATTCTGCTCCTTAGCAGCACATAAGCTTGAGATGCTACTTCATCTAAAACCCATTTCCTCACTTGTCAGAAGAGAATAATCACACCTCTTTTGCACAGTTGCTTTGAAGCCTAAATGAGATAATGTCTGTGAAATCAGCTCTCCTGGCACATAGTAGGAGATCAGTACATATTAGCTGAGTTTATCAGGGTTTATCTGACTGTGCATCTCTAGGGCGGTAAATAACACAGTCATGCCCCCACCAGCATTCTCATACAGGTAAAACTGGGTTCAAATGAACACAGAGATAAGTGTGACGTGGAAACATGCAATGGATATGTCCCAGGAGGGCAACATAGGAAAGGATTAGAATAGGCACACTGGTCCCAATCTTGAAGTCCTGGGGTGTTAAGGCTTCCAGATTTTTCCACCACTCAAAGGACTCCCCTTCCACCTGCCCTCTGCCCCCACTCCCCGCTCCACACACACAAACATAGACAGGAATATCTGTTTTATGGGGCCCTTTCCTTACCCCACCCTCCTCTTTTGCCATTGGGATAAAGGGTGAATGGTCAGAGATTCTCCTCTGGCCATTCAGATTCTCTCTTTTGGTTGATTTTAGATTTGGGGTAAAGAAAGTGCAAGGTAATTCCAGAACACACTGTGCCAGAAAACAGTGTTCAAAGACTAATGGAGTCATGCCAGAGCACAGAAGCCACAGGCCAAATCTGGGGCAATTTGAACATCAGAAAAGAATTACAGTAAGTGTTTGTAGTATCTTGTGTTTTTTTTTTTAAGATATGTACATCCATAGTGCTCCTAAAGAGAAAGAATGAGAGAAGGAAAATGGGGCAAAGCTCTTCTTTACAAGAAAACCATTAATAAATGAGGATGGAGCCATAGAAAATTATCATTGTGCAATCCCCAACATAATCACTGATTCCAGCAAGAATCATCAAAAAATATATTGGATAAAGAGTTATAGAGAAACAGAATATTCAGTCTCAAGGTTATCACCTCACAGATTTCTCGTTGACTAGAAAGGCAAAATTATCATTACAATGGAAAGACTGTTCAGTTACTGTATTGACTAATTAATCAAATTTAGTATCACCAGCAGTTGCCTCCTAATGAATCTAATCATGAAGAAACACCAGACAAATCCAGAATGGGGACAATCCAAAAGACAACTGGCCAGAACACTCCAAAAAGTCAATGTCAAGAAACAAAAGAAGTGCTACTGCACTCCAGCCTGAGCACTGCAGCAAGCAAGACTCTGCCTCAAAATTTAAAAAAGTAAAAGACCAAAAAATGTAATATATAAGCTTAATTGGATTCCTTTTTTTTTTTTTTTTTTTTTTTTTGAGATGGAGTCTTACTTTGTCACCCAGGCTGGAGTGCAGTGGCACGATCTCAGCTCACTGCAACCTCCGCCTCCCGGGTTCAAGCCATTCTCCTGCCTCAACCTCCCGAGTAGCTGGGAATACAGAATCGCTTGAACCCAGAAGGCGCAGGTGGCAGTGAGCTGAGATTGCTTTCATTTTTATAGTTTTTTGTATAGTCTAAAATTGTTTTTACACAGAGCATGTATTGCTCGTATAATCAGAGAAAAAAAAAAAACCCTCTCTTTTGTGGGGGAGATACCATTTCTTATTCCGTAAGTAAACTTTCCAGCTGAGGAAATTATTGGGACAATTGTTTTGTGGTAGAATGTTTATTCATTCAGCAAATAGTTCAGTATAAAATATTGTATTGCTTGCAAAGACTCTAGATATGTAAGGTCCTCTCATCTAACCTTAAAATTTTTCTCCCTACTTTACCATATATATAAGAACATAAAATAAAATCTTGGCCAGGCATGGTGGCTCATACCTGTAATCCCAGCACTTCAGGAGGCCAAGGAGGGTGGATCACCTGAGGTCAGGAGTTTGAGACCAGCCTGACTAGCATGGTGAAATCCCATCTCTACTAAATACAAAAAATTAGCCAGGCATATTGGAGCATGCCTGTAATCCCAGCTACTTGGGAGGCTGAGGCAGGAGAATCACTTGAACCCAGGAGGTGGAGGTTGCAGTGAGCTAAGATTGTGCCATTGTACTCCAGCCTGGGCAATAAGAGTGAAACTCTGAGAAGAAAGAAAGAGAGAAAGAGAGAAAGGAAGGAAGGAAGGAAGGAAGGAAGGAAGGAAGGAAGGAAGGAAGGAAGGAAGGAAGGAAGGAAAAGGAGAAAAAATCACCACATCAATGCTTGCTTTCTTGTCTCCCACCAATCCACGTCTGTATTTATTTTACCCAGTATGATCATCTTACCGTCCTTTGACTACCCTCTTCTGAGTCTATTGTTCGTTAATTTAAGACCTTCCAGAGCCTATTCACATTTGGGACATGCACTGCTTTGTGTTCGTACCAAATGCAGTTTTTAAGCTTCGAGGGCTCTGGTGCATTTCGGCTGGGATCTAGACTCATTCTTGTTTGTGCCCAGCCCCTAGCATGGTGCCTGGCACTAACAGGCCCTTCACACATGTGTGTCAAATGAATGAACACCAATATGTACAGTTAGCTTAGGGGGAGGGGTGACTTGGTCTCGTTTAGAGTATACACATGCACAGAGCTATGGAATGCAAATAAGAACATTTGCACCCAAACTCTGAGCCCTGACTCAGGGCCCTCGGGTGCCTTTTGTCTCCAAGCAGCAGGGAATTCAAGCAGAAAATTCACTATTAATGGTTCAATAAAACATTCAGGTCCTGGATGTGGCCCCAAGGGAAGCCTGCGGCAGTGTGGAATACAGATATGTTTCCCCAGGAGGGAGCCCCATGCTCATTTAGCCTTATCTGTCAGGAGGATAGGAGCCTGGACTCCTGGAGCCAGGCCTGGGTACCTCGTCAACACTGGGGCACAAAGCCACAGGGAAAGGCGCAGCAAAGTTTCAGCAGGTCCGGTCAGTCACTCTGAAAAAGTTCCTCTCCTGGGGATTTGCACTCAGTTTGTTATACAAGACAACAGAGGTTAATCACATACCTTACCCTCAGAGAAACAATTGCATTATCTTAACCGACCATGTGGCTTCAGATTTTTTTAGGTGTTGTGTTCATGTGTTTCAGCGAGATACATTTGGCAAATAATTCTAACAGCGCCAGCTCATGTGGATGCTTAGTAAACGCTCTTTGATTGTAATGATGACAGAGCTGGAACTACCAGCTGTGTGTGCGTGTGCACGTGTGTGTGTGTGTGTGTGTGTGTGTGTCTGCGTCTGCGTCTCTATGTAGCCAGCAGAAGCCTTGGCAGGGTAGGGGGAAGCCATGGGGGAGGGAGAAGGTTACAACAAGCTGTTCTGGCCATGTCTTTTAATTAATACCAAAAACCTGAACTTAGAAATCTTAGAGATCTGTTATTTGATTTTGCAAAGGACTAAAACTATTTTCTTTCTCAAAAAAAAAAAAATCCTGTCTCATATCTTCCTTTTCCAGAACCACAAAATAGCTTTGGGAAGATAGTCATCTTGCATGAACAAAAACACAATTTTGTGAAATGGCATTTCACCAGCTTTACACCAACACTCTGATGAGGAACAGGGGAGAAGCAGAAAGAAGGGACTCTCTTCCATTTAAGCATGGATTCAGACCGTGGCAAGCTGTCACGCCTCTGATGGTGGTAGTGAAGGCAAGATTTGAGATTTGAGATTTTCTGATCTAGAAACAGGAAACATCTAGGGATTAGGAGATTTTCACGTGACACTATTTGCCGAAAAAATAGAAAGCTTTCAGTGCAGTTGTTGGACCATTTGTATGTCTATTTCTAGCTGGCTTTTGAGGCTGCAGTCATCCATACAGAACCAGCCACATAAAGACAGATGAACACCTATAGAGGCCCTCCCACTCTCCCCAATAAATAAGTATTTAGTGTCGGCCCTAGATGACCACTCCTAAAATACTGCCATAGCATCACTCCCCATGCACAGAAACATTCAATGTCTTCCCAATGCCCTACTAATCCCCACTGGGTAAAGTGTAAGCTATTGAGGCCACTGTTCAAGGCCTTTTACAGTCTCACCCTACATGCATTTACAGCCTCTGCTGCTGCTGCCTTCTGCAAAGCCTCCTCCAGGCCAGCTCACCTGGCCTTCTGATTCTCACCCTTTCTTCATCTCTGCCTATCCAATCTCGCCCATCCTTCAAGACCCTGCTCAAATCTCCCGTCGGCCAAACCTTTTCCACCATCCCAGCTGGAGGAGATGCATTCGCCTTGAGTACCCAGGTGTCTTTTGCTAACACTAGAAATGCTATCTGTACCTTTTTTAGTTCTTGCAGCTCATCCTCCAAGCCAGACTGTGAGCTCTTTGAATGCAGAAATTTTTATTATATGGTATTGAATCCCCTGCCCATTAATACATGCCTTCTGCATATCAACAAGCATTGGGTGCCCAATGCATGCATGTGAAATTGACTGACTTCAGTGTGGCTGGCACTGTGCTCAGTTGCATAGAAATAAGAAAGAATATAAGTTGCTTCCCTCCAGCAGTTTCCAGTTTTTCTAGAGAGGCAAGATACAGTACAAGCAGAGAACGGTATGAGGTGCATTCTGCAATGCAAACTGCAAATCTGAAAGTAACAGTTGTCCAGACATATCATCCAGAAAAATGCTGTAAGCTTATAAAAGGAAAAGGCCACCTTTTAATTAGGCCTAAGAGTTAGTTGTACTTGAGATGGCCTTGAGGAATAATCATTATATTTTGTATTTGTCTGCTACTTTATAGTTTTCAAAGCTCCTTTATTTATATTAACTGAATAAATTATTACACCACCATTGTTAGGTATTATTATGCCTATCATTTTTCTGTTTTCATAGAGAAAGGGTCTCACTATGTTGCCCAGGCTGGTTTCAAACTCCTGGCCTCAAGCGATCCTCCCGCCTTGACCTCCCAAAGTGCTGGGATTACAGGCGTGAGCCACTGCACCTGGCCCCTATGCCCATTTTAAAGAATAAGAATTCAAGGCTGGTTGCTGTGGCTCGTGCCTGTAATCTTAACATTTTGGGAGGCCTAGGCAGGAGGATTGCTGAGGCCAGGAGTCTGAGACCAGCCTGGTCAACATAGTGAGACCCCATCTCTACAAAAAGGCCCCGGTAGCAGGAGTGGTTTGGCTCAAATCATACGGCAATGTGGGGGCTAAGCCAGGACTCAACTCAACCACTGGCATTTGGAGTTCAGTTTCACTACCTTCTACTACTATCATTCTTTGCCTTTAAACTAGAATTCTGGAGCAAGGGATTGAAGCAAAATGAAAATACCATTTTAAAAATATTAGGCAGGCTGCAGTATATAGGATAGATTGAAGAAATAGAGTGGGGAGAGAGCATGCACACACTAGGAACTGTGACAAATGGCTGTAGAGATGAATTGATTACATTTGGTAACACCTGAATACAAAGGATGAGGGAAGGAGTGAGAAGAAAGATGGCTCAGGTTATAAAATAGAGTGGCTGAGAGAATGTCATCACTGACACTGAATATGCAGATGGGGGTTTTAGCTAACAGGGATATCACAACATCCTTGTGAGCATCAAAATGACATCCGAGTGAGAACATCTCAAAGGCGCTGGAATTATGGTACCAAAATCCAAGCGGAGATCTGGGCTGGAGGGAGCCCCAAGAGACCCCCACAAAGAGTGGAGTTGTGAAAGCAAATGAGCTAACCTATGAAACCTGTGACTAATTTAACAGAGGGCCAAGCTGAAGGGGGGTTGGCTCTCCAACGTGGAACATACATCTATTTCTGAAAAATTATGAAACAGAAGGGTATCAGACCCCCTCCATGGCATTCAAATCAATTGCACCATCCTACAAAGCTTTTCAGGGATTGTGATCAGGCTTCTGAAGTGCCTGGATGCTGGGACGCCTGGACATCTGGACACCTGGGTGCCTTCTTATTCTGAGCATGGCATTTTTTAGGTTTCTATGATCTTAACATTCAAGTTTCAGGACACAGCTTCTAGTCATATTGATGGGGCTCTTAAGGTGTAGCCATGGGACATGCATGGGGTGTTCCCAGGACATTGTGACATGGCAACACTGGGGCACATTGTCAGCTTAGTGTCCAGGGATTCCAGCTCCTGGGTTCAGGGCTGAGGGTGGAAGGGATGCCCTGTGCATATTATTCACGCATGTCCTGCGGTGACCTTTACTTCCCCTTCTGGGATTTTATCCCCATTATGTGGTGAGCACAGTTTCATTACTCCCCTGTTATGGGCTGAACTGTACACCCATCCCCCAGATTCCTATGCTGAAGTCTTAACCCCAGCCCCTCAGAGCATGACTGCATTTGGGGGCAGGGCCTTTAAAGAGGTGATGTAGGGTAAAGGAAGTCATTAGGGTGGGCCCTAATCCAATAGGCCTGGTGTTCCTAAAAGAAGAGGAGAATGAAGACACAGATACACACAGAGGGGCAGCCACGTGAGGACACAAGGAGAAGATGTCCATCTCCAAGCCAAGGAGCGAGGCCGCAGAAGGAATCAACCTTGCTGACACCTTGATTTCAGACTCCCGGCCTCCAGAACCGTGAGAAAATTCACTTCTGTTGTTGAAGCCCTGTCTGTGGCACTGGGTTCTAACAGTCCGAGCAGACTAATACACCCACTAATCCTTCTACATGCCTGTACTAAAGCCCAGTGGCCACTTTCCTGCCCACTCAGAACCTGCAATTTGTCCTCAGCATCTTAACACGTCATTCAAAAAATAAGATAAACATCACTTGAACATCACTCTCCTCTCTTGAACTTCTCTTTCACTTCCAGTCTGATCCACAATTAGCACCTTATCATGTGCTCCCTAATTCTCAAATAGTCTGAGTCACTATAGCAAATGCTGTGCTGGTCACCATTCATTGATCTAACTTGTCCCCTGGGCCGGCTTCTTGAGTGTAAGGACATCTTTCATTCTCACATCACCTAGCCCAGCGAGGCTGGATACTCTGGTAGTCAAACCTATACTTGCAAAGGCAATCATTGGCCATTTGCATTGAAACTGTATTCACCCAACTCTTCCTTTAAACCTAGCTCTTGCTGATTACTAAAGTGTAACTTGCCCTCAATAGTTCAAAAGTCCATCCATATTTTGATGCAAAGTTGTGAAGAAATGTGTGTGTCCCTCTATTTTTAAAATCCATTGTGTTCTGACTTAAAAGTGTTTTAAAATGTGAAGAGTTTGCCCTCATTGAGTAAGAAGCAGCTTTTCCAGTGGGACCCTGCTAACGTGGTTACTAAGGAGACCAATTGGAGGTAGGCGCCGTAATTAATCAGTAAATTCCAAGCAGCCAAATACCTGGCCAGGAGAGGCTCTTTACTCTGAGAGGGGAAAATTGGCAGGTGGGTGGAGGTGCGTTGAGCTGCACATGGGGCCCAGCTGCAGCTGCCTCCTTCCCTTGTACTTCCTCTACTGAGATATTCTGATGACAATTTTAAGAGCTTTCTCAATCTGCCTCAAAACTTACCTATCAGTACAGATTGGATTCTAATGTTTGCAGCCTCCCTGGTTGGGCCTCTATTGCAAAGAAGATGCCAAGCTGGTGTGGGCAGGAGTGAACTTCCGCCACCTCATAAGCAGAAGAAATCATTATTTTATTTTATTTTATTTTATTTTTATGAGACAAGGTCTTACTCTGTTACCCAGGCTGGAGTGCAGTGGCTCAATCATGCCTCACTGCAGCCTCAACTTCCCAGGCTCAAGTAATCCTCCCTCCTCAGCCTCCCAAGTAGCTGAGACTACAGGTGCTTACCACCACACCTGGCTAGTTTTTTATATTTTATAGAGACAGGGTCTTGCCGTGTTGCCCAGACTGGTCTTGAACTCCTGGGCTCAAGCAAACCTCCCACCTTGGCCTCCTAAAGTGCTGGGATTACAGGCATGAACCACCACGCCCAGCCAAGAATTTTATTAATTCCAAGTTCTTGTGCACACACACACACACGCATACACACACACGCGCGTGCACACACACACAAAGCAGTAGAAATAAGAACATGTGACCTTTCTTTTCCAACTATTTTAATAAATGTATCCTGCCAATCAGAAAAGCAGGGGGCAGCTTGCTGCTCTGTGACCAGTTACCATACCCAAGGGAAGCCCATGGCTCTCAAAGTGCCAAGTCTCAGTGGCTGTGTGGCAAGGGGGAAGCCCTGAAGCCATCACAAACGCCACACAGTCTGCACCATTTCTAGTCTACTTGTGCTTTTCTGAGGGGCAAGATTCTTCTACTCCCCCACCCAACAGTGGTTTTAAACTCCCTCCTGGGTTCATCCTGCCCTTCCCCATCCATCACTGGAGACAGCCTGCCACCACATGCAGCTTCATTCAACCCACCAAGAATATCCAGGTGTTGGGTTCAACTCTTCTGTCTGGTAAATGAGGAAAGAAAAGTCCAGAGAAGCTAAGTGACTTTTCACTCTTGCTCTTTCTCTTCCTCAACTGCAAGGGAAGAAAAGCATTTAGCTGCCTGAACATCCTGGGAATGACGAGGTGCTCAAAGGCAGGTGTGTTGGTTTAAGGTAATTTTCCACTGGATGTAATAGAAAATCCAACTAAATGGCTTAAATCATAGGAAGTAAAAGTTTCAAATGCCTCCAATGAATGGCTTCTGCATAGCCACCCTCTATTATCCTGGGACTTTGTAGTCTCCACCCAGCCTGGCTCTGGACAGTCTTGCAACTGGCCTTAGCCAACAAATGTAGCAAAAGCAATGGACTGCCAGCTCCATGCTTAGGTCTCAAGAGGTTCTGTGTGCTTGCGGTTGTTCCCTTGCTTGATTGTATTTGCTTGTGCTTTCACTTCAGGCTTGCCATGAGACTATGCCAGGTTAATATGCTGGAGGGATGTGAGAGACCCATGAAGGATAAGACATGTGCAAGAGAACCAAGGTCCCCAGCTGACACCCAGCCAACTTTCTGAGTCCAACTGCAGGTGCAGAAGAGAGTCAGGCTGAGACCAGAAGAACTGCCCTGCTGAGACTAGCCAAAATTCCCAATCTGTAGAATCATGAGTCAAATACGTGGTCTGTTGTTTCAAGCCTCTGGCCTTGGTGTGGCTTGTTATGCAGCAATGGGTAACTGAACCCTGACTGACATTTGAAATAAATGTTTGGGGTTTTTTTTGTTTTTTTTTTGTTTTTAAAAAAAGGTTGAAGTTTGGAGTCCAAGACTGATATGGCCATTCCATTAGTCATGGGGGACCCAAAATCCTTCCATCTTTATGTTCCATCATATTTACTCATGGCTTCCATCCTCAAAGTTGTCTTATCTCATAATCCAAGATAGCTGCTAGAGCTCCAGCCATCACATTTGTGTCCCAGGCAGGATGGAGGGAGGACAAAGAAGAGAGAGAGGCCTTCAGTGAGTTGACCCCCTTTAAAAGAGCTTTCCCAGCCAGGCTCAGTAGCTCACACCTGTAATCCCAGCACTTTGGGAGGCCGAAGTGGGCAGATCACAAGGTCAGGAGATCAAGACCATCCTGGCTAACATGGTGAAACCCCGTCTCTACTAAAAAAAAATACAAAAAAAAAATTAGCCAGGCATGGTGGCAGGTGCCTGTAGTCCCAGCTACTCAGGAGGCTGAGGCAGGAGAATGGCATGAACCTGGGAGGCAGAGCTTGCAGTGAGCTGAGTTGGCGCCACTGCACTCCAGCCTGGGCGACAGAGCAAGACTCCGTCTAAAAAAAAAAAAAAAAAAGCTTTCCTGGAAACCCCACCCAAGGACCTGCAGCTTAATGCTCATTGGCAACCCTTGGTCAATGGGAAATGTAGTCTTTTAGCTAAGTGCATTGATGCCTGGAATAAAATCAAGGGTACCGTTTAGTAAGGAAGAACAGGGAAATGGGGATTGGGTAGGCAGCCTGCAATATCTGCCACATCATGTATGAAATCAGGTTCCAGGCCTGAGACACTGAAGTACATCAGGATGCAAAAGTGACCCCGTGTCAGTCAGTGAACATGCTGGTTTCCCAAAGAGTCCAAAATGGTAGCTGCGACCTGCAGTGTAAGGTTTGGGCAACAGAGATCTAAGTGAAGAATCATGAGTATGCTGGTCTCCTGAGCCCTTTTGCTGTGAACACAGACGGAAGGGAAATTTTATTCTCAGAACCTGTTGCTCTTAACCTGAGCAGATGTTTGCTGTCTTTTTCCTATTTTCTTTTTATGGAGATGTAATTCCCATAACATAAAATGCACCATTTTAAAGCATACAATTTGGTGGGTTTTAGTATTCTTGCTATGTTGTGCAACCATCACCTCAGTCTAAATCCAGAACATTTCCATTACCCCAAAAAGAAACCCTATACCATTTGCAGTCAGGGCAGATGCTTCCCTCAATCCTTCTCCACCCAGTCCTGGGTAGACCAGAGAGCTGGACTTAACCACATGAATGAGTGCTTGAGCTCCTTGGATGACATAGGTTCAAACCCTGGGATTCTGGAATATTTTAGACCCTCTTAGGAAAACCAAGGACAGGGTCATGGTGAAATTCACCTAAGGTAAGGAAACGTGGGGTCCACAAGGATGCTAAACCCTCAAGCCTGTGCCTTCAGCCTGTGAGCTCCTTTCCTGCAGCCCACAACCCCCGGCGGCTGTAGAAGACAAAGAGGCTCTGCAGTAAGGGACAGGGAAGCTTCCAGAGCTTCTGAGCCTCCAGGGCCCTCGGTAGTGATGCCCTAAGTTGCAGAAGCTTTAAAAGCTCTCTGTTGTGACACCAGACACTGATATGGGATTTCTACATCCAGGTGGTACTAATCAGTGTGAAAAGCGGGCTGAGAGGAGAGGGAGGATGCAGCACATTCATTAAGGGCCTCGTGTGTTGTAGATTCAAACAGAATCTCCTTTTTCTACTCACAACCATCCTGGGCAGTATTAGACTCATTTTCCGGAAGGAGGACTTGAGGTTCACAAAGAGATGTGCCTTGCTCTGACTGTACAGCCGAATTTCAGACACTTCCATCTGAGCCTCGAGTCTCAGCATTCTCCATTGCACCATGCTGTGGGCACCTGTGGAAATGCCTCCTGACCTGGCCCAGGGCAGGTGCAGCCACCTCTTGAGTGGCCTAGTTAGGGGCAATGACATTAGGTCAGGGCTTGGCTTAGCTCAGCCCTGGGCTCCTCCGAGTCGGTAGGAGCTTGGCATGAGCTCCCCTCCCTTCTGCCTGCCTCCTATTCTTCACTCCTCAGGCAAAAAGGTTGCTCAAGGAGACTCCAGGATTTGGGGTCTGCCTCGTCACTGTCACCAGGAGGCTTTTTTTCTGACTTGCCAGAGCTCCCCATCAGTCCTCACAGAGCCTCTGGAAGCACAGGGAAGGCAGCTGTGGGATCCTGGCTGAACAGAGTCCAGGTGAAGCAGGCTTGAGAATGGATTGATGGGGAGGTGGGGATGTCACAGGTCTGATGGCAGAGCCGGGGGAAGGGAACAGCCAGGAAGGCTTGCAGGTTCTGCTGTTTGGTTGCTGAAGGGGGTCAGTGTGTGTATGTGTCATGGAGGTGGGCAGGGAAGGGGAGGGCTGTGCGTGGGGGAGAGGATATATATGCTGGTGTGGCTGAGAAAGCGGAACCGAGCCTCGCATCCATCGGAGGGAGCCGGGGACTGACAGCTCTCAGGTAGGCAACTGCACGGGGCCCCCAGCCCGACCGCGACTAACTGGACTAACTGCGTGGAGCTCCGGGAGGGCAGGGCCACCAGGGGCTGGCTCCTCGGCCTCTCTCCTTTGTCCAGTGTGGATGCTGCTGGCCTCTTGCGAGATGGTTTCTTCATTCATCTCCTTTGTAGCGCTTGGATGGTGGGGAACGGGGGAGGGCTGAGTCTCTTTTTTAACCTCAGACAGACGCAGAAGCAGAAAGAGGGGAACTTGGAAATGAGGAAAAGTTTTGCTTCCCCAGCTGTGGCCCCTACGTGGTTGTTGCTCTGTGTCGAGAGGAGGCTGCTGGAGGAGTGAGGCCAGAGGAGGGGCAGGCACTTGGGAGGGGGTTTGCCTTCCACGGGGCGGCCCCCAGGAAGACCCTGGCCCCCTCATGAGGGTTTCCTCTCAGTGGCTTCCTTTCCTCTCAGATGCGGTGCGCAGGCTGCTTCTCCGCCTATCACTGAACTTGATGCCATCCAGATGGGAGTTTTTAATCCGGAGGGAGCCCTTCTCCCTTCTGCCCCCAGCAGAAATTGCTACAAATAATGGGGAAGCGCCAGATCTGGGGAGTGTGCTTCACCTGTATACACACACTGCTGAGCGCCACGGCGTGTGAATTCCAGAGAGCATTTCTACGGGCGTGACCTTGGTCTCCCAGAACCCGATTCATTTAGAGGGCTCTTCTCTTGCTTGGCATCCCTCTCCCCCTGCCCATCTCCCCCACCTAAAGGTCTTTGCCCAGGTCATGCAGAATACTCCGTTCATAGTCACCGCATCCCAACTCTCGAGGCTCTCTCAGCCACCTTCTTTCTTCCTCCTCTCTTTGTGCATCTCTCTCCCTCGAGTCTTGCTTCCCCGGCTTCACTACCCAGCCCCTCCTCCCCGAATCTCGCTCTGAACATGGGCAAGTTCTGGGGGAATTTCAAGTAAGGCAGGATGATTCGGGAAATGGACTATTTAAAGCAAGCTGCTTTGGACTTGAATACCCCCATCCTGCGCTTAAACATCTGTGTTTAGCTTCCTCAAGCAGCCCATAATTGCCCCAATTATAACCAATAACATTGTTCGGCAGACTAACAAAAGATGAGCTTTGCACGGCATTCGCCAGCAAGCCCAAACCAGAGTTTTCAACATAGATGGGAAAAGTAACTGCCTGGCTTCTTATCAAAACCTCCCAAAGCAAATACTGCTCTTTTTCGCTGCTTGTGGGTGGCTACTGCATGCAGCCTCTTTTTTTCTCATTTGTAAAGTGTGGCAGGGAAATATTCTACAAGCTTACACTGAGGCTATGTTACCTTTAACAAAAAGGATTCGTGCTCCTTTGGGCTTGCTGAGTCTTCTGCAGAGGAGGGTCCCTGGAAAACCCATCCCCAACCATCACCACCTCTGTAAAAGCATGTGCCGCCTGGTGCTGCCTGGCGAGGGCGCTGTGGTACAGCCTCGGGTCATTTTGAGGGCGCAGTTTTGTTGCGCACAGGGCAGCAGCCCCTGCTTTATCAGCTGAAGGCTGAGAGTACTTACGGATTTGTAAAATGCAGGCGAGTTTGCATTGTCAGTGAAGGGAGTGATTGCAGGATTAGGCTCAAACCTGTGCTCCCTGGAGCCTATGACAAGAGCTGTCACTAAGCTATCCTGTATTCAATCAATCAGGTAGTTACCGTCTACACTCCACCAGGCAGGGAGGCTTGCAGGGGCTCTAGTAGATTCAGCAGAGGTGATAATAACAGCACTTTACATTTGTACAACGATTTAGGCGCTTTCACACCTATTATCCCAGCAACAGCCCTGTGAGGTGGTGCCATTATCTCGGTGTTGCAGTTGGAGAAACTGAAACTGAGAGATTAAATGATTTATTCAGTACATGGCAGGGTCAGGACTGAGCCAAGGCATTGTGGCTCCAGTTCATCTCCCCGTTACGGTCAGGGGTGCTTATGAACTCATAGTGGGGTCGGGGGTAGAGGAGAGACGTAACACAAACATGAGAAACAATTAGAGGACCATGCAAGGCAGGGTGTAATTCAGTCCTAAATCACATAATCCAGAGAGCAAGTGCTAGAAGAATTCGGGAGAAGGAGCATTTCCTCCAGGCATTCCTGGGATCCTACCAAGTGAGAAGGCAGGTGGAATTTGGATGGGTGAAGGGCTTTGAAGAGGGAGGCAGCAGCCAGGTCAAACACATAAAATGAGGGCAAAGGAATTAACATTTCTTGAAACCCACTCTGTGCCAGGCAGTGAGCTAAGCTTGTCTACGTGCTTATTTCATGCTAATACACACATGCACATATGCACACTGGTAGGAATGGGAAGTTTCAGGTGAGCGTTCTCTACTTGCACTGACACGGTTCAGTGATCCCTCATTTCTCCATCCAGCTCCACAGCTCCCAAAGCCCACGAAGGAAGCTTTGAAATATCTTGCATTCCGAGTCTGGGTGGAGCTACTCCTCAGATATCTTAGGAAAGGGACGGGCCCTTCTCAGAAAACGGGAGCCGTCCTGACAATGAGTGGCTGGCAGTGGCTTGAATTGCTGGGCAGTCATGAAGCAAACTGGATTTTCTAAACGCCTTTATTTAAATCCCACAGTCGAACATAAAGTTTTCCATCTAATCACAAACTAGTCATGAGATTTGGAGCACATCGATTTCAGGGGCAAGCCAGTTTTCTGGGCATCTCCCTGGATAGGCTACAATTAGTTTCAGTCTCAATTTTCCACGATCCTGTGGGGTTTTTTTTGTTTGTTTCTTTCTTTCTTTCTTTCTTTTTTTTTTTTTTTTTTTTTTTTTTTTTCAAAATACTGGCAGCTGCTTCAACATTGCAGAAGCACAAAATCATCAGCCCGGGGGCCCAGCCTGGCAGGTGGAGTAGATAGCATGCCTCACCATGCACCCCAGCTCTGCCATCCCACAGTGGCTCAGATCCAACCTCCCCTCTTTCCACACTGGCCTGCAATCTTCCCCCCACCCTCCTTCCCCATTCATCCTTTCATTCATTCGGCCAAGGAACGTGTGTGGGGTTCCTGATAGGAGCCACACAGAGCAAGTGCCAGGAGCACAGGGTGGCCAGAGCGCTGGCTTCCTCCAAACTCACAATGGGCTTCAGGAGACTGAGACTTTTGTTTTTATCTTACCTTTCTTAATTTGCATTTTAGTGGATTTTATAATGTATGTAACTTATAAATAAATTAGGAATGTGTACTCAAAATCGACTGCTAGGGGTACAAAGTTAAAGAAGTTTGGCCGGGCGCAGTGGCTCATGCCTGTAATCCCAGCACTTTGGGAGGCCGAGGTGGGCAGATCACAAGGTCAGGAGATCAAGACCATCCCGGCTAACACGGTGAAACCCCGTCTCTACTAAAAATACAAAAAAATTCTCTGGGCGTGGCGGTGGGCGCCTGTAGTCCCAGCTACTCGGGAGGCTGAGGCAGGAGAATGGCGTGAACTCGGGAGGTGGAGGTTGCGGTGAGCCGAGATCACACCACTGCACTCCTGCCTGGGTGACAGAGCGAGACTCCATCTCAAAAAAAAAAAAAAAAAAGAAGAAGAAGTTTGAAGATTGTTGTCCTAGATTCATTGCTGTTTCTCTGTGTTTTCCAATATTTTAGAAAAGAACACCGAATGATTTTATTACATAAAAGTAAATAAAAGCTTTTCTTTCTTTCTTTTTGAGTTGGAGGTCTTGCTATATTGCCCAGGCAGGTCTTTTGTTGTTGTTGTTGTTGTTTACAGACAGGGTCTCACTCTGTCACCCACACTGGAGTGCAGTGGCACAATCATAGCTCACTGCAGACTCAACCTCCTGGGCCCAAGCTATCCTCCTGCCTCAACCTTCTGAATAGCTAAGACTGCAGATGTGCACCACCACACCTAGCTAAATTTTTTTTTTTTTTTTTTTTTGTAGAGATAGGTGTCTTACTATGTTCCCCAAGCTGGTCTCAAACTCCTGGGCTCAAGCGTCCTAAGTTGCTGGGATTGCAGTTGCATGCCAATACACCCAGCTAAAAGTAAATAAAAGCTTTCCAAAATCTATTTAAATTATGTTGCCAGTATATGTGGGAGTGTGGCCCAGAACCAGGAAGATGGGAGTTGAGAGCTACCTTCCCACCTGCAGTAGCCCTGAACGTGTGTCTTTTGCCCCCTCCACACTCTTTCTATGGCTTTCCTCATGCTGCCCGGAAGCTACTTCCCCATAAAGCCTTCATCTCCTTTTCCTCTTCCCTTCTTCCTTCCATCCTTACTTCCAGGAAAGGACAAATATCTGGCCATTCATAAAATCAGAGAATATCAACCATCTCATCTAACTGCCTCTTCTTATAGAGGGAAAAGCTGAGGCCCAGAGAGAAAAGGTCTTGCTTAAAATCCCACAGGTAACGACAGAGCCAGACTAGAAGCCAGGACTCTTGTTTCTGAGCACAGCTCTCACGCGTTCATTTCTCTCCAGCCTGGGGAATGCTTGACCTGTGCTGGGCTGGGCAATTGTTCTTTCCTCCACCTCCTCTATGCCGTCCCCCTCTTTCCAGGTGGAAATTTAGATGAGAGGAGAGACACTTGAAGTGTAATTGTATCAGCCAGAAGAGGAAAAGAAACTAAAGCAGCCTCTCTCCATAATAGCTGGTAAACAAGCATAAGCTCCATTGTAGGAGTCTTATCTGCAATGGGTCTAAGAAATGGGGCATCGGGAAGACCCACCTATCTTCTGATGGACATGCAGCTGGTGCATAATGAAGGATCCCTGTGTGGACTGGAGAGAAGCCACCATAAAGAGGTTGTCATCAGCCCCGGCACAGTGGCTCATGCCTGTAATCCCAGCACCTTAGGGAGGCTGAGGCGGGAGGATCATTCGAGGTCAGGAGTTTGAGACCAGACTGACCAACGTGGTGAAACCCCGTCTCTACTAAAAATACAAAAAAAATTAGCCAGGCATGGTGGCGGGCACCTGTAATCCCAGCTACTCAGGAGGCTGAGGCGGGAGAATCATTTGAACCCAGGAGGCAGAGTTTGCAGTAAGCCAAGATAGCGCCACTGAACTCCAGCCTGGGCAACAGAGCGAGACTCCATCTCCAAAAAATAAAAAATAAGAAGTAAATAAAAAAGGTTGTCATCAGACAGGGAGTACAGACTTCAGGACAAGAGGAAGCCCTACATGAAGACAGCTGCTGGGATCACTGACAGGCAGGGTCAGACATAAGTCCCAGCTCTGCCACTTCAAGTTACATCAGCTCCTCAAGCCTCAATCTGCTCAACTATAAAATGGGGATGATAGCACTTACCCCATAGGGTGATGCTTATAAAGCAATTAGCGCAAAGCCTGGCTCATAGTGCTCTAAAGTCATAGCAATATGATTGCTATGAAATGCAAATAGATTCCACCGCAATGAGATGCCATCAGAATCTGGCAATCTTCCAAAAGCAGAAACAGTGTGTAAAGTTGATGGTTTCCCAGAACACATGGTTTGAAGTCAACACACCTGAGTTTAAGTCCTGGCTCTGCTACTTATAAACCGGATGATCCTAGTCAACTTGCTTAACCTCTAAGAGTTTATGTTCATTTTAAAAGGTGGGTTGATATTAACCCTAGATTACAGGGTTGTATAATATATGAATATAAAATTTTTTGGTAACCTGTCAAGAATATTCTCTACATGTGGTTGATGAAAAGGATGGAGGTGTATCTGCCTCTAGCAAGAGCAGTCCCCTCTTCTCTGCTGGCAGCATCAAAATTACAGGACTTCGAATAGGTCATAAGACAAAACTCAATTAGGGTCCAGCTTCGGCTAAAGCTGCATATGTGATTCTCCAAACAGATAAGCAACTAATTATATTGCCCTTGGAAGCAAGATTACATGCAAATCGATTAAGGCCAAGCCATAGTGGTATTTTATCTTTATAAACAGCAAGGCACAATTAAATTTATGAGGTGTCATTACCAAAAGAAAAGGCAATTCAACATTTCTTTATTCAATATGAGACGCTCAGAATATAGTATTGCCACATAGAAGTATTAGCTGAGCTTGGCTCACGAAGTGAAATACAAGCCATGGAAAATTCAGCCTACTCAGGTAACTTTTGATTTACTGATGTTTGCTATGGTTGTATAAAAATAGCAACAACCTGTCACTATTCCCATTTCACAGTTGAGAAGACTGAGGCTCACAGAAGTGAAATAATTTGCACACAGTCCCACCGTTACAAAGTATAAAGTTTCAGCATCAATGTAACAACAAACCTGTTATTATCCCCACTTTGTAGTTGAAAGGACTGACCATCTCAGGACTTGTCTGCAGTCACACAGGTCCACAGTGTAAGGTTTAAACACAAATACAACTCGTGAATTAACTAAGTACTCATCTCCATTTAAATACAGAACATCATCCAGCATGGAGATATAGTCAAGACTTCTTACAAATGAAAAACATCTACTGAGTTTTCAAAGTTCAAAATCTGATTTAACCTAGAACACAGTTGTAGTAGGTGTTGGGAAGTGTATGAGAAAATACAGAATGCTGTCTCTATAACGATATTTACATAATTTTGAGTTTTCACTGACATTAATCTCATTTTAAAGCTTGCAAGCCACCTGTAGGGTGGATGGAACTATGTGGTCATCTCCATTTTGCAGATTCTGTGAATTGCAGGGGGGAATGGATAGCATTGAATATGGATGGCTCCTCAAATAATCAGTGGAGTCAATTGTTAAAAGTGAGGGGAGACAGAGAAGGGTCGGGAGGTTGGAGTCCGAAAGGTAGACGTGCCTCTGACCCACAGGGAGGTCCTGGCTAGAGCCAAGGACACTCAACAAGGTCTCCCTAAGTGCCAAGCTGCAGGGCCTCACATTTCACCTGCAGGAAGACTATCAAATGGAACATGTACTACGTGTCCCAGAAGCTCATCTTCCTTTTATACCTCGCCCTTAAATCCCATTTACCCAGATTTTGGCAAGCATCAGTCAAACCAGCCAACATTTCCTGAACATGCAAGTTGCCCCAGTTAATGAAGTTCACAAAAAACCTCAGCCAGAGAGCATTTTGCTAACATCTGTCACAGTTTGTCAGCTCAGCCTATGCACACATTCTGTATTACAACCTCATATTAGGAAGGAAAGGAAACGGCTCCTTTTCTCCTCCCTTCCCTTTCTTCTGCGACGTATAGCCACTGCCACCATGTGGCTGTAGAGGGCACAGCCACGCTGTTTGGAACAAATTCTACAAAAATGTCTAGAAAGACGGAAACTTAGTAGAATGAGAAATGTAAGGCCAGGCATGGTGGCTCATGTCTGTAATCCCAGCACTTGGGGAGGCCGAAGCGGGAGGATCACCTGAGGTCAGGAGTTCGAGACCAGCTTGGCCAACATGGTGAAACCCATCTCTACTAATAATACAAAAATTAGCTGGGGGTGGTGGTGCACTCCTGGAGTCCCAGCTACTGAGGAGGCTGAGGCAAGAGAATTGCTTGAACCTGGGAGGTGTGGGTTGCAGTGAGCCAAGGTTGTGCCACTGTACTCCAGCCTGGGCAACAGAGTGAAACATCGTCTCAAAAAACAAAAAAGAGTGTTAGAGTGAATGCTGCATGCCAGGTTCTTTCCTTCTTTTCCTTTCGTATATATTCTTATTGCCTGTCAGTTCTATTTTAATTGCTTACAAACGTTAACCCACTAATCATCCTCTGAGATAGGTACTAATTTCATCCCATTTTTGCAGATGAGGAAATGAGAGGTCAAGTACAGCTAGCAAGCTTCAGAGCTGTGATCGGAAGCAGGCAGTCTGTAGTCATTAGCAGATGAGAAAGCGCATATCACCGCCACTCTGCAGCGTGGGTCTGTTGTGCCTGTGTTGATAGATGGGGCCCCCGAGGCTCGCTGGCCTCCCACTATGATGTGCTCTTCCAGATGCCAGGGCAGCAGAGGAGACTGATCTAACTCAGACCAGGGGGTGGACATGGCTTCCCAGAAGGGATGATGCTAGAGGTGTGTGTGAAGGATGAGTTGGAGAAGGATATTCTGGGCAGAGGGAACAGCAAGTGCCAAGATAAAAAGACATTAAGAAGCCAGGCACAGTGGCTCATGTCTGTAATCCCAGCACTTTGGGAGGCCGAGGCAGGCAGATCACTTGAGGTGAGGAGTTCAAGACCAGCCTGGCCAACATGTGAAGCCCCGTCTCTACTAAAAACACAAAAATTAGCTGGATGTGGTGGTGTGCACCTGTAATCTTGCTACTCAGGAGGCTGAGGCATGAGAATCACTTAAACTTAAGAGGCGGAGTTTGCAGTGAGTCGAGATCGCGCCACTGCACTCCAGCCTGGGCGACAGAGTGAGACTCTGTCTCAAAAAAAAAAAAAAGAAAAAGAAAAAAAAAAAAAAGAAAGACATTAAGAGGCTGATACAGTTGGGAGCTACACGTGATCGGCTGAGACTAGAGGCTATGCAAGGTTAGGTGCCAGGAGATGAAGCAGGAGTTGGTCAGTGCTAAGTCCTTGGAGCTCCCCCTGACAGCAACAAGGTTATAAAATTAGTTTAAATATAAGGTGACATCATCAGATTGGAGATGGCTTGGGGGGAAGCCAGATCATTAGGTGGACTAATTAGGAGGCTATTACAATAACCAAGGCAATAAATCTCAACTAAAGCCCTGGTCCTTGGGATAGAGAAGAAAAATTAATCTCAAATGCATTTGCGATACAGTCATTTATGTAGGCACTGTGTTCATTATTTGTTTCAAAACCCGTCTCAAATGTGAGTTCATTGGCCAGGTGCAGTGACTTATGCCTGTAATCCCAACACTTTGGGAGGCTAAGGTGGGAGGAACATTTGAGGCCAGGAGTTCGAGACCAGCCTAGGCAACATGGCGAGACCTCATTTCTGCTAAAAATTTAAAAACTAACCAAGCATCCTGGGCTCAAACAATCCTCCCAGCTACTTGGGAGGCTGAGGTGGGAGGATTGCTTGCGCCCAGGAGTTCAACGCTTCAGTGAGCCGTGATTGCACCACTGCACACCAGCCTGGGCAACAGAGCGAGACCATCTCAAACAAACAAAAAGTCAATTCATTGATTTAACAAACACTTATTGAGCACCCCAGTAGTCATCATCCTCTGGGTATGAAATGCTTTGATGACGCACAAGAAGAACTGGGGTGGGCTCAGCTGCAGGTCCCTCCTTTGTTCACGTCCTTCTCATACCAGCACTTCCCAAACTTTGGCATGGATACAAGTCACCTGGGAATCTTGCTAAAAATGTGGATCCTTACAAAAAATTAGCGGGACCTGGTAGCATATGCCTGTAATCTCAGCACTTTGGGAGGCCGAGGCGGGCAGATCACAAGGTCAGGAGTTCGAGACCAGCTTGGCCAACATGGTGAAACCCTGTCTCCACTAAAAATACAAAAATTAGCCAGGTGTTGTGGCATGTGCCTGTAATCCCAGCCACTCGGGAGGCTGTGGCATGAGAATCTCTTGAACCAGGGAGGTGATGGTTGCAGTGAGCTGAGATTGTGCCACTGAACTGCAGCCTGGGTGACAGAGCAAGACTCTGTCTCAAAACAAAAACAAAAACAAAAAGACATGCAGATCCTGATTCAGTGGTTCTGGGGTGAGGCCCAAGAGTCTGCATTTCTAACAAGATTCCAGCTGGTCTGCAGGGTGCATTGGAGTACCAAGACCTTCTACAGTTCCTCAATATCATCTGAAGAAAAAGCAATAAAGGCAGTCATTTTTGGTTTTCTACACTGAACTCTTTATTAAGGGAACTGCATACAGTGAAATGCACAGAATGTAAATGTACAACTCAATGGGTTTTGGCAAATGGATACACCCCTGCGACTTCAGTCAAGAACATTTACATTTCTAGAAAGTTCTTTGTTCCTTTTCCATTTAATCCTCTACCTAAAGATGGTTCTACAGGGACCCAAAATGATACAGTACAGGGAAGCATCTTTCAGATTTAGAAGCCTTGATCAAAAGATAAGTTTCAAGGAGAAACAGTGAAAACTGCACACCTTTCAGGCAATCCTACATAAGATTGCAAACCACTGATCTAATCAACCAATCCTTGGAGCTACTATCTTGGAATAGTTTCTTTGTTCGGTTTTAAATAGCAAGTTCCACATGCCAGGGCCTGTGCTTGGCCTGGAATGCCAAGGTGAATAACATGGCCCTTTGCTCGGGAAGCCAACTGTCTTAGTCTGTCCAGGCTACTGTAACAAAAGAGCGTATACTGGGTGGCTTATAAACAACATAAAATTCTTTTCTTTTTTTTTTTTTTGAGATGGAGTCTTGCTCTGTCACCCAAGCTGGAGTGCAGTGGCGTGATCTTGGACCACTGCAACCTCCGCCTCCTGGGTTCAAGCAATTTCTGGCTAATTTTTGTATTTTTAGTAGAGATGGGGTTTCACCATGTTGGCCAGGCTAGTCTTGAACTCCTGACCTCTAGTGATCCACCTGCCTCAGCCTCCCAAAGTGCTGGGATTACAGGCATGAGCCACTCTGCCCTGCCAACAACAGAAACAACTTTTTCACAGTCCTGGAGGCTGGGAAGTTTGAGATCAAGGTGCCTGCAGATTCAGTGTCTGGTGAAGGTCTATTCCTGGCTCTTAGATTTTGCCTTCTTGCTGTGTCCTCAAGTGGTGGAAGGGACTAGCTAGCTCTCTGGGGCCTCTTTTATAAGGGCACTAATCCCATTCATAAGGGCTCTAGTCTTGTGATCTCATCATCTCCCAAAGGTTCCATCTCTCTCTCTCTTTTTTTTTTTTTTTTTTTTTTTTTTGAGACAGAGTCTCACTCTGTCAACCAGGCTGGTGTGCAATGGCACAATCTCGGCTCACTGCAACCTCCACCTCCCAGGTTCAAGCAATACTCTCGCCTCAGCCTCCCAAGTAGCTAGGATTACAAGTGTGTACCACCACACCCGGATATATATATATATTTGTATTTTTAGTAAAGACAGGGTTTTGCCATGATGTTGGCCAGGCTGGTCTTGAACTCCTGACCTCTAGTGATCCACCTGCCCTGGCCTCCCAAAGTTCTGGGATTACAGGCATGAGCCACTGTGCCTGGCCCAAAGATCCCATCTCTTAATATCATCACGTTGGAGGTTAGGATTTCAACATAGGAATTTTAGGGAGACAGAGATAGACCATAGCACTAGCTCACATCTAACAGGGATAAGAGGCAAGTACCTGGAAGAGAGAATTCGGGGTATGGGGGGTTGGGGGCATTCCTGGCTGCAGCAGGGAAGGCCAGGAGGATGAAAGGAAGCATTTGAGTCATTAATAAATGTCATATTTTACTCATCTTACTTTTGCACAGCACTTTGCAAAACTCCCCTTACAGATCTCATTTCATCTTCACAATAGGCCTGTGATAAGGCAGGTGCCACTGTTCCCCTTTTATGGGCTATGAAAACTGAGGCTCAAAGTGGTTGATTTAATGTCACATGCTGGTAAACTGCAAAGCGATGCCTTTAGCTCCCAAGAAAGCTATCTCTGCCACCACACAGCTGCTCCCAAAAGTGCCTATGAGGTGTCGAGGCCAGCCAGGTGGCAGGAATCACAGGGGTGTCCTGCCACCCAGGACTAACCCAGGAACCCAGACACACTAACAAGCCTCTACATGAACACTGAGCCTAGGTGATAGGCAGGGTCGCCTATGGCCTTGACAATTTACACCCCTGCAAAGTGAATCACAGGCCCCTAGTGCCATCCTGCCAGAGACAGCAGAGAAGTGTCTTTCCTGCATTCTCTGGGTTAGGTCTCTGGCCCTGAGCAGCCCTCCGAGAATGGCTGTACTCATTGCCATGCTTCCTGTATGTTCCAGCACCTGCTTCCTGCTCCTGCACCATGAAAGTCCTGCTTTGTGACCTGCTGCTGCTCAGTCTCTTCTCCAGTGTGTTCAGCAGTTGTCAGAGGGACTGTCTCACATGCCAGGAGAAGCTCCACCCAGCCCTGGACAGCTTCGACCTGGAGGTAGGTCTCCAAGGCAAGGCAGAGAGGCTGTCCTCCTCCCTGACTACCTCCTCCCTCCCTACTCCAGAGCAGACTCTGAGTGAGAAGCCAAGGCCTCTCCCACAGCTCACAGGACTTGCTCAGCATTACATGGCCCATAGGAAACAGATCAGACAGGAGCTGCTCTTCTGACCCAGAACCTTACGATCTTTCCACCTTACCACCTGCAGGAAGAGCCCTGCCTGTGATGCCAGGTCATTCCCAGGATTAAAATAATGTTACTCATTTCAGAGAGTTTGGCAAATTCAGAAAAGTATAAAACAAGAGAAATTTAAATCCTCCTTAATTACACCAGTCAGAGAAAGAATCCTACTTTTTTTCACTTACTATATTATACCAGGATAAATTTCTCATGTTATTATTTCTTTCCATGAGTATAGTCTACAGTTGGCCCTTGGTATCTACTGGTTTCACATTCAAGGATTCAACTAACCATGGATAGAAAATATTCAGAAAAAAATAAAAAATACTAATACATCAATGAAAAATAATACAAATAAAGCAATACAGCATAACAACTACTTAAATAGCATTTACATTATATTAAGTATTATAAGTAATCCAGAGATGATTTAAAGTGTACAGGAGGATGTGCATAGCCATTTTATTGATCATTTTTATTTTTATTTATTCATTTTTTTTGAGACAGAGTCTCACTCTGTCACTCAGGCTGGAATGCAGTGGTGCGATCTCAGTTCACTGCAACATCCACCTCGCAGGTTCAAGCAATTCTTCTGCCTCAGCCTCCCAAGTAGCTGGGATTACAGACGCCCACCACCACGCCCCGCTATTTTTTATATTTTTAGTAGAGACGGGTTTCACCACATTGGCCAGGCTGGTCTTGAACCCCTGACCTCAAGTGATCCACCCACCTCATCCTCCCAAAGTGCTGGGATTACAGGCATGAGCCACCGTGCCCCTCCGCATAGCCATTTTATATAAGGGACTTGAGCATCTGCAGATTTAGTATCCTGAAACCAATCCCCTGTGGATACAGAAGGACCGTGTAATTTGTTTAACCACTGAACAGGTATGTGCCCTTTATTTTATTTTATTTTATTTTATTTTATTTTATTTTTTTTTTTTTTTTGAGACGGAGTCTTGCTCTGTCGCCCAGGCTGGAGTGCAGTGGCGCAACCTCGGCTCACTGCAAGCTCTGCCTCCTGGGTTCATGCCATTCTCCTGCCTCAGCCTCCCGAGTAGCTGGGACTAAGGTGCCCACCACCACACCCGGCTACTTTTTTTTTTTTTTTTTTGTATTTTTAGTAGAGATGGGGTTTCACCGTGTTAGGATGGTCTCAATCTCATGACCTCATGATCCACCCGCCTCAGCCTCCCAAAGTGCTGGGATTTACAGGCGTGAGCCACCACGCCTGGCCTGTGCTCTTTATTTTTGATATTGCAGATAACTCAACAGTGAACCCCTTAGTACCAAAATGCTCTCTTATATTTTAAATTTCCAACTTAAGGTGCAAATCCAGTATTAACTTTTTCTTCATTAAATAAACTGCTTTGTCAACTATCTACATTTCAGTCCAGATAGTTACTCCTCTCCTATTAAATCCAGTATAGCTCAATTGTTTTTTACTTTATAGTCAAATAACTTCCTTCAAAAGATGCCATCTTTTAAACCCCTTAACCTTTCAAAAACACCAGAAGCACCACAGTTCCTTAAGGCAAATGTACAAATGTAGAACCGAGTATTTGCAGGGGGACTAACACACCCTGGTGTCTCCCACCTCCAGATAACAGAGGAGGAGATAAAATCCAGCAGACCCAAAGCACCAAGCTCTTGGGCTCAGTGGTTTTCAAGCCCATTTTCCAACCAGTCATAACTACCCAGGGCATCTCCAGTTAACCAATTCACTTACTATATTATACCAGGATCAATTTCCCATGTTATTAACATTATTACTTTCCATGAATATAGTCTACAGTTGGCCCTCGGTTAAGTGGTTACAGTAAATGTCTCCTCTTACTCATCCACCGTGTTTCTCTCTGAGCTCCTACCTTGCTGATGATTTCCTCCTTCAGGAACACCAGCCCTCTCTCGGTCCATGTGCCTCATTCTCTTCCTCACTCTGGCTACTGTGTTGGTTCCTTGTCCTCTCCCCACTCCCTACACATAAAGGATCGCCAAGATTCTCTGCTTTTCACCTCCCTCTGAGAACCCACCCATACATCCCAGGCCTTCTGCTCCTCCCAGGCTGCAGAAAACTCCTAGAGGAATCCTCCTGAACTCCTCTCACCTGGGCTCCAGACCCGTGTTCCCAATCACTTTCCATAGTTCCCAGAAATCCTGCCTTCTCTTCCTGCCCTGCCATTGTGCCTGCCACAGCCTCCTCCCCCATCCATAAATCCCAGTCGCACTTCAAATCCCAGATTAAGTGTCCTCTGGTAAGAGAACATTGCACTGATTCTCCACCCACCCCAGTGGAGTGGGCCCTCCTTCCTCATGTTCTGATTGTTAGTTGTATCTGCAGGACTCTCTCTCCCCATATGGAGTGAGCTTTCTTTACTGATGGATCTGGGTATCCCAGCACTCAGCACAGTGTGTGGCACAGAGCATAGCTCAATAAACACATCCCATCCCGTGGAAATTGGAAGATTCTAAGACCATTAGTCTCCTAATAGGCACATCTGCTGCAGTCTCTGTAAAGGTTTTACATTTCCATCTTTCAGAGACTCAAAAATTTGGAGCATGTCTGCATCTCTCCATAGCATCTTAAATATCTGGGGTCTAGACAACATTATCAGCTCTACTTCTTTGAAACAAGTCAGAAAATGGACCTGTAAAAGCCTCACAATGGGGGACTAACACCTTCACAGTGCTCGCTAACCCCCCGGAGGATGTGGCTGCCTGCTTGTTTTTGTTTCTAGTTTGTATTCACTTTTAACCTATGTTTAAGTTTAATGAAATGCCTAGAATGTAGGCACTCAAATCCATTTCCAAATCTGGCAGCCTTTGACTATGTCCATTCTGTGAATGATCAGGGGACTCATATTTCAGCAAGGGTCACTTCCCCAGTCCTTCCACCAAATTACATAATCCTGAGCTATTCCCAGGATCCTCTGGATCCTTGGCTTCATCAAGAAACTTTTTATTTCTGCTCCTAGTAGACTATTTGAGTATGGCTGCTTGTTGTTAGACTATAATTTTTATTGGTAAATGACTCACACCCAAATCCATTGCAACGTCCTGGCCTTTAACCTAATTGTGAATGGTACTTACTTCATCAGCTCAAGGAGAAAAAACTGGATTCACTGAGTTGTTTTAGAGACAAAAATAAGGCAACCAATCCCAAGAAAGAGTGTGGGGAAATTTATTTCAAACTCCCTAAAATTTGGCCTGGTGCAGTGGCTCACACCTGTAATCCCAGCATTTTGGGAGGCTGAGGCAGGTGGATCACTTGAGGCCAGCAGTTCTAGACCAGCCTGGCCAACAAGGCGAAACCCTGTCTCTACTAAAAATACAAAAATTAGCTGGGCATGGTGATGCATGCCTGTAATCCCAGCTACTCAGGAGGCTGAGGCAGAAGAATCACTTAAACCCAAAAGGCAGAGATTTCAGTGAGCTGAGATCATGCTACTGCACTCCAGCCTGGGGGACAAAGTAAGACTCTGTCTCAATCAATCAATAAAATTCCCTAAAATTCTACTGCAAAACGAGCTACCTTCTGGTAGTTCTTTCTATCTTCATGAGATGAAAATTCTAATGAGGTGACTTGCAGTAGGAGTTCCTTATATGTTTGTCTTCTATGCTCATCTGCTGTATTTGTCCTCAGATATTCTAGCAGGACCTCACAAAGCAAATAGCTCCCAAATGTCTCTTGGTCAGAAGTGGTGTGACTCTTTAGTGGCAGAAACTTGACCACCTTTGTGAGCTGCTCCTTTCATCCCCAATGGGTTCATATGCCTGTTTCCCACTTTGTACCCTAATCTTTGAGCCCAGACACCCAAAAGGCCATTTGTTCACTTTCCCCATAAGCCCAGCTTTACAGATGAATTTGGCAGCCATCTGAGACTCCAGATGCCCATACGCATTCTGGCTTAATATAGCAATGCCATCAGCGTGGGCTGCCAAAACGTGTCCAGCTCACTTAATAAGCCATTAACCCATCTCTGGAAAAAGGCTGGTGAGTTCCCCGCACCAGAGGGTCAGGCATTAAGCTCCTATGCCCATCTGGTGCTACAAATGCGTTGTGAATTTAGCTTCCTCCTATTTGCCCAAAACCCTCTCCTAAGTCAAGAGTTGAGATGATTTTGTTAGCATCTAATTTATCTAACAGTGCATCAAGTCTGGGTATGGACTGTGGCATCTGGTTTGATCACACAATTTCATTTTCTCTGACTGACACAAAATCTAATTACTATCTGGGCTTGGAAACCCAGGGGCTCACAGAAGATCTAAGCACCTCCAAGTTTAACAACTCTTCCACTTGTTTCCATAAACTGACGGAGCAGAAAAATTCAACAAGCAGTTTGGGGCTCCTGTTCTGCAAGGATTGGGCCAAGCATGCTCAAAAGTCAGATCCAGCTCCCCCACTCTACCCTTCTATGACTTTCCCAGTGCTAGCCACACTTCTCTGCATCCCTGTTGACTTTGTAGAGCAGAGTTTCTCAAACTTGCCACTATGGGCACTTTTGACTGGGGAATTATTTGTTGTGGGGGTTGTCCTGGGCACTTTAGGATGTTTACTGGCATCCCTGGCCTCTAGGTGCCAGTAACACACACACACACACACACACACACACACACACACACACCAGTTCTGACAACCAACAATGTCTCCAGAGATTGCCAAATGGCCCCTTAGTGGGCAAAATCACTCCCAGTTGAGATCCACGCCTGTAGAGTACTAACTCGACAGGATTCTGATCTGAAAGAATATACTACACATTGATTCTAGCTGGTTTTCTTCCAAGTATTTCAGGAGCAGGCTAAGTACAGACCCAGGTGACTCTTTCTCTGTAGGAGTCTTTAACCACCGTGTTCTGTGATGGCTTCTTCCTCCTCAGAGCAAGTTCCAAAACAGGATTTCTCCAGGTATCATCCAGTCTCAGAATCACCTGAGCTATTGCTAAAAATACAAATTTCTGGGCCCCACCCTTGACTTAGTGGATCAGAATCTCCAATGCTTTAGGCTAAAAATTTGCATTCTAACAAACTCCAGTAGCATTTTTTTTTCTTTGAGACAGTCCCGTTCTGTCACCAAGGCTGGAGTGCAGTACAGCAATCTCAGCTCACTGCAGCCTTGACTTCCCAGGCCCAAGCAATCCTCTCACCTCAGCCTCCCAAGTAGCTAGAACTGTAGGCATGCACCACCACACCCCACTAACATTTTTATTTTTGTAGAGCTGAGGTCTCCCTATGTTGCCCAGGCTGCTCTCAAACTCCTGGGCTCAAAGGCGCCTCCCTCCTTGGCCTCCTAAAGTACTGGGATTATAGGCGGGAGCCACCATGCCCAGCACAGTAGCAATTTTTATAGAATACTCCAGAAGTTTGCAACTTCATTGTTCTTAAGGCAGCCCTCCCTATCTATGGAAGTTACCTATCATTTTTTATAATCAGTAACATTGCAGGTGTGAAAAAGTAGTTCCCTTCCTCTCCCTGCTGAGGTCATTCTGTCAGCAACTAGGTTCCATGTGTTAAGCATCTCTGAGCAAAAGCTAAATGAAAAAGCCATGCTCAGAAAAACCACGGCGTGAGCATCACTAGGGGCCAGTGTCACCTCCTGTGACTAATAGGTGGACTTGGACAGGTTGCTTCTTGGAAACCCTGCCAGGGAAGGAAAGGGACACTCCTGTCAGACCTAGTCCCTGCCTGTCCCTTCCAGTCCAGTGGAACATAGGCAATACTCCCATCCAAACCTCAGCTCTTGGTCTCATAGAATCCTTCTTCTTGCATTAATTGCCACCAATTCATATTGCAAGCACACAGAGGTAGCTGAGTAGATGTCTTGGACTGGGCCACAAGGCATCTTTGAGTTCTTGTTCAGGTTATACTGTTATCTAACCGTGTTGTTTTGGACACATTACTCAACCACATCATAAAATGCAAAGGTTGAATTATATTCATGATTTGCAAACCCAGGCAAATATCGGAATTACCTGAACTTTGTAAAATTAAGTTTTTAATTCCTTTGTAAAAATAAGTTTTAATCCCTGCTTCTATTCTTCAGAGATTTAGTTGAGTCTTGAAATTCTGTTTTGTTTTTTTCTGAGTAGGAGTTTCACTCTTGTTGCCCAGGCTGGAGTGCAGTGGTACAGTCTCGGTTCACCACAACCTCCGCCTCCCAGGTTGAAGCGATTCTCCTGCCTCAGCCTCCTGAGTAGCTGGGATTACAGGCATGCACCACCACGCCCAGCTTATTTTTTGTATTTTAAGTAGAGACAGGGTTTCTCCATGTTGGTCTGGCTGGTCTCAAACTCCCAACCTCAGATGATCCGCCCGCCTCAGCCTCCCAAAGTGCTGGGATTATAGGCATGAGCCACTGCGCCTAGCCGAAATTCTGTTTTTAAAAGCTCTGCAGGTGATTGGGACTCACATCCAGGTGTGGGACCCTTTAGACCAGGTGTGGGCTCTGTCTCCAAAGGAAAAAAAAAAAAGAATAAAAGAATCCTGGAATCCTGGACTAATGGGACAGATGAGTAATCAGATAAGCAAAGGGTGGCAGCAGGGTGACAGGAGCTGCCTGCAACAGTGCGCATGCTAAGCACTAGGGGCGTCCCAGTCCTGGTTGCAACTAGCTGCGACCCCTGTTCTTCCAGGGACTCTTTCTCACCTCTTTTCATTCCCTTCTTTTATACTCTTAGCTAAATATAGAGTGACTTCTTGATTAATTCATCTCAGTTCAACTAACCTCTACTGGAACCCTACTCTTTACTGGAAGGAGAAGATTCCTGCAAGGGATTCACACATGAGTAAGATGTGGTCCCTAACTTGTCATATTCCGCCTTAGAAGGTATTGCAATTTAATGACATAAAGCATTAAAATTTCCACAAGAGGAATACAAAGTTCTGTGGGAAGACAGAGGCAGGAGAGAGTGATTCTTGCCAGGGAACTAGAAGTTATCAGAGAGGGGCAGCACTGGAGCTTGTCTGGGTCCCAAAGGATGGATGGAAGGATGCAAGGAGGTCATTGCATCCAAGGGACAGAGAGAAAGGCATGCAGGTGCGAGGAGCTTTGCGGTGTTTAAGGCACTAGGAACAGCCTCATAGGCCTCAAGGGGTGTGTGATGAAGAATCGGAAATAAGACCTAGATGGTGGGCTGGACCAGGTGGTAGAGGGATTTGAATGCTTTGCTCAAGAGTTTGGAGCTGTTTTATGGATATGATAAACAATTAGACAGCTGTGAGCAAGGTAATGACATGATTAGTTACTCTTCAGGAAGAGTATCCTGCCAGGGGTACCACACTGATGACAGTGGCAAAGACCAGAGATGCGGAGATCAGTTAGGGACCCACTTCACCTAAGAGGCACTTAGGCGGTGGTAGAGGGAGTGGGAGGAGGGGCAGAACTGTAGACTGGCAGGATGGGGGCAGTGAGAGAGGAGGAAAAGATATGCCCAGGGTTTGAAATCTGAGTCAACTGGGGAGTGAGGTGCCACTCAGAGACAGGGACCGAGAGGCCAAGCAGAAGGACAAATATATCAGATAAGAATGAAATTCACCTGCTAGTAACAAACATCTAAAGTGACAGCGGCTGAAATCAATAGATTCAGTTCCTCACAAGGAGTGAGAAGGGAACAGCCCAGGGCTGCAGTGGCAGCTCCAGTCTCCTCTCTCTTCTCTGCCAGTCGGCAGCTTCTAGCCCATGACTCCCATCCTTTGAGTCGCTGCATGGTTTCTAGATGGCAAACACAATGTCAGCCCAAATGTCCACATTCCAAACAGAAAGTTGGAGGAAGAGGAAAACGGAATGTTCTTCCCACTTAAGTCAGTCTCCTACTTTCTTGGAAACCCCATCTGATGCCCGATCACCTTTTTTTTCTTTTTAGGCAAAGTCTCACTCTGTCACCCAGGCTGGAGTGCAGTGACATGATAGCTCACCGCAACCTCCGCCTCCCAGGTTCAAGCAACTCTTTTGCTTCAGCCTCCCCAGTAGCTGGGATTACAGGCAGCCATCACCACACCCGTCTAATTTTTGTATTTTTAGCAGAGATGGGTTTTTGCCATGTTGGCCAGGCTGGTCTCAAACTCCTGGCCTCAAGTGATCCGCCTGCTTTGGCCTCCCAAAGTTCTGGGATTACGTTTCCTTTTTTTTTTTTTTTTTTTGAGACGGAGTCTCGTTCTGTCGCCCAGCGTCAAGTGCAGTGGCACGATCTCGGTTCACTGCAAGCTCCGCCTCCCGGGTTCACGCCATTCTCCTGCTTCAGCCTCCTGAGTAGCTGGGACTACAGGCGCCCGCCACCACGCCCAGCTAATTTTTTTTTTTTTTTGTATTTTTAGTAGAGATGGGGTTTCACCATGTTAGCCAGGATGGTCTCGATCTCCTGACCTCGTGATCCACCCGCCTCGGCCTCCCAAAGTGCTGGGATTACAGGCGTGCGCCACCGCACCCGGCCTACACTTCCATTTTTATGTCGTCAGCTACTTATGGCTCCAAGGAAGCTTGGGAAACATATACGTTGCCTTTAGGAATAAAACAGTGTTCTGTGCATAAGGAGAAGGGGAGATGAATACGGGCCAGTTGCAGCCTCTGCCCCAGAAGGTGACCTGGAAGCCAGGCAGGAGCTCCACGCTATGATGAGGAGCTCTGCCTACTGACTCACAGCAGTAAGGTCAGGTTGAAGTGGGGTTTCCAGCCGGCTAAGGCCAGAAACCTGGACTGAAATTAGGGGTGAAGCCAAAACAGCAAATAGGAAGAAAAGCTGGGGGCAGAGGCTTCCAGGAGACCCAATCAGAACCAAGAACGTGGGAGGTGGGGGGCCAAGGTCAGAACCAGCCAAGAGGGGCTGGAGAAACATCGTGGTCCAGCTGGTGGCTAGAAGTCAGGGTTGGCAGGAGAGGCAGAGCAGAGTGTTCCTAGGAGCCGAGCGGGTCTGCTGGGCTCTGGTCTGATGATGGCATCTCTCCCCACACCTGGAACTGGATCACAGGTTCAGCCCCGCACGTCCAGCCGGCCTACCACCCCACAGGGTCTTGACCCCATTTGCTATAAATGATACACAGATAGTGACGACTGCTGTACGCGGGATGAAAAATTAACAACACCTAGGTAGATCTTTACATGGTGACCTTAAAATAAACCTGCAGATTTGACTACATACTTTCACATCCCCAATTTCTTTAACCCATGTGACCTCCCACAAGCCTGAAGAGAGAACAAAATAAAATTCTTTATGGGTGACAGTCATGAGCTGTGCTTGGCTCCAAAAACCCGACTAAAGATGTAACAAGGTGCGGTGTTGGGCGCATTTATCCTGTGTTAACTTCCTATGTTAACGTGCTGTGACACCAGAGGTAAGTTACGCTCACCTCTCTGAGCCCTGGTTTCTTTGTAAAATGATGGAGCTGGGTCAGATGATTCTCTGTTTGTTTCCAATTCTGAAATTCTACGAACCTAAAACCTGTGTAAAACTGCTCCACGTTACTTGATAACTTAGATGCTTCAGAAGCACTTGCACTGGTGCAGTGGGCCAGATCTCCTCCCTCGCCCTGGATTAACAGAGGTCCTTGTTCCTTCTCCCCTCCTCTCACCCGTATCTTTGCAGGTGTGCATCCTCGAGTGTGAAGAGAAGGTCTTCCCCAGCCCCCTCTGGACTCCATGCACCAAGGTCATGGCCAGGAGCTCTTGGCAGCTCAGCCCTGCCGCCCCAGAGCATGTGGCGGCTGCTCTCTACCAGCCGAGAGCTTCGGAGATGCAGCATCTGCGGCGAATGCCCCGAGTCCGGAGCTTGTTCCAGGAGCAGGAAGAGCCCGAGCCTGGCATGGAGGAGGCTGGTGAGATGGAGCAGAAGCAGCTGCAGAAGAGATTTGGGGGCTTCACCGGGGCCCGGAAGTCGGCCAGGAAGTTGGCCAATCAGAAGCGGTTCAGTGAGTTTATGAGGCAATACTTGGTCCTGAGCATGCAGTCCAGCCAGCGCCGGCGCACCCTGCACCAGAATGGTAATGTGTAGCCGGAAGGGGCGCTCCTCCCAGCTGTACCGGCCACTGCAACCCATGAGTGAGTTGGGCACCAATAAGCTGGGGGCAAGGAGAGACCTCACACACCAACTGTCTTAGCCTTGCTCCCAGGCCTAGAAGCACATTCATCTCCCCGCCCCCTCCCCACTCCACACACACACACCCCGCAAGGAGTCCAGCCCACCCTTTCTCTAGGCAGCAGATTTTCCTATGATTGCACCTTGAAGCTGACCACTTCCGGCTAGAGACTGGTTACCATGGGGATAATAGTAGTATGTTAAGATAACTAATTCCTCTATCACTCCCCAGGAGCTTAGTTACTATGGGGACAGTTAAGTGGACCAATACGCCCATCCAGTTGCCACAGCAACCAGTCAGCTCACCTTTCCTCGAGATTGTCTCTCTAAACACCAAGAGTGGGACCTACTCTTAGCCATTAGCAGAGTCCAATTACCACAGCTATGATGGTGCTATTTCATCTTCAAAGACGGCTTACCTATCCCCTCTCCTTTCCCCAGCTCTCAGGGTGCCTGGCTCCATGGAAACATTAAAGTTTCCCATTTTACCTGGACAAAGAGTTCCTGTTAAGATTAGGAGTTGTGGTTTCTGCTCTTCCTCCTTCCACAAGCCATTTGTCCATCCTGCCACCTTGCCAGAGAGGGACTGATTCCTTGTGGTCAACGGTATCATTACTGAGCAAGACGTGGAGAATTTGGTCCAATGGACCTAGTAGCTACTAGAATATGGACTAAAGGGGTTCATCTTCTTTCCTCCATTTGGCTTCTTTCCAGCGTGCCATTTTTGTTTTGGTTTTGTTTGCTTGCTTTTATTCCTCTCTTTCTTCCTTGTTCTCTCTTTCTTCTGCTCTGTTCCTATACCCACAGGCACCTTATACAAGTCCACATGTCTCATAATATACATCAAATACCCTAACTGATTGCCTGTTCATTCAAAACCCAACTTTCCTTAGGATATCAACCAATACATCACTTTGAGTGGCATTGGCAACCTAGCACAGTAGAATTTTCTGAAAATTTAGGAAACTCCCAACCATCAAGGCTATGTGCCTTAATTTGTATATGGGAATATGATCATCTGCAGAGTCCCATACGTCTCCTTAAATAGCTAAGAAACTTGCCATATTCATCCATTTTGCATTGCTACGAAGGAATACCTGAGGCTGGGTACTTCATAAACAAAGTTTATTTGGCTCACGTTCTGCAGTCTATACAAGAAGCATGGCACCCGCATCTGCTTCTGGTGAGGCCCTCGGGGAGCTTTTACTCATGGCAGAAGGCAAGGGGAGCTGGCGTGCCACATGGCAAGAGGGGGCAAGAGGGGGAAAAGGGGAGGTCCCAGCCTCTTTAACAACCAGATCTCCCACGAACTCATTACCATAGGGTGGGCACAAAGGCATTCCTGAAGGATCCACCCCCATGACCCAAACACCACCCACTAGGCCCACCTCCAACATTAGGGATCACATCTCAACATGAAATTGGAAGAGGACAAACTTCTAAACTGTATCATTGTCCTAACACAAAGAACCAGTCAGATCATCAAAATCACCCCAAAACATTACCCAAGTGGGGCTTTTCCCTGAGTCCGAGCATAAGAGAAAAATGTCTGCATGTGCTATTTTAAGTTGCGTCCCATGTGTCAGAGGTAGCCGTGTCACTAATAACCTTCCTTGATGATCTATTAGTACATATGCTAATGTTTGGTGCCCACACTTTAGCATGGAGACGGCCCCTTTGCAGGTAGGCCAACATGTTCACCACGGGCCTGTTACCAAATATGGACACGTGTATTAAGTTGTGAAGAGAAAGCTGATGTGTTTATTTTAGCAGGATGACTCATCTCCAAAGGCCCCAAATTAACCTGCACTGCTTTTGAAGTCATACTCACTCTTGGATCCTTCACAAGCCTCCTATTTCTTTCTAACACATATCTGCACAGCACCTAACAGTAAATCGTTCAGAAGTAGCATGGGTTGAATTCTTTCAAATCTTAAAGACATTCTTCTTTAAAGTGGCTCTTCAGGGACACTGAAGCTCATGTCTAATTCTGAACGATGGCAATGTTCTTTACCTAAACACAGTTGAAAATCAGGCCCATTAACAGGAATCCATTTATTTTTTAAAAAATGATTTGAGCCTCTATCCAGGCAATTGGTTTTTCTAATCTTCTATTATGCTTCCAACTGAGAGGCACTGAAACAAAGCCAGTAAGGAGCTTCTGTCTGTGGCTCTGCTCAAATGTCAAGTTCTGGATGGAAACTGGAAACATTAACCAGCTCATTTGGGTATTATTGATGACTCTCCTTTCTCCTTCTGCAACCATCTCTCTGCTTCTTTTCCCCCAACATGCACAGTTGGTGAGTTCCAATATGGATATTTATAAGTCTATAACAGCCGGCTTCAACCTTGTTTTCATCCACATACACACACCCCAACCTGCCCTACACATGATGGAGATGTCTCCATCTTGGGGGACTCTTGTTACCAATGCTGTCCTTGACTTCTAAGATACCTAATACTAATAGACATGGAGAAGGCTGGGAAGAAGTGGGGCCACCTTACACTGGAATGGGATAAAGAACCCTATTCAGGGCCGGGCGCGGTAGCTCATGCCTATAATCCCAGTGCTTTGGGATGCCGAGGCTGGTGGATCACCTGAGGTCAGAAGTTTGAGACCAGCCTGGCCAACATGGTGAAAACCCGTCTCTACTAAAAATACAAAAATTAGCCACTTAGCCGGGCGTTGTGGTGGGTGCCTGTAGTCCCAGCTACTTGGGAGGCTGAGGCAGGAGAATCGCTTGAACCCAGGAGGCGGAGGTTGCAGTGAGCCGAGATTGTGCACATTGCACTCCAGCCTGGGCAACAAGAAAGAAACCCCATCTCAAAAAAAAAAAAAAAAAAAAAAGAACACTATTCAGAAAGTGTAATGATGTCCTAGGAAGGAAAGGTGTTGGGGTGCAGGCCCACCTCTAGACAGAACTTGTCACAGCTGGTCTTAGGGTTCTGCCTTCCTTTCCCCTGACCCTATACTACCTTCCTCTTTTCTGCTACCCTTAGACTTTGACCCTTCTAGGCAATGGAAACTGAGCACATTCATTCGTGGTCAGGTTATCAGTGCCATCAGGCTCAAAGAGCACTTGCAAAGAAAAGAACTGTAAAACAAGGGCACTATTTCGCATGGGCTCCGAATACCAGCAAGAACTGTTCCCCGGGAAGGGGCTTGCCACTGTGCCTATCGAGTCACAGCCTACAGACCTCCCGTTTAGTCTATTAGTCCAGCCAGTAGACCCGGGGCTGGGGGAGCAGATGTGCGGAGATGCTGAGGACCCCTCTGGCTACGTTAGGAACGATTTACTTGGGTTGATAGCTTTTCTTTGCCTCCCTTTCACTGCTTCCGTCTCTAGGGGGAATAGAAAAGGGTCAGAAAAACCATCAGGTTTGCCATTTTTTAACCATTTCTGTCTCCCCAGGCGTCCAGGTGATCCCCCAAACAGCATGTGCTCAGCCCCAGACCTGCCGCCTGGGAATCAGGATTCCTTCTTCCCCAAGGCACTGAGCGCCTGCAGATCCCGCAGGCTTCGTTTGCCTCCAGAACCTTCCCGTCTGATTGTTCCTCCCCAGCCCCCTGGCATGTTTCACCACAACCCTGTTGCTACATCAGAGTGTATTTTTGTAATTCCTCTAGCTACCATTTCAATAGCCCCATCTCTCCTGCTCACCCGCCTCTTGCCCCTTCTAGGGGCAGGTGAAAGGAATAGGAAATTGAACCTGGGGTTTTGACTTGCCACTGCCATAACTTGTTTGTAAAAGAGCTGTTCTTTTTGACTGATTGTTTTAAACAACGATTTCTCCATTAAACTTCTACTGAGCAAATGGTTAATAAATTGGTTTGCTGTTTTTAAGTGAAGTGACAGAAGCAGACTCTGCACACACACAACCAGCGCTGCCGCTCCCGGGAGGCAGAGGTAAAAAGCGCATGGCACTGCTGTGTAGAAAGGAGGATAGGCAGGCTGGGCTCAGTGGCTCACGCCTATAATCCCAGCACTTTGGGAGGCTGAGGCGGGTGGATCATGAGGTCAGGGGTTCAAGACCAGCCTGGCCAACATGGTGAAACCCTGTCTCTTCTAAAGATATAAAAAATTAGCCAGGCGTGGTGGCACGTGCCTGTAATCCCAGCTACACAGGAGGCTGAGACAGGAGAATCACTTGAACTCGGGAGGCAGAGGTTGCAGTGAGCCAAGATTGTGCCATTGCACTCCAGCCTGGGAGACAGAGCAAGACTCAGTCTCAAAAAAAAAAGAGAGAATGGGCAAGGTGCACCCCGACGGCACAGTGCCCAGATCCGAGTGCAACAGGTGGGGGAATGAATGCACATGGCTGTGTGAACGGACAGGGTGGAGAGAGGGCAGGGGCTCTCCAAACCCCTGCGTGCATCAGCACCGCAGAGAGGCAGGCTGCTGGCCCCACCCCCAGTTTCAGATGGTAGAAATCTGCCTTTTTACCAAGCTCCAGGTGGTGCAGATCCTGCTGGTTTGGGTCCAATGGACTGGGACACACAGCAAGGAGCAGGGCGGAGAGAAACCTGCTGATGCCACTTTTATCTCCAGCTTCCCACGTTAGGGTGTGTCACTGCCAGAGTCCAGCCGAGAAACACGAGGCAAACCAAACCGAGTCTGTCGGGGAGAGTTAACCGTCTACACGAATGGGCAGGGTTACAGAAGATCAGCAAGGGATGGAAAGGTGCTCTGTTGGGAGCCGGAGAGCCCTGGTAGGGGTAAGGGAGTTCCTGGACCCACAAGGACTCTAGCTCTCCATAGCTTTCAGTAGAGAAATACAGCCATTTACTCACACACTGTGGGAGCCAGGATTCAATACCCCCACTTTCAAACTCCAGCCTGATGTCTGTCAGCCAAATCCAACCAGAAGCTGGAAAGTTGGGGGGTCGATCCACTGATGCAGCTGCGAAGGTAGGGGTAGGGGGTGAGCTACAGATGGAGAAGGCAGGTAGCTAACTTGGAGGGGGACTTGGTAAACGCAGTAGAACAGGTAATTCTATTCGAGGTGTTCTTAGAGGGATGAGCTGGAACAAGGACACAGAGAAGGGGAGAAGGAAGTCCCTGACTGCACCCCCAAGATATTAAAAAAAAGGCCAAAAGGAGGGAAAAAGAAACTGCTTTGTGGGCTGCTGGGCGTGGCTGACTCAGGCCATAATGAAGTGCCTGGGCATGACACCCCCACTGGCCAGCAATGTGAAGGGTCCCTGCAACCCGCCCCAAGAGACACTTCACAATCCCCAAAGCTCCTGCCTCTTTGCCTTCCCTATTCCCCAGAGCCTCTTCCTATAGCTCCTGCTTCTCCCCACCAGATGACTCAGTGCGGAAAAGATCCTGTGGGGCCTTCCACCTGCCCCACCACCACCTCGAACTCTTATTTTAAATATACCTTAAACGTTTAAACACATTTCCACAACTTCCTCAAGC